>NC_000010.11:125678903-125990384 GCF_000001405.40 Homo sapiens
CCAGCCATCGTGAGCAGGAGCAGGCCCCAGGTGGAGTGCTCAGCTGAGAGGTGGTAGCAGCTGTGCTGAGGCCCTGTCACTGGAGGGAGGGGTTGTCTTTGGTGGCCACAGTCTGGGCTGGTGCATGGGGAACACACATCCCTCTCATGCTCCAGTCCTGCCAGGGTTTGCCCTCCAACCTTGGCAGCAGTAGCCCATGTCTAGCTTGCTCCCCTTGGCTCTGGCTACAGGAGCACCCCCCCCGCCCCCGCCAAGCTGACAACTTAGTTCCAGTGTCAATTTGTGCCTCGCTCACACCCCAGTCTCCTGGCAGTGCTCACTACCCAGCACCAGCAGCTGCAGCTGCAGCCCGTGCCTCAGTTGCTTCTTAGCCTCAACTGTGGAAGTGCTCTCAGCTCACTCCTCAGTCCCAGTAGCAACAGCCCAAGTTTCCATAATGCCTCAGTCCAGATGCTTCTGGGGCCCAGGAGAGCGTGCAGTCTGTCAAAAGATAGATTTGAAAATGGCACCTTGCTATAGCAGCCTGGGTCTCAGAAAGGAACCCAGCATGACCTTCCTCCCTAGAGGAGTTCCATCCCACAGTTTCCGGGAGACTCTCTCTGTTAGTTTCAGGGAGAGAAGGGTCGAGAAGTTCTCCATGGCCAGAGTTACACATTTCTACAGTGGGCATGTGGGCTGCCGGAAGTCTCTCACTTACTCACTTACCCTTTCCCCATGTTGGGAAGTCACTCCTGGCTCCCAGCCGATCCCGGCCAGGCAGGCTGCCTTTTTCCTTTCTCTTTCCCCACGTACGGTGTTTCCTGTCACTTCTCTGTTGAATTCCAGCGTTCTCTCTTGGATAACATATTTGAAGTGTGACTGCCTGTACACTATTTTGGTTCTTCTAAGTGGGATAGGCGGGCACGCAATGCTTCTAGTCAGCCATCTTGACGCCCCTCCTCTGCCTTATTATTTTACGGTAGCTTTGGGTTGCTTTCTTCTCTGCTTCCTGTCGCACTCCCCAACCCCAGATAACAATATTAGCAACCAAGCACTCATATGATCACATACAAACACCTATGCCTGTGAGAAGACTTACACTGCTTTACAAAAATCAGATTATATCATACATACTGCTTTGCACCTTGCTTTCCTCTCTTAATATATTCTAGAAATGTGTTCAAAGTCAACCTATATCTTTCTCATTCATTCTATCTTCTATTTTTAAAATGTTTTCCAAAGAAATATTTTTAGAGGTAAATATAAATAATACAAAGGGTCTTCGGGTTCTGAACCTTTTCCTTCACCCTTCCTCCAGTCTGACTGAGTCAACACTTCCCTCTCGGAAGTTGTGGAAAATCAGGCTGGGGGTTGGGGGAGGCTGTTCTAACATCAAGAATGATGTCTCTCACCAGTTAAATGACAACTGAGTTGGGTTCATTTGTATTCAGCAGGTCTGTAGACTAAATCACTGTAAAAAATGGCTCTAGCGTTTTAATTTCGCTCTTTTAAAATATATATTTAATGGCTATAACATGATAGCTGTGAAATAAACCCTTCTGTTAGATATTGTAACCGTGAAATACAGCTTTTTAACAAGTTGGCGGTGAAATTTTTGCTTCGTTCAGTCACTCAATGACTGAAATATTAAATAGGAAGGGGCAAGTGTGTGGAAAAAGTCTTTCCTACCTGGCAATAGCTAGATTGCAACCAGCAAGGTCAACTGCAAAATGACTGTCACCTCTAATGTGGCAATTACGGTCCTCCCAAATGGGCTGCAGCTGACTCAAAGCCAATAATTTCTTTAATTTTTCCCTCCTCGTCTACAAGTTACTTTGGGAAACTTCATGATCAGCACTATTCTTTTTATGCTCTTAGGTGCTGACAGCAGAAAGGATTTTTGCCAAAGGCCCAAGCCAAGCTTTGGGGAACAGTGCCTTTCTCCCTAAAACCCAGGGACTGGGCTACGTTTCTGGGGTCTTGATAGAAGGATAAAATAAAATTTCTTCCTATGAAATGTTGATTCTCGCTTTCCCCCTTACCACAGAATTCAGGTTCTTCATTCACAGCAGCCATGTGGTTGGTTAAAAAAAACACCTCCTCAGACACCCTTTTAGCTAAATTGGCCATGTGACACAGTGAGATGGAAGCAGAGGTCTAGGGAGCAGGCTCCAGGGAAGGCAGGAAAGTATTGTTTTCCTGATAAAAAGGGGCAGACTTAGGTGACAGGCGCCTTCCATCTTTTTGTCCTTTGACCTTCCTCTTATTTCCCTGCCTGAGTTGTGGATTCACTGTTTGGAGCTGGAGTCATCCCACACTAAGGATGGCAAAACAGAATGCTGAAAAGGGAGCTGCTGATGACTCCCTTGAGCAGCTGTACTAGCCTGGGATGGCCAACTTCTAGGTTTCATTGTTACTTAAGAAATATAAATCCCTATTTGGTTAAGACACTGTAGTCACTTTAGTCAGCCTTCTATAAAATTCAGGCTAACAATTGTAACTGATACATAGGTAATAGCTAGAGGGAAAGCTACTTAATCTGAGCAACTTACATTTTTCTTTTCATGGGAACTTAGCTTTATGGAGTTGACATTATCTCTCATTTTACTTTGGCTGCCAGGGAACTCAGAGTCAAATGTGGTGCCCAAATATCTACCATATAATCCTGGAAATATACCTAATATTATGTCTATGTTATATGTGTTCTCAGACTCAGCCTCTTCTCTTTCTAAAGTATTTATAAAACTAGTTATAACTTTCTATTTGATTTATACTGTATTATTTTATTGTGTACATTTTCCATGCTTTAAATTTTTGTGGAATGAAACAAGGTATACATTTGTGTGTATACACGTATATGTACACATACATACAAAGTGTATATATGTTAAGTGGTTTCTATGTGCTCACTCATTGTACTGAGCACTTGTTAATGAGTCGTGAATCCCCCACCATGGTCTTCTACCCTTGGTACATTATGCTCCCATTTTACAGACAAAGAAACTGAGACTTAGAAAGACTAAGCTGCTTAGCCAAGGTTGTATCCAAGTGGGTAGATCAGTTTTTTAAAGCCTTCAGACCCAAATTTGCTGAAGTGTTTTCTGTTTTTCTTTGAAACAAATTAAAATTTTAACAATTTTTTACCTGTTGCTACCCTAAAAGAAGTCGACGTCAGGTTTTTCTCTGATTATGTTTCTCATTGCGAGTCTACTGCTGTGATTTCCCCTTAACATTCTTTTTGTGAATGAATTGTAGAAATCAGAAATGGGAAAGGCTTGAGGCTTGTCGGCCATGAAATATACATGTTGAAGAGCAAAGGAGAGAAGTGCTTGGCCGACAAGGCTAAGACCTCACACTTAGGAGTGACCCAAATGTTTCCTGAAGATGGTAGAAGAGTGAAAAATCCCACAGGCTCTGTAAGTGACATCAGAAGAGCAAGAGTTGGGGGAGAGCGTGAAGCTGGAAAGGGAAAGTTTTCAAGTGATGAAGATGAGTAAATGATGCATTCCTGGACTCTTCTCATTTCATAGGCCGGAGGGGCTAAAGGAATTGGATTGGGAGCCAACAAGAATTTGTTTAGAGGTTTCTAGTATAATATAATTACTTCAACACATATGTATTGAGTGCCTTCTATGCTCCAGATCCTGTTCTAGGCACTGGGGATACATCAGTGAATAAAATAGACAAAAATCCCAGCTCCATGGAGCTTATATTCTAGCAAGGGGAGAAAAATAACATAGATAAGAGAATAAGTTCTGTAGTATGTTAGAAAATAGATGTTAAGGAAGAAAGAAAAAGTAGAGCAGGAATGACTGCTTAGTGGACATTCACGAGGTTCCAGTGTGCTGAGCATTTTACATGCATTATTTCATTCAATCTTTGCAAGAGTGTTAGAGGATTCCCATGTCACAGATGAAGAAACTGAGGTTGAGTAAAGTGAAGTGATTTGTCAAAGGTCATGCTTCAGTAATAGTAGAAGCAGGATTGGAACTCCTCAGACTGTTGACCACACCCACGTGGCATGAGAAAGGCACCAGGGGCCACCATCTTCCTTACCCATCTCCCATCCTTGTCTGAAGGTGGGTTGAAGCGTCGCCCTTTGGTCATTCTCTCCAGGAAGCTGAATGTGGCTGAGATTGGCTCCCTCACCTCTCCATAAGCTCTACATGTCTGGGAAGCTGCTTCCTAAACTTCATAAGCTCTACACGTCTGGGAAGCTCCTCCTCCTCCTTGTTCCTGATCTTTACTTCTCAGCCTCTTCCAGGAGGGGAAGGTGCGGGTGCCCATTGTTGTCATGGAATGGGAACTCACCCATCACAATGGGCAAAGGAGTCTTCTAAACCCTCGGAGGATTCTTGCCACTGGTTCCTTGCAGCTGTGACTCCCCAGGGTAAGAGGCAAAGAGCCACCAGGTCCCAGCTGAGGAAGCCCTGTGGTCAGCTCAGACAGGTAAGGACAAGATGATTTGGGGGTAATGGCAAACATTTTGTACCCTCTCAATTTTTGAACCAATAATGTTTGAGTTGCATGTCCCCCTGGCAACTGTATGTTCCAACCTGTTAGTTTTCAGAGAAGTAAGTTGAGTCCCAGGCTGGGGGTGACCTTGTCTGCATCAGTGGCACTGCTGCACCCAGGACCCACGCTGCCTACCATCTCCTTCTGTGGCAGCCTCTGTGTCTCAGCTCGGACCCAACCTCAGGACTCACTCACAGCCACTCTTACCTGCCTGGCACAGCATTGAGACCATGAGGAAGTAACACTCATGAATAATTATTATATGCCAAGTGCTGTGCTAAACTAAACATTCACCTGTTTTTATTTTTTCTCCACGACAACCTTCAACATTTACAAATAGGAAACAAGGGACATACAGCAATGGATGGGATGCCACAAGTCCCAGCAAGGTCATGGGCCAGCTCCAGAGCTCATGAGCCTTGCCAAGGGCCACCTGGCATCCCCAGGGCTGCAAAGGCTGCTCGTGAAATCTGGCGTTTCTCTCGGGGCCTGGACACACACGTCCTGCCTCCCTTCTACTCAGTAAGGTGTTTTCTGCTTTTCTTTCTTTCTTTTTTTTTTTAATGTTGTGTCTTGCCAATTCTCTTGGCTACTCCGTGTGAATACGAGAGTAAACACATGCAGGACAACCTGTCCAGCTGCTCTCTCACTCAGAAATTGTGTCCTCCACCCTTTCCTCCTCCAGTCACCCTCCTAGGTTTTCCAAGGAGAGTTGCTGTAGTAGTGATAGAGGACCTTATCCACTGCCAGCACTGAAGGGCCAGAGGTGGCCCTTAGATGTGACACCGGAGATGCACAGGTCCTCTTGCACTATGATGCCAAAAGCCACATGGTAAGGAGAGGAGGAAAAGGTGGTGGGCCACCTCTTTTGGTGTTGCAGAGCTGCTGTACCAGGCAATACTGTTGTGTGTGGAGTAAACCCTTCCAGGATTTCTGCTACCTGCTGACAAACCCAGTGCAACAGACACTATTTTTCACCTTTACCAGGCATTGCCCACTGCTCTCCAAAGCCCAGGTGTAAAGAAATACTCCCAGCAGCAGCAGTGCAAGGGAGTTCTGTCGTCTCACAGCCTTGCCAAGACGCACTATATTGATTACGAACAAATTTGACTGGGACAGGAAACCCGAACTAACAGGGGCTTAAACATGATAGACATTTATTCTCTCTGCGTAGTGAAGTCCAGAGGGAAGTAGTCCAGGCTCGATATGGTGGCTCTGCTGTTCAGGATTCTCAGAGATGAGGCTCCCTCCCACCTACCACCACTCACCAGCTCCAGGGGGCAGCTGTCATCACTTGGCCCCAGATGGCATCTGCGTTCCAGGCAGCAGAATGCAGAAAGGGAAGTAGAGGGGAAAGGGCGTGTCCCCATGGATCATATTGGGCCAACCCCAGTTGGCTCAGCTGCTTCCTCCTAAGGAAGTTTCCTGGCAGCTGCCATACAACACTTCCTCTCGTGGGCCAGGACTTCAACCACATAGTCAGGCCTCACTGTAAAGGGAGCTGCAAAGTAGGCATTGTCCTGGTGGGATGATTGCCCAGCCGAAAGTTTAATTACCATGGAAGAGACAGAGAAGCAAAATCAAAGGACAGCCTGAAGGTTCTGCCACCCCAGCGGGTGTTCTCTTATCTTTAATTTGATCATTTAATTCCCCAAATTCTAACAAGAATAAGCCTAACTTCATTCCAATTAGCCTGGCCAGGGCAGGGGGAGGGTGCAGAAGACGATGCACAGTGCTGTCTACTTCTCAGCATTGTGCTCACATAGCACCTTATAAATACTCTGCAAACTCTAACGTACTTTGCAAAACTAAGGAAGAACACATGAAAGGCACGTCAATGTTTACTAAGTACTTTTATATTCATTGTTTTATATAACTTTCACGACAACCCTAAGACGTGTGCTGGTTATCTTTCTTTTGTGTGTACCCCTCTCCCAGTCATTCTCCATCTATTCCCTGTTCTGCAGTCTGGAGTCTAAGCTGTAAAGGCTGTATCCCCTATTCCCCTATGCTTTGGCTCTTTTTGCTTTTGAATTTATTATTATTATTTTTTGAGACAGAGTTTCACTCTTGATGCCCAGGCTGGAGTGCAATGACACGGTCTCAGCTCACTGCAACCTCCGCCTCCTGGGTTCAAGCGATTCTCCTGCCTAAGCCTCCCAAGTGGCTGGGATTACAGGCACCAACCACCACACCTGGCTAATTTTTGTATTTTTAGTAGAGACAGGGTTTCACCATGTTGGCCAGGCTGGTCTCGAACTCCTGACCTCAGGTGATGCGCCCCCATCTCGGCTTCCCACAGTGCTGGGATTACAGGCGTGAGCCACTGCGCCCAGCCCATGCTTTGGCTCTGGTTGGATTCATCCCATAGGAAATAGCAGTGGGAATCAGAAGGGCAGAAGGAGATAGACAGTGTTGTGCTCATAAATGGTTCACAACCAGCTCTCCAGAGGAAACGCAGCCTGATTTGTAGTGGCATCTGCCAATTTCCATGCATAAATACTTCCACCATGGTGGATTTCAAGCTACTGACATCACTGAACATGGAATTGGGAAGAGATGTACATAACACATTCTGATACATCACAGGTTCAAAGTACTGGCCCCCCAGGCTCTATCCCTACCAGGCCAGAATTTGGAAGGGGCTGTATTTGTCTACTTATGTCCATAGCTCCTGCCGGGCAGCCCCTTCCCCACAGCCACAGTTCTCCCCGCTCACAGTGCCCTCTCCCTACCCCTTTGGCCCAGGGATAGACAGGCTTCCTGCTCTTGCTGGTCCCAGGAAGCTGCACCATTCCTTGTCAGTTCCTGTAACCCTGCCCACATCTCTGAGAGGAGACCCTTCATTACAGTCTCGTCTGTCACTGGTTTCACTGCAGGGATGCGGACTGAAGCCGAAGCAGGTGTTAGTAATTGTCGTACCTACAGACGAGGAAACCGAGCCTCCATGAAGTGAAGTGACTCACCCACAGTCACACAGCTAATATATGCCAGAGCCCACAGCAGAACCCAGACGTACTGAGGCCAAGTTCCATGCCAGCATAAAACAGGTTTTGTTTTAATGCACTTGCTTGACGCTGTTAAATTATTGAGCAGTGATTTTATAAGAGGATTCCTTTTAATTCCCTTTCCTTAACCTGCACAAAACAGGGCCTGCTGAAATGCCTAGCGCTTCAACAAGGTGAGCTCTTGTAGGCCAGGGGCCAAATGACGGACATCATGTGCCACCAACACCACACAGATGAAGGCGGTGGGCCAGGGCAGAGTTCTGGTTCTCCTGCATCCTAAGATGAAAGCTAAAGTCAGAAAGGAGGGAGGAAGACAATGACGACATTTAAAACCTAAAAACAGCGGCCATTTCCAACTCAGTATTTCACACACATTCACTTTGTCTCAACCAATAGAGCAGAAAATCTCTTAGAACTGAAACTTCATTTTCAAATATGTTTCGCATCTCCTCTGTATTTAGTCTTATGCTCTGTTAAACAAGGTATATGACCGCTGGTTAACATATGTTCCAATTTTCTCCTTTTGAATGATTGTTTAAAATTCTAACAAATTTGTCCAGGAAAATCAAAACTGAACAAAGAAACCTGGCCAGAAAAAATGAAATTCTACTTCTCTTCAGCTAGGATTTATTTCTCAGCCACAGATTGGAGTAGGGATGCTCATGGTGGCTGTTATTATTTTCAGAGGTTTAAACTACTGGGCTGTACTTTGTGACCCACCATTCTGAAAACAAGTCCTGTAGCACCAAGGGTCCTCAGACCACCAGGGCCGAGAACGCCCGAGGGTCAAGTTGGGTCCTGCCTCAAGCCTTATGCACATGCTCGCACGTAGTGGTCCAAAACCGCCAGCTAGGGACTGTCTGCAAAGACAACACTGAGCCAATCTCTGCTTCAACAAATATCACTGCACATTTGCCATGTGTCACAGCACTAAGGCAATCACCAAAAATCAGTTCTTTATAAATAGCAAATCATGAATTTAGCAATACATTCAATGACCAGTACCTCAAAACTATTGATTAACCAAAAATTATTTTCACTGGACTACCTACAACATTAACAGCAAATTGTTTTGTCCAGTGTATTTTTTGACATGACAGTTTTTGTGGACTTTGAATTTTAAGTCTTTTTTCTTAAAGATAGTGCAGGGTAAATGCGCCTATGTCTTCCATGCATTTCCAGGGCAGCATGCCACTCCTCGTTTTAATGATTTGCTGTCTTTTGCAGGAGAGGAAGTGGTAGAATTAGGGAGACTTTGCAGGAATGTTCTCACATGTGTGTCTGCACATGCCTACCCACAAGTCCACCCACAAACACTCAGCTGCCACCTATGCAGGCATGTTACAGTTTGTCGGTCTACCAAATGAAAGATTCATTTTCATGTTTACATCTGCAAATCCTGGACAATTAAACATGCATATGAGGAAGGCCAATCCATTTGTATGTAAAATGTTGACCATCTAAGAAATACTCAGGTATCTTAACTATAAAGCACATTTTGGGCTCACCTTGTAAGGGTGAATCTGGATTCTTTCTGCAAATAACAACCAAATTGAAGTGACTCAGCTGCATTTATTTATTATGATACATGATTCATATGGTACTAGTAGAAATTGTCATGAATATACAGCACATTTGTATGCTGCCATCTTGAAAAGTATTCAGGCATCTATAACATAAAGCACATTTTTTGTTACCCTATGTTGCAAACTATATGGAAAATCAACTGTATCTCTCTTGCTCACACTCAAGGGAACAATTCCTGGATCAAGACAAGAAAGACAAAACCAGTTGAAAGATAAGAAGGATAAGTTGGCCCACTAGAACTTTTTTTTTTTTTTTTTTTTTTTTTTGAGATAGAGTTTCACTCTTGTTGCCCAGGCTGGAGTGCAATGGTGCGATCTCAGCTTACTGCAACCTCTGCCTCCCAGGTACAAGCGATTCTCCTATCTCAGCCTCCCAAGTAGCTCAGATTACAGGCATGCATCACCACGTCTGGCTATTTTTTTTTTTTTTTTTTGTATTTAGTAGAGACGGGGTTTCACCATGTTAGTCAGGCTGGTTTTGAACTGCTGACCTCAGGTGATCCATCCGCCTCGGCCTCCCAAAGTGCTGGGATTGCAGGCGTGTGCCACCAGGCCCGGTTAGAACATCTATTAAATTGAAAGGTAGAAACTAACTGTAATATTTACAAAACTTCTTGACTCTGCTGATGCTCATGACACCCCAAATTCAAATTTCACAAGACATTGTCATTGTAATGACTGAATTTTTGACATCCTTGCCAAAACAAGAATTGCTATAAACTGTCCAAATCATTTCTAGAAAAGCTTTTGGTTAATTGATAACTTGGAGAATTGGTCACCCAAAGAAGTGCTGTGACCTAGGAAATTGTACTGGATACAGTGACAGGCGCAGTAAATACAGTCACTGACCTCATGAAGCTGAGGTAAGGGAGATAGACATTATTGCACAAATAATTGGTATGACTGTGAGAGGTCCAGGGTGCTCCAGGAGCCTGTGACAGTGAATGAATGTGAAAGACGATGAAGAAATGAAGAATGACGTCAGCAAACCAAGGAAGATGGAGAGTGTCCCAGGCAGATTGATGACTGCTGCAGCCCTGATGTTGGGAGGAGCTTGGCTCACTCAAGAATCTAAGAGGAGGCTGGGCACGGTGGCTCACACCTGTAATCCCAGCACTTTGGGAGGCAAGGTGGGCAGATCACGAGGTCAGGAGATCAAGACCCTCCTGGCCAACATGTTGAAACCCTGTCTCTACTAAAAATACCAAAATTAGCTGGGCCTGGTGGCGGGCACCTGTAATCCCAGCCACCTGGGGGGCTGAGGCAGGAGAATCGCTTGAACCCAGGAGGCAGAGGTTGCAATGAGCCGAGATCACACCACTGCACTCCAGCCTGGTGACAAAGCTAGACTCCATCTCAAAAAAAAAAAAGAACCCAAGAGGAGGCCAGAAGGGGGCTTTGATGCCACCGAGAAGGGCATGGGTGAGAGCCAGGCTGGAGGAAGGACCAGGGAGGCAGATCATTCAGGCAGCCCGAGAAATGTGGACAGGCACCTTGCCCTCGGTGACCTGGACCAACTGACAATGTCAGTAGGAGGCAGAGATGCAGGTGATGGGCGACAACAACAATAAAATCAGCTGGGAGCTTTGGCCTTCTGAAAAAAAGCACCTTAGAAATAAGACTCACACTAGAATATAGCAGATGTGTTGAGCGTATTTGTTCTTTCTCTAAATTCCGAGAAAGGCGGAAATATTTAGTTGGATTTCTGTTTCTCTACTTGTTGGGAGTTTTATTCCTATTTCCACTTCTGTGTTTCAATGTTTGTTGAGGTTTACATGAAGACTTTATGCTATTGTTTTCACTCCCTGGAAAGACAGCTGCTTTTGTCCTCTCGCAGTTTGAACGGGCTAGTCCTCCGAAAACACAGACTAAAAGACAGCAGTAATTACATGTGTGGTTCAAAATGAAGAGCACTAAAATGGAAAATGCCAGCCTCTAGAATCGTGAAGCAAAATGGCAAAATAAATATCTATTTTTCAGCTGAAGGGAAAACGAACAGTGTCTTAGAACATGACAGAAAGTTGATCTCTACCCCACACAGGGACAGAATTAGGGCAGGCAGGGTTCCTAAATGAAGAAGAGATCTGCAGGCCTTTTAAAAACCTCTCTTATCCTCTTATTTTGTACTATAAAACATAATGGAGATCTCATCAACTTGGCAGGAAATCACAAGCTCATAAAAGAGCCTTGTTACAAAGATAATAATAAGACAAAGTCATAAAAGGCAGACTTGGGCTGAGTGCTGGCTTTAGGCTTCACTTTCTCCAACTCTACAGGGATCTAGGGTTCATCAACTCAGTTAATCGTGTGGATGGCCACCAATACAATGTGTCCTTTCTTGATCTTGCTCTTTGTTCACATTCCAGGGCATTTTTGCCAATGGGGTGTGCCTTGGAAAGGCGAACGGGAAATGTACACCACATTGAGCCTTACCATGTTGCCTTCTGCACACTCAGCTGAGTAAACGATACCGTAACGGAGAGCTGATAGGGCTGCCATCAAAGCCCGTCTAGACACTTCCCTTCACTCCAGGGATGACTGGCTGGTTCTTTGTGGCCATCAGCCTCCACTCTGGCTTCAGTGCATCTTGTCACCAAACCATCAGCTGTCTTTTTCTTTTCCTACCCCCCTCATGTTTGCTTTGGCTGTAAGGTAAGGGAACCCTCCTTCAAGGACCTCCCTGCTCCAGTTGTGGACCTGGGACTAGCAGCATCAATATCACCTGGGAATCTATTAGAAATGCAGGATCTCAGGCCCCAGCCAGACCTACTAAATCACAATCTGTGCTTTAACAAGATCCTCCAGGTGATTCATGCTCTCATTAAAGTTTGAGAAGCGTCTCCTTATAGAATCGGGAGAGGCACCTGGGCTGTGTCTAGGTCAATACCACCTCAGTTCTTCTAAGGGAAGGACAACGGATTGCCAGTGCCCCTTGGGCACATTTGACCTTGCACCTGCAGATAAGCGCTGAAGCCTTTTCTCAACCTGCTACCTTTAATTGGACAGCGGTTACTGTACTGCTAAACTTTTAAAGATTCAGAAGCCAAAGTCAGGGACCAAAAGAGTCAGTTTGCATTGTGTTTACCTAGAAGGTTTTCCCTCAGGAGCTCAAAACCTTTCTAGACTGTACCATACCCACCTTCCTGTGTGCCTGATATGCAAGTAGGGAAGTGGATAATGTTTTACCCTGGAGGATCCTGAGACACACGCTGTTTCTTTGCAGAGTTACATAAACATGTTGCGGTGTGGCTGTCTTAATGTTTAATTTAGATTGCTGCCCCATTGATTCAACTGTGGCCCAGGCACATGAGAGTAAACCAAATTCACGGTTTTGCCATGCCACGGTCCAGTCGTTTTGACTGTACAAGAACGACCACATAAGAGCTGTGCGCCTAATTAAGCACTTAGTCAATAACCCACTCCCTCTGGACTGAGTCATTTGCTTTATCCATTGCGGAAACGAGATCAAGCTGGGCAGTGAATGTGGGTAATTCATGCAGGAAGAACGCATTTAAGGTGAGGGTGGATTGATTGGAATTAGTTATTTCAGACAGCAGAGCGAGAGAGACTGAGAGAGAGAGACTGTGTGTGCGTGTATGTGTGCCTTCCCTCCCCAGGTGATTCCAATATTCCTTTACAAACAGCACGGCAAGGTCAAGTCCAGCCTCCAGGCGTGCAAGTACATGTGGGGACTATTTAGCGCCAGCATCCCAATGTGGAGGTGTTGATGCCACCGTGCTGGGCCCAGAGATTTGGGGACAGAGTCTGTCATTGGTATGCACACAGCTCACTACTGTATGATTTTTTTAAGTAATTTGATGTGTCTAATTGTTCTGCGGTGAGATAAGAACATTCCATTTTATCTGAAGTCACAAGACAGCTTATTGACGACACTGTCTTACTGGTACAGCACATAATAGCATTGTTAGGGGAAATGTCAGCGAAGTCACTGAAGGGTGGAAAAACATGAAATCAAATTTCTCACATGACAATAGCCCAAATATTCACTGGGCTCTTGCTTCCACAGAATGTGGCTGAGGCTTCTTTTCAGGCTGATTTGTTTCGCCACGGTACAGTGTCCATCCAGCCAACCCAACCAGCAGCCACACATTTTAGCAAGTCCTCTACGCTTCCTCCTCCCAGGAAGAGGTCTGCACACTCTTCCCTATGCTTTAAAAGTCTCTTTGCAGAGAATTCATTTTCATAACATCCCGAGCATCCTAAGACTTCATGTGTATTCTTTCATCAGCCATCTGCTAGGGGAGATGCATCCATAAGACATCTTCCTTCACTGGCATAATTAAAAGAGATTCTCTCCCTTCGAATGTTGTGTTACATTTATATTCAAAGTTATTTTGCTCTCTCTCTGCCCTTGCCCTCAAGGAATTGTGGGAATTCAAGTTAATAGGCTTTTAATGGTTCTGTGATAACTGTGATTATAAACTGTGAATCAGATCAGGGAGAGCATCCAAGTTCAGCTGCATCTCACGCAAAAAGACACCACCATTGCTTTTGATCCTCAGTGGAGATTTGGTTTTCAATGTTCAGACACCACCATCCTTGGGGAAAAAAAAAGAAGAAGAAAGGTACCTCATTTGCTTTGCAATTGCTTTGATAACAATTTTAAAGCTTTTAACTACACATTCTCCTTTTGATATGTTAGTGGTATTTAGAAACACATCCTGTTGCTAAAAATTAAATTTCAAAGTCTACGATTGTATTTCCTGCTTCCTTTTTGAGGGGAAGATGCTGGGTTTATTTAAAACACATGCAACATGTTGGACACACACACACACACACACACACACACTGCCTTCAACCTTTCACCACCAAATATTTAGAAATAAATTTTTACTGTGTTCTCTGAACATATAATTACTGCTTTGAGGCTAGTTAATGAAAATATACTTTTCTTTGAAACATGTTGGCTTTACTAAATGAGCCTGTCCTTGTGAGTCCATAGATGAATCGATTGTGAGCCTCCTTTAAAAAAGAGGCATTTTGATCATTGTTGCCAGATGTCTCAAGAAAGCCTGCCAGGCTGGGGCTAGAAACGCAGCCTTAAAATAGTAGGCACGTAATTGTACCATCAGCCAGTTAGGGCCCTGAGAGCAAATTAGCAATCACTCCCATTGGCCAGAATAACTATGACTTTTGCGTGGCCGGCCCAGGGACATTCCGGCAAGCATCTCCTACTTTGGCCAATTGTTGCTGGCATCTGAAAAGGCCATAATAAATGATTGGCCCTCAATTTTAAAAAGCTGCTTTGCTGAAACACCTCAGCTCACTTCCCAGGAAAATCCTTATGGCCATTTCTAGAGACCAAGCCATTGTCTAGACAAATTAACCTGTGTGGTTGGAATACGTAGTTCTGAATGCCAGGGCCCTTACTAACACTGGCCTTTGGAGAGAAGGTCTTGCTCTCACGTAGGGAAGTCCTTACCTACAGGCCCTCCTTCAGGGATTGTCCAGTAGAAAACCCACGAGATCGAAAGCTGAGTAATTGAGTGACAGACGCACTGCCTTCTTGAATAGGCACTGTCTCAAATTGGAGATTGCATTCACCCCAATGTAAGGAGACATTTGAATGAGAAGCAGTGGGAAGGAATAGACCCTGAAAGACCAGTTCGTCTGTAAAGAACAAAGAGCCGCTGTAGCAGGAAGTCTCACCTACAGAGGTTGGCTCTCACTTTAGGCACTGTTCACTGGAGCTGCCAGGCCTGGCATTAGGACAAAGAATTAAGAAATTACTATTGGCAGCAAAAAGTAATTGGGTAGCAGTGGCTCCCAAAAAGCCTTACAAATATCCATATCTTATGATCCAGCAATTCTACTCCTGAGAATTTACCCCAAGAAAATACCCAAGTATTCACACAAAGATTTATCCCTAAGTATGCTCATTACAGCATTTGTTAGGGAAAAAAATTGAAACAATTTATAGTAGTCCTCCCCTTATCCAAGGGAGAAATGCTCCAAGACCCCAGTGGATGCCTAAAACCGCGCGTGGTACAGACGATCCCAACATAGAATGATTCCGCTTGTGAGTTTTCAACTTTTCAGTGGTGCAAAAGTGATACCCAGACAGCAGGCTCCTGGACGTACGATGGTGTTCAACCTAAGATATGTTAAATTTACAATAACTTTATCTAGATGTAACCCCATTGTAAGTCGAGGAACATCTGTTTATACTACTTTCTTTTCTATACATACGTACTATACATTCTATACATACATATGATAAAGTTTAACTTATAAATTAGACACAGTAAGATATTAAAAACAACTAATAATAACATGGAACAACTATAACAATATACCATAGTAAAAATTACATGAATGTGTTTTTTCTCTCTCTGTCAAAATACTGTAATATTTTTGGACCACAATTGACCTTGAGTAACTAAAACTGCAGAATTAAAAAGAAAAGTAAATACATAAATAGAATAATCCTTTTTGTAAATATATATCCACATATTATGGGAAAACTGCAGATTACACAAATATTTAGAATTATTTATTTCTTTTTTCTTCATTGAGCGTTTCCAAATTTCCATAAGGAACATATTTGTATTGTGGTCAGAAACAAAATTTGACGATTTTTTAAAAAGAAGGTATGGCAAACCAAGTAATGTATGATCAATGTCTTGCGGCAATTCAAGACCCAGACAATTGGAAGGCTGTATAAATTAAGCTACAAAACCCAGAGAACTAGAGGTGGTCTGCAAAGAATAGAGACGACCAGACTGGCTGACGGTCAAATCATAAATTTGCATGTGTTCCAAAAACGTGTTCCACCGGCAATCCTCCAAATTGTGTCAGGTGCTTAAAATACCACAGTGCATAATAGGTGATCCCTATTCAAGGGTTCAAATCCTGACCGAGGAACGCATCCACATTTCCACAGAAGCACTGTCATTCCACCCTGTGGCAGGCAGAGAAGCTTTCCTGTCAGCTCCTATGGAATCCACTTTAATAAGCCTTGCACTATGGAATGTGAAATCATAGAAAGCTTAAAGAATGCTGAGACATGGTGCTTGGCCTCACCCCAGACTCTTAAGAGGGAAGCCTTACAGTCAAACAATGAGTAATAATAAACCTCCAAGTTCCAGTAAAATTCCTGATAAGATCTTTAAGCAGGAAGGCCATGACCAGCTAAAGTGTCTTTATGGGTTCCTCTAAACACAGTCGTGAAATTTTCAAAGCTTCCACCCTCAGGAATCAGACTCAAAAGAAATAAATTGTGTGTGTGTGTGTTACATATAAATCTTCTCCATTATTGAAAGCTTTTGGCATGATTTCTTTAGTATCCAGTGCTAATTTTTACAGTAAATAGACAGCCTGACAGATTCTTACCTAAGGGGTTAAGGCAGGTGCCAAGGGCACTGGCCAAGTGATCCAGACCAGGGTTGGGTCACAGGGGCCAGATCTGAATTTACAGGGCAGTCATGGGGGACTCGGAGGCAGGAGGAACTGGGTGCATGGAGGCCATTTGGGGCTTGCCTCTCCAGCATCCAGCATCCCTCTTTTTCCAACAATAGCTGTCTCTCCATCTCTCCTGATTGTCATTCCATATGGCTTAAGTGGAGTTGATTCTGCCCTTGCTCCAATACCAGCCAATCAGAGCAGCCCATTCCCCTGGCAGTAATGTTTGCTTCTGCCGTGGGTACATGACCCAAATCAGAGCGAATTAAACTCCGTTCTAGACTCTTATTTGGGCAGAGAATCTCAATCTTTCCTGACAGATTTGAATCTAAAAGCACATGGGCTGGCATTTCTGCTGCCACCTTCCCACGCCCATGCCTCGAGAATGAGGCCAACTCTTGGAGAAGGCTGTGGGAGGAGCTGAGGGGTCTTGGGTTCTGGCAACTCCAGCTGAACCTGCACCTGAACCCGGCAGTACCTCTGAACCTTTCTGCACATCAACCAATAAAGTTTCCTTCTTGCTGTTAAGAGGGAATGAAGATTGAGGGAGAAGCTAGGAAAGAAAGAAGACTTGGCCTCCCAGGCTGAGTGTGAGAGGACGCTATGGAGATGTGCCATACTAGACAAGTTTCTTTCCAGTGGGAAAGAGAGAGATGGGGCCACTGGAGGGTAGAGGGAAAGAAAAAAACAGGCTCTGCTCTCCCAGGATCAGAGACTCCTACCAGAGTCCAGGCTAAAGCCTCCAAAGCCCAGGACCACATGTCTCTCCCTGACCCATGTTTCTGACCCATCCCCTGCTGTCCACCAATGCTGAGCATGTCTCAGTCCTCTACCATGCTTAGCCTCTGCAAGACAGGGTCTCCTGGTATTGACTGTCTCCAGGAGAGCAGGTGGGAAGCTGAGCCCCAATGTGGGTGGGGAAAGGAGAGGGGGAATTCCAATTCCCTGGTCCCTGTGGACCCTCCAACCCCAGCCCACCCACTTTGGGTTTGATGTCACCTGCAAAGCACCATTGTTCCTCCTGGGAAAGGACTTCTTTTGGAAAATCCTGGGGCCTTCACGACAGCCCCACCGCTCATCCTATAATTTCAGCTTTCCCTCCACCTGGCACAGACAGACCAGATGCACACCTCAGGGACCAAGCGACCCCTTCTTGTCCTGAGTGTAGTTTCCTTTTTGTTGACAAGACCAGCTCCTCTGTTACCCACAGGGCCCAGTCACTCCCTTTAGGGTCTGACAGGCATGGTAAGGAAGTTATGAAAACTTTGAAAAAGCAAAAGGCAAAGGCCCCACCAATTCAATTTCATAGAATAAAATTGATAGGTTCCATATTCAGTATATTCCCTTAATCATCCCCATATCAGTATCATTCATATGCAATTGTTTATTTTTCTGTTAAAAATCAGCATTCTCATCTGGCAACTTTGTTGACCATGTTTTCTGGATTTCAGTGCACTTGGACTCTTCGGTCTGAAAAAATTGCTAACCTCTGTTTTAACCCAATCTCCAGTGCAGTAAAACAATGTTTAAAAAGCACATTCAGAATAATTTGTTATTATTATATAATAAGTCATACTTGAAAACAAAACTCACCTGAATGCTAATGCCTCACTATTTCTTTAGACAGCAGGAATATTTCCCAACACTTAGAAAGCAAACAACAGGCCAGGTGCAGTGGCTCACACCTGTAATCTCAGCATTTTGGGAGGCCGAAGTGGGCGGATCACATGAGGCCAGGAGCTCAAGACCAGCCTGGCCAACATGGCGAAACCCCGTCTCTACTAAAAATACAAAAATTATCCAGGTGTAGTGGTGCACGTCTGTAATCCCAGCTACTCGGGAGGCTGAGGCACAAGAATCATTTGAACCTGGGAAGTGGAAGTTGCAGTGAGCCAAGATCACGCCACTGCACTCCAGCCTGGGCAACAGAAGGAGACTCAAAAAAGAAAGGAGGAAGGGAGGGAGGGAGGAAGGGAGGAAGGGGAAGGAAGGAAAAGAAGGGAAGGAAGGGAAAGAAAGAAGGAAAGAAAAAGAAGGAGGGAAGGAAGGAAGGAAGGAGGGAGAGAGGGAGGGAGGGAAGGAAGGAAGGGAGGAAGGAAAAAAAAGAGAAAAGAGAGAAAGAGAAAGAGAAAGAGAGAAAGAAAAGTGAAAGAAAGAAGAAAGCAAGAAAGAAGAAGGAAGGAAGGAAGGAAAGAAAAGAAAAGAAAAAGAAAGAAAGAAAGAAAGAAAGAAAGAAAGAAAGAAAGAAAAAGAAAGAGAAAGAAAGAAAGAAAGAAAGAAAGAAAGAAAGAAAGAAAGAAAGAAAGAAAGAAAGAAAGGAAAGAAAAAGAAGGAAAGCAAGCAAGGAAGCAAGTAGCCAAAGCCCTGGGAACCCATCGAGGAATGGCCCCGGAGGCAGAGTTACCCTCAGGTAAGAGCACAAGCTTTGGAGGTAGCCAGCCTGGTTTTGCACCCTAGTACTGCCGCTTATTAGACGTGCCATACTGGGCAAGTTATTTAACCTTTTCATGCATCAGCTTCTCATCTATAAACGATAGTGCCTATGTGGGAATGCAGTGGTGGTTGAAGAAAGGAGAAAAGGGCCCAGGACATCAGAAATGGGTAGGACTAGAGCTAGGGGAGCGGTACAGCTTGGAGGCTCTGGAAGTGAGTCCTGGAGTCAGGGCTTTGAGACATGAGAGGAGGCTATGGCAGAGGCACATGTTCTCTGTGCAAATCCAAGGAGCCCACCAGGAAGACCCCGAATTCCCATTACTGGCGTATCCACCGACTCTTGCATGTCCTGACCTCCTTGGAGGCTGCCTCTCGCTCTCATTTTCTTTTCTGCTCAGACACCTACAGCTGTGTTGGTAGCTGCCCTTCTAATGGCTTGGGGGTGGGGGAGCACAGCCAGGGGGCACGTAGCTGGGATGAGGGTGAAGAGGAGTGCTATGGAGAAGGGGTCTCAAGTACTAAATTGAAGCCGGGAAGGCTCAAAGGCAAATATGGATTCTCTACAGCTCTGATGGAAAGCCTTGCTCCAATCTGAATTCTGGTCTTCCAAGAAAAATCACAAGCAATGACAGGCTCTTTAATATGGGTTCCAGCCACAGGCCAGAGATCAAACGTCGCTGAACCAGTGTGAGGAAAAGAATGGCAGGCAGACGTCTTCTTTTTCCGCACACAGACTGTAATCAGCTCTCCACAAGGTCATCCCAGAACACCAAGGACAGTCCAGATACCTCCAGGCTCTCCTCAGTAATGGACGGAAGCAGTGGTGCAGATAATCTGCCCAAATGGCGGGTAATCCAAAAGCCATTTCTATCTGGCCTTGGGAGAAGCTTCTGTGCTCGTTCTGAGTGTGGGTGTGTGTGAGCCTCCCTGCCAGGTCCATGTGCACAGTGAGGCTGCTCTCAGGGAAGGTGTCCTCCTGCTGGCAGCAGGGGCCATGGGTACTGGCAGGGAGTTGGCGATGGAGAGGACAGTTCAGGAAGAAAAGGGTGCAGGTGGGCTCCATTTGGCCTCCTTCCTTGGTCCATTCTCATCTTCCTGGGCCCTGCGGATGCATGGCCTGGGCTGCTTTGCCCTCTGGCTTTCAAGCTGGTTTGAGCTATAAGAGATGGAGCAGAGAAAGGAGAGGAAGGCCAGCATCTTTCTTCCCTGCTTCCTTCAGGCTCTGGCATCCGGTGCAGTCTTGCTCGTCATCTCCGCTTCCCTCTGCTTCTTCCCAGGCTCCAGTTCTCCCTGGATTCCAGGAACACCATCTCCTTCCTCGTCCCTTCCATCCCAGGGAAGGTAAGAGAACTTACATTCGATAGAGAAAACACTGTTTTTTTAACCAAAGCTATGTGGGAGTGGGGACTGGGAGTGTATGTAGAAAGGCAGGGAGTTGATTATGCTTAAGTCCTTGTCTATCTAATTTACCGTGCCTAGAAGTAAAAAGATAATGTAAGAACAGACACATCAAAAAATAGCTGCCCAGAACTGAAAACAAGGACTTGAATAGATGTTTGTACACCTATGTTCATAGCAGCATCATTCACAGTAGCCACAGGCAGAAGAAAACTAAATGTCCATCGACAGATGAAGAGAAACAAAATGTTACATATAAAAACAATAGAATATTATTCAATCTTAAAAAGGAATGAAATTCTGTACAACGTGGATGAAACTCGAGGACATTATGCTAAGTGAAATAACCCAGTCTCAAAAGGACAAATATCATACGATTCCACTTACATGAGATACCTAAAATAGGCAAATTTATAGCGACAAAAAGTAGAGTAGTGGTTACCAGGCCCTGGGGACAAAGGGGAATGGTGAGTTATTGGTTAATGGGGACTGAGTTTCTGTTTATGAAGATGAAAGCATTCTGGAGATGGATAGTGGTGATGATTGCATGACATTGTAGATGTACTTAATGTTAGTGAATTGGACACTTAAAATAGTTAAAGTGGTTAAAAAATAGCTGTGTAAGAATACTATTTAAAGTTATGGTGGTGACTGTCAGGAGCAGGGGTGGAGAGGGGTTGTGAGTGCTTAGCACCAGGAAGTGATACTCGGGGGCTGGAGGAATACTGCAAGAGAATGCTACCTCTCACTGCAATCCTTTCAGTGCTATTTTACTTTAGAGGTACAGTTAACACTGATACAGTGCTTACGACCTGCCAGGCATGCTTTGCACACTTACATATGTGCTCATTTAATCCTCCTATCAATGCCATGATGCAGTAGCGCTACCTGTGAGGATCTGCATTTTGCAGAAAAGGAAACAGAGATACTCACGTGGTAAGGCCTCCATCTCAGGCAGCTGCCCAGAGGCCCTGCTCTTAATCATCCTACTTTGCTGCACATATATGACTGGGATGAAAGAAAAAAATTAATTTTAAAAATATGCTGCGGTGAATATCCTTGTATACATATTTTATGTGCTTGTGTGAGGATATCAGACTCCTAGAAGTGAAATAACCTCAAGTTTTACAACAGACAAAACATGGCATTCAATTCATCTTTTGGATATAAAAACTATTAGAACACTGATACTGACATTGTACTCATTTTATTATAGAATTGAAGCACAGAAGCAAACGACCTCTCTTTGTATTCATGATTTTCAACAGGTCTCCTGGTTCTTCTAGCCCCTCTAACTTCCTCTCATCTCTCCTGTAACAACAATGATCAGAATGATACCTGAGGAATAAACCATAAGAAAAATGAGCATTGAGAGGGTAAATCAAGCTTCCTTTAGAAAGAGAGGAAAATAATTTTGCAGTTGCGAAACATGTTGAAATATTATTTTTACAGTGAAAACAGTTACATCACAAGTTTAAATTACATTTCCATTTGAAATGGAGTCGATTTGCACCACCTACTGGAATATACAGCTCCATATAGTCAGAGGTTTAAAATTACAAAACCACTTTTAAGAATTCAGAGTTACATTTCTAGTTATCTTTAAGAGACCAGCTCCTTTGACATGTTGGAAATGCCAAACACTAATTTACTTCAGGGACTATTTTCTAAAACAAACTCTTTAGAAGCCAAATTTAATCATCTAGCTAAATTAACAAATTGTACAACTGCTTATAAAAATAAAATGATTAAGCCAAATACATCAACCAAACAGATACAAATGTAAATTAGAAGCAAAACTGAAATCAATATACATTATCAGTTGCTAAATCACTATTGAAAAACAGAATTCAAGCAGACAACTGGAAAACGACAGGAAACGTAAGGCAAACAGGATAATAAACAGAACATAACTCAACATTAATTTAAAAAGAACTCACCCAATGAAAATTTGATAGTGTTTACATCCAAAGTAATAATCTCTGTCATGGCTTAATTACAGCCTGAACATCAATATACGAAGTATTCATATTTAGGCTCTTTGGCATTTTAAAGGAAACCCCAACAAAAATTTTCATTTTTTTATGACAAACAACTCCAAGCAATAAATTTCTCAATATATAGTAGCAACATTTATTATATAATTGACAAGAATTCATGGAAAAAATTACATCTACAGTATCTGCTATTCTAGATCAAATTGCTTTAGAATAGAAGCCTAAATATATTACATTTTAATTTCTTGAAACCTATTACAGCATTTCACTTATTTTATGGGTATTTTGTCTGAAAATTGATTTTATTTTTATATGTCAACTAAATTAGATGTCAACTAAATTAACTGAAGCATAAAATATGCTGGCAAGATATCTTTACAAATACACGGCACAAAATGCTGTGCAAGTCACAAGAACCTGATTTAAAGTCACAGGCATACAAAGACCTGGGCAGAGTGACCAACTGATCCACAGTCCTCCTTGTGGTTGCAAGTGATTTGTGTATGACAAGCAGGTTTACAGTGACAAATGTCAGATGCAAGGTTGCTAGAAGGTTTGCCTGTCTCATTTTAGTTCACTGCTTGTGTGATTTCATTTCTAAAGTTCTCATCCACATTGGAAAGCTTGGACTGTTTCATTTCTACCAGGTAGGCAGGCAGGTACCTTTCCCCAGGTATCGCCTCCATGGCTTACCTCTCATGGGGATGGCTCCTACATATTTTAAATCTGCAGCCCCAATCTCTCCCTCTCTCCCCCGCCCTTTTTTTTGAGAGTGAGTCTCACTCTTTCGCCCAGGCTGGAGTGCAGTGGTGTAATCTCAGCTCACTGCAACCTCCACCTCCCGGGTTCAAGCGATTCTTCTGCCTCAGCCTCCCGAGTAGCTGGGATTACAGGTGCCCGCCACCATACCCAGCTAATTTTTGTATTTTATTAGAGATGAGGTTCCACCATGTTGGCCAGGCTGGTCTCGAACTCCTGATCTCAAGTGATCCGCCCACCTCGACCTCCCAAAGTGCTGGGATTACAGGCGTGAGCCACCATGCCCAGCCCCAACCTCTTTTCATAGCTTGGCAGTACCTGCTCGTGTCTACTTGCTGCCCTCTCAGATGTCCCAAAGGCATCTCAAAATGCACATGTCCCAAAGCCAGCTCATGAACTCCCCGGACTTCAGTCCTCATCCTCTCTCAGTGTCCCCAGCTCATCCATCCCATTTGATATGATTTGGCTCTGTGTCCCCACCCAAATCTCATCTAGAATTGTAATGCCTACCTATCAAAGGAGGGACCTGGCAGAAGGTGATTGGATCATGGGGGCAGTTTCCCTCATGCTGTTCTCGTGATAGTGAGTTCTCATGAGATCTGACGGTTTTTAAAGTGTGGCACCCCACCCCGTACTGCTGCCATGTGAGACATGCCTTGCTTCCCCTTTGCCTTCTGCCATGACTGTAAGTTTCCTGAGGCCTCCCTCACCATACAGAACTGTGAGTCAATTAAAACTCTTTTCTTTATAAATGACCCAGTCTCAGATAGTTATTTATAGCAGTGTGAAAACAGACTAATACATGGTTCATCCAACTAGATATGCCTGGTACCTACTTTGCTCCTCAGTCCTAACCCAATCCATACCCAAAGCCCTGGCCATCTGACTTTCTACATCCCCCTGAAGCCTGTCTGCCTCACTCCATCTCCTCCTCTCCGCTACTATTCCAAAGAATTATCAGGTCTAATGGAATCAACCTAAATGCCCACCAATGACAGATCGGATTTAAAAATCTGGTACATATTCACCGTGGAATACTATGCAGCCATAAAAATGGAATGGGCTCATGGCTTTTGTGGGAACACAGATGGAGCTAGAGGCAAATTATTATTCTTAGCAAATTAATGGAGGGACAGAAAACCAACTATTGCATGTTCTCACTTATAAGTGAGAGATGAATGGGCCAGGCGTGGTGGCTCACGCCTGTAATCCCAGCACTTTGGGAAGCCGAGGCAGGCGGATCATGAGGTCAGGAGATTGAGACCATCCTGGCTAACAAGGTGAAACCTGATCTCTACCAAAAATACAAAAAAATTAGCTGGGTGCGGTGGCAGGCGCCTGTAGTCCCAGCTACTCGGGAGGCTGAGGCAGGAGAATGGCATGAACCTGGGAGGCGGAGCTTGCAGTGAGCCAAGATGGCAACACTGCACTCCAGCCTGGGCGACGGAGCGAGACTCCCTCTCAAAAAAATAAAAATAAGTAGGAGCTAAATGATAAGAACTTATGAACACAATGAAGGAAACAGCAGAAAAGGTAACTATTGGGTACTGGGCTTAATACCTGGGTGATGAAATAATCTGTACAACAAACCCAGTGACATGCATTTACCTGTGTAACAAATCCTTACATGTACCCTCAAACCTAAAATAAAAGTTAAAAAAAACACACAATACTGTTATCAGAAAACATTAATTCCTTAATATTATCAAATGTCTACTTAATATTTACATATTTCACATTTCTTTGTCTAATATTTTGCTTTTCTTAAAAAAAAAAAAAAAAGGGAAAAAGAACAGTTTTAGCCTGGACTGATTTAGCAGCCTGGTCTAGCCTCATTGCCCCTGATTATGTGGCCCCTGGCTAAAAGCCTTTTACCGTGGATAGACCTAGTTTCCTAGTAAGGCCACAGAGGCCTTTCCTAATCTGGTGCCCACTGCCTGTCCAGCCCAACTCACACCTGAGCCCCATGTCCTCTTAGCTTTTCATGCCTCACTCTGGCTGTGCTCTCCACTGCTGCTAGGACTTTGCCCAGTTTTCTCTCCACCTGAAATTCTCTTCTCTTTTCTTCTTTGCAAAGTGACCTCCTCCTAACTTTCCTGACTGAGTCAACTCAGAGTTGCAAATTTACATTTTAGGGGGCACTTATTTGAAAGTCTGTGTGCCCCCACTGGACGGCTTTTACTCACCTTTGTGTTCCCAGCACCCAGCACATGACCTGCACATGGGAAATATGGAATGATTCACTCAGACCAGAGCCAGAGAGGTGCCTGCCCTGGGCCCCATGAGGCTGCGGTTCCACTCTGGCCCTCCTCTGACCATCACTCCCCACATAGGGTGAGAAGACAGGTGCACGTGGAGCTCCAGGGAACCGGCCCTAACGGCTCCAAGCCTGCTTTGAGGGCCTGTCCCCAAGATGATTGGGCATACGCACCCCAACCCAGAGGGGTGGCCAAGGGACAGCTGTTATGAAGGCAAGAGGATATAACATATTTAATAGCTTCCAAGGGGCAGCTGTTATGAAGGTGTATTTATCAAGGAAGGAGGCTAGAACAGATTTTCTTTAATAATGAGTTAGCTTAATTTATAAAAACTTCAACTATTTGGACATATGCTATTCAGACCTCCATGCACAGTTTTCCCAAAGGCCTGCAAATGTTAGCACAGAGTTTTTGGCTTCACAAGTATCTGAGAATAAACTTTATATCAACACTTATATCGAGATGATTCCCTGTACCCCTTTTGAAATCTGAGTTCAAAAGAGAATTGACTCTTAAAAAAGTCAATACGATTCCCTGGCCGGGCGCGGTGGCTCACGCCTGTAATCCCAGCACTTTGGGAGGCCGAGGCGGGCAGATCACGAGGTCAGGAGATCGAGACCATCCTGGCTAACATGGTGAAATCCCGTCTCTACTAAAAATACAAAAAAATTAGCCAGCATGGTGGCAGGCGCCTGTAATCCCAGCTACTTGGGAGGCTGAGGCAGGAGAATGGTGTGAACCCGGGAGGTGGAGCTTGCAGTGAGCCGAGATCGTGCCACTGCACTCCAGCCTGGGCGACAGAGCGAGACTCTGTCTCAAAAAAAAAAAAAAAGTCAATACAATTCCCCAAACTCATTGATAATCATAATGAATTGGGGGGGGGGGGCGGTGGAAGAGAGCAGGGATAAGATATTGAAGCCATTCAGTATGAAAAGCGTGTTCCAAAATCATTATATGACACCAAAATTCTGAAAAAAAAATGTTATTTGGGTAGTGGGACCATGAATTTCCTTGCCTTTTCACATTTTACTAATTTGAGTTTTCTTTAATAAATATGCTTAAATTTGTAACAAGAATCTTATCCTTTTGAAAAATCAAGTTACCATTCCATTTCACGTATAGAATATGAACATTTTGCCCGAGTCTGTCACCTTTGTCATCCCTCGCGTGAAAGCAGTGCTAGGAATTTTCTGTCTATATATTTGCTTTGCTAGAGGCAAAAACAGTACATTTTCAGATCACATTGGAAAAGGACTATGGCTTAACTTCCATTTTATGTAGTGAGAGTCATGGACATACTTCATTTATAGGTTAAAACAATGTGGTGCCTGGCTGGTGGACCTGGAGTCCACTGGATTTTAGGCAGCTACCTGCATTTTCTTTTATTGCCCCTACTACCTAATTTCCATTAGGCCCACTTTGATTTCCTTTCAGTTTCCTAATTGGGGTCTGGAGTTGTTTTTTTTTTAATAGCCATGCTTCTAGAAATCCAGTTTTCTTTTTCCTTAGAAATAATAATTGTTTATTATTAAGCTAGAAAAAGCCCAAGGGTTTCTTTGAGAGCCCAATTGCCTACCTCCTCCACCCCAGAACCCCCATGGGGCCCCTTGCACCATGTGTTCTCGCTGCTAGGCTCGCCTGTCCCCCACTGCCATTCCCACCTGCACACTTGAGTGTTTTGCAGTCACCGTCCCACTGTCTGCCCAGGTTTCCAAGTCCCTCTCCAATGCCTCAGGCTTCACGACCCTTCCTGATCCTCTTCCACTGTTACCATTCCCAGCCCAGTGTGTTTGTCATGCCTTGTAACCTCCACCACACCTTGTACCTTTCCTTTCCCTGTGGCCACATTCTGCCTTTCCTGAGTGAATACTTGCTGTGGTCCTCGTCGCACACCCAGAACTAGAGCACTGAACCCTGTAGGCCAGAAACCATGATTGACTGATATGTTGAATCCAGCACTAAGCCTAGGACTCAATAAGTAACTGATGAATTGAACTAAATTAAGCATACCTTGTTTGGTCAATCTGCAACATTTCTCTCAAAATTACTTACAACTCTTTCTTGAGAAAGAAAGAGTCTTTTCCTAGCCAACCCAGCAGACTGTCTGACTTAAGACCATGATTGACAGACAGAAGAACGTGGCCAGAAAAAAATGCAACTGAGAGGATTAAATGAAATATAACTAGGGATGAGCTACTTTTGATAATAATCTGGAGCGGGGATGAAAGTAGGGAAAACGGACTTAGACGGCCCATTGATCGCTGTTGATGGTGGGTGATGGTGACGGCCCCTGGGGGTTCCTTTTACTGTTCTCTCTACTTAGGTTTACACTGAAAATTTTTTGTGATGAAAAGATTTGAAGAAGATGACAGGAGATGGAGAAGCACCAGCTGATCTGCAGACTCCAAGGAGGTCCCAGGAAGAGGTATAAAGGAAGGAATCTGAGACATGGTTCTTCCTCCCTGTGGGTACCATCCCTTCCTGTGGCAGCTCTCCTGTTCTCTAAGCACCTCGATCCCCCCAACCCCACTCATTTATATGGACCTGGCACTCAGATCTTTCACCCGTATAATGCCACTCCAGGCTCTGCCTCTTGGGTAGTGTCCTATGTCCTAGAATATTCCCAGATGAGAATGGGACCCCTTAGGTAGAGCTGTGTGCTCTGCCTCACCTAATCCAGCTGGCAACCCCCATAGGTGTCATCCACTAAGATCTTCTGGGACAGGAAAGCCCTGTGATACCTCTTACATCACACCAAACAGAGCCCCACACCAAGAAAAGAGCTGCCCACACCTCACAGAAGCCATGTTAGTGGACATTTCTCCACTCTGGAAGCCTTCCTGCGTGGTGGAGGCCAGTGCAGACCATCCTCTGCCCAGAAGAGTTGCATTCTAAATGACCCCTCAGAGAGCCCTCTGGATGGCCGCCTCTCCCACAGGTCCCTGCAATCACATAAAAAACACTCATTGCAGCCAAGATGCACAAAGCACAGTATTGATTTCATACTCAGGTTTTTCCAAAACAAATCATAAACCCACACCAATTATGTCCAATCAGTTTTATGGATAAAGAAGCCTGAGACTCTCCAACAGGAGAGCTTGAGTTTCCCTTCTCACTCTTGTGCTGGGTGTCCTTTTCCTACCTCCAGACCATCACAAGGATATCTGTAATGTAGATGAGGCCAGTCCTTTTGCCCAATGTTGACAGACAAGAGGAAGATTCCAGGGAGAAATGCCGCAGCAGCAAATGAATATGAATGATGCTTTTCCACTTTGTGCTTATAAAATGCCTTTTGTACCAGAATCTCAAAGCTCTCCAGGAAGCAAGGCTTTGAATGGGACTTTCACTCGGGGTAAACATGAGTGGTCGGAGCTTCCCAAGTCATTTGTGATAAGAAAGAACAAAAGTCCGGGCACTTTTAAAATGCAATATTCTTGCCTTCTGGGTAGTAAACAAAGTGTGCAGATGGATAATGACATCTGTGGATTCTGGCTCCACTTCCTAGAGAGAAAAAAAACATGTAAATAAATACGTAAAAAATTGTCATATGTGGATGACACCCTTGGTTCATCCAGTAGTTACCATTCTGCCTAACATTCACGAGCTATGGATTCTATTACTGGGTCCCTTGTGACTGCATTACACTGAGAAAGTAAAATATATTTCTCTTCAATGCCTGAGGGAAGATAAATGTTATAGAAATGTTTAGTAAAAAGGTCCAGTCAGTGGCTTTGACACTTGATGCTTTTGCACTAAGCAGTGCTGTCCTTTTGTTCTCTCCATTGGAAGCCTCCTTGTAAATGTTTAATAGCTAAATGACTCACCAGAGTCTGCAAAGGTCAGGCCCTTAACTGGAAAGGCAGAGGGGAACTCAGAAGCAGTCTCTATCAGATTGATTGGAAGGTTCATTTGAGAATTCTTTCCTTCTCATCCTTAGTTTAAGGTGCACATGCAGCATGAATAACTGCCTGGGCTCCAGCCACCGACATGCCTGAACAGCAGACATTAGTGACTCTGACACTCTTCCTAGGATTCATTCAGGGTATTAATCAGCTTCAGAGGAAAACTCACAAACACTCTAAGAAGAATTCTGTTGCAAAAGTGATACCTAGCAGAGACAGTCTGCCCTTGCAGTCACTTGCATTATATCCCAAAAGTCAATGCTAAGAGCTTGCAAAAGAATTTGAGTTCATCAGGTGTCCAGAAAATAAACTCCTTCAAATGCAGTCGAAATAGTTTCAATAACTTCAAATACTCTGCCTGTTATGAATCTACAGAGCAGCAATTAAATAATTATCAGTTAATGATTCAATGTCAGATACCTATAACCAAGGGTGTCTTGCTATTACACTGAAAATTACATATTAAGGTTTTGCTGGGGTGCAGAAAATGATCCCCCAAAATATAGTGCTTCGGCATGCCGAGTACTTTGAAAATCGGAAGGTTTTAGAAATCAGCCTTAGACCCAAGCTCTCTTTCTGACTTTCCTTACCTCCTTGTTTCTCTGATCCTCTTTCTAGAAGCACCTGGAGGGACTGGACTGACTCTCTGGAATTTTCTTATCTAACAAAGCTTCTTTCCAAAAAAAAAAAGGCAATTGTCTTAAGACCACCCCCCCCATCTTTAGGAATCTCATCAAATGACCAGGAAAGAAGCAAAGAGACGGAGTTGTCACTATACCCAGATAGACTACTCATCTATTCTCGAGGGCAGGTCTGACAACCTTTGTGCAAGGTGACGTTTCACTCCTCACCTTCCCAACACCTCCCCCAGAGCTCAGAGGAACTTTTGTCATTTACTCCTACACACCTCATCCCCGCCTTCCCTAAGAAGAGAGGGTAGACAGGCATCTGGACCCTGCTGGGTTATTAGGCCATTACTCTTCTGCAATTCCCCATGGTATGCACGTTAAAATAAACGCATGCCTTTTCTCCTGTTGCTCTGCCTTTTTCAGTTCATTTTCAGCAAACCTTCAGAGGGTGAAAGGGGAAGTTTTCTTCTTTGTCCCTACATTTTGCATTGTCTTATACCTTGACATTTTTCTACTCGTCAAGTTAAACTGTAAAGCAAAATATAGATCATTAGCTGACTAATTATTTTTGAGTTAAAAAGTAGCTAGCATTTGGTTTTGGGTACCACAGTGTGTCTAATATAGTCTTTTTAGAAGCAATGATCTATAAACATTTTTTATCATTCACCATTTCTGGTTGAGTAAAGTGACTCACAGTTGTAGTCCTACCTATTCAGGACGCTGAGGCAGGAGGATCACTTCAGCCGAGGAAGGAGTTCAAGTCCAGCCTGGACGGTCTCTAAAAATATTAAAATTTAAAAAAAATTCTGAACATGCAACCCCAATATGTATTTATTTGTAAATGATATACTGTCACTAATACATTGACATTAAACAAGTAGAAAACAATGTAACATTTTAATTTATTGACTGATAATTAGTTCTATTTTCATTAATATTTTTTAAAAGAGCAAAACTGCTGAATAGGCTTCTTTTATTTTTGAGAATCTTTGTTGAAAACTTTGTGGTGTAACAGTTTGAGGTCTCCTTCCAAGTCAAGTTTATTTTAAAATGTGGTTTTAATGGCTGTCGTCACTTAAAATATCTCAAAAGATAAGCAAGCCTACTTGAAAAAATCACCCGGTCTCAGGGTTTACTAAATCAAACTGCTCATTTCGGTTGTATGCACAAATCACGCACAGGTTTTAACTGAAATTTAATTAGTTAAATTTCCATCTTCTTTGAAGTCCATCAGTCTTTTTTTTAACAAACCAATTAAACAGTATCAAGGAATAACTCAGAGATTTTTAGTTAGTTGTTTTATATGCAATTTGTTTACTTGTACAAGAAGAAAGGTCAATAGACTGTTGTCATGGAACAAAATTCAAAACAGGATGTATAACAGATAGGAGAGAGAAAAACCTGCTGGCAGCCTGGGAATCGTGAATCTTGCAGGCATATTTTTGGGGTAAACAAATCAGTTGGCAGCTGATAAAGAGATCAGTCTGGGCGTTCTGGGTAGGACAACTAGTATCAAAGAAAACAATTAAGTGTGGACAGATTTTTCGAACCCCCTGATGGTATGGCTGAGGAGCATATGAGGCTTGCTGCCTCTGGACGAGCTCTGCTGGCTCTCTTCCCTTCGCACGCCTTAAGTAAGCCAGAACTGCGCCACTGTCCTCCTTAGAATTCCTCAATATATTTAAAACTCAACCTCTCCATTTGGAAGATTTCTAAAAGAGGTTAGGAATTTCAGTTTCTAAGATAAGTGTGCAGATATGAGTTTTTATAAGCAATATACATCATTTTTAGAGACAAAAATCACATAATGTTGGAAAGATTTCCAAACATCTACTTTCAAAAATGCTCTCCATAAGATTCTTTTGAAAACCAAATACTGGCCGGGCGCAGTGGCTCATGCCTGTAATCCCAGCATTTTGGGAGGCCGAGGTGGGTGGATCACCTGAGGTCAGGAGTTCGAGACCAGCCTGGCCAACATGGTGAAACCCCGTCTCTACTAAAAATACAAAAAATTAGCCAGGCATGGTGGCAGGCACCTGTAATCCTAGCTACTCAGGAGGCTGAGGCAGGAGAATTGCTTGAACCCAGGAGGCAGAGGTTGCAGTGAGCCGAGATAGCGCCACTGCACTCCAGCCTGAGCAACAAGAGCAAAACTCTGTCTCAAAAAAAAAAAAATAAATAAAACCCAAATACTTTCCCACTCATTGTTAAAATATCACCTTTGTTTTGAAGAAAGAGATTGAGTCTGTTTGTTTTTGTGAAACTTTCTCCTGGGTATCATCCTAATGACAGCTTCATGTCATCACAGATGAGAAAATGTAGAACACTCCTTATAAAAGAAAATATAGTAACTAACTCATTTTCAAGCTTGACAATTCTTTTGAATGCTTTACCACTGATGATCTGTGATCTCTGTGTGGTACAAGATTTTCAAGGTCGCTCCTTGCTGTGGTCTGGATATATATACGTCCCCACCAAACTCATGCTGAAATTTGATCTCATTGTGGTAGTGTTGGGGGTTGGGGCCTAATGGGAGGAGTTCAGGTCATGAGGGCTCTGTCCTCTTGGGTGGCTTGGTGCTGTTCTCATGGCAGTGAGTTCTTGCTCTGGCAAGACTGGATTAGTTCTCTCAGGAATTGGTTAGTTCCTGCAAGAGTGGGTTATTATGAAGTCAGAACACCCACCTGGTTTTGCCTTTCTTCACACATGTCCATTTACCCATTGATCTTCTCTGCCATATTATGACGCAGCCTGAAACCTCTCACCAGAAGCTAGAGCCATGTGCTTGAACTTCCCAGCCTGCAGAACCATGAACTAAATCAACCTTTTTTAAAAATAAATTACCCAATCTTAGGTATTCTGTTATCATGATGCAAAACAGACTAAGACATCCCTCATCACAAAACTCTGAAAAGATTCTGCAAAAGGCCTTGTTTTTTCACCAAATTTAGCCTTGTGAATGGCACCCAATAGCCTATCCAAGCCACCATATATGCCTGTGGTAGACTGCATAATGGTTACGGATAACCAACATTCCTCCTTAGGATCCAGTCTCCCCTGCCACATGTATGCTTGGCTTGGCTATGTGATTTATTTGGCCAAAAAAAGGTGAATGACAGTGATGTTTGCCACTTCTGACCAAAAGCCTTTGTAGCTAGTCTGCAATGCACCAATCTCTTTTTGTCTCTCTGCTACTGCAACTGGCAATGCTCCAGATTGAAGCTGCTTCATCAGATGGGACATACTTATGCTAAATATTTGGGACATTCTCATCCTAAAAATTTTTTCACCGTTTATCTGAAATTCAAATTTAACTTTGCGTCCTGTTCTTTCTCTGGCTAACCCAGTTGTAAGCCACTGACACTTAGGGATCATTTGTTTTGTCAGCATAGCCCAATCTTATTTGACTAGCTCACCATGGCCCAAGGAAGAGCACCTGTGTCAATCTGTATATTACATACTAGTAAAGCTTAATTTTGCCCTTACTTTTCATATTAAAAAAAAAAGTTAGTCTTCCTGCACCTCAGGGGACTGTCTTTGGAGACCACTGTCCAAAGGTGTAGTCTACAGGGCAAGGTTGTCAGAAACTTAACAATTGCACTAAAAATGTAGACTAATCAGCACTACCCCAGAGATACTAGATTCTGGAGGTGGCTGCAGGATCTGTTTGCTAAACAAGTTCCTCAGGTGATTATGAGACAACTTCAAATTCCACTGGCCTATGTCTACTATTTGACTTTTTAGAAAGCTAAGTAAGTAGGAGACCTGGGTACTAGTCCTAACTTTGTATGATGTTCAACAAGTCAATCCTATTCTCCTTTCTGGACTGCATTGCTCTCATCTAAAGAGGAAAGAGATTGGCTCAGACAACCTCAAATCTCTCTTTCAGCTCTAAAAGTCCAGGATCAGGAGCCAGAAATTCAGAACCTTCTAAGGTCCAGAAAGTAAACAAATGAGGCTGGTTAGGGGTAAGACATTAGGTTGTGGAAGGGCCCAGGGCAAACTGAAAAGGATATTCCCCAAATGGTCCCTGAGTTTAGAAGGTTTTCAAGTTTGTCATGCTCTGCCAGTGGGGCTAGAGAAGAACCGTGAGTACCCTGGGCACTCGTACTTTCGGCAGGAGCCCCAACCACATTTGCCTTACTTATGAATGTCTTGCTGTAAAAGTTTTGGAAACTATACAAATAACTACATGAATTTACAAATGACTGGGATTTCTCAGAAATCACTGCATGCTGGGAGGATTTTTGCTGAGAAAGTCTAATCTACAAATTGTTTTAGAATGAAACAAACTGTATGTCAATACTAACTTTAATAATTAATGACATTGACATTGCAGTATTTTGGAGCTACTTCATTAAACATTTTTAGCTTTGATTTTGCAGATTAAAAAAATATTTTGGAGCCAACAACATTGTTTTTATGTCTCAAACATTTTGATGAGCATTTTAAAAGCCTGTCAACCCCAGTCATTTTCCCTCCGTTGCCTAAGGGCTGAAACAGTTCTGTCCGGGTGCTGTGCCTGGTGTCAGTGATCAGACGGGACACCAGCCTTTGAGGAGCTCACAGTCGGGGAGGGAGGCAGATACAAACAGGTAATTTTTCTATAATGTGACAAGTGCAGGATAAAGCAATACAAGCGACTGGAACAAAGGAAGGAACCCTGAGGGGTAAGGAGGCAGAGGTGTCAGGAGAGAAGCCAGGTGAGGAAGAAAAAGGTATTTTAGGCAGAGGAAAGCACCAGCAAACGTGGAGCTATGGAACAAGTAGCTGGAGCAGCAGACAAGCATGCTGCTCATTCATTCAACAAACACTCTTAGTAGCTAGAGCATCAGGCACTGAAGAGGCAAGTAAACACGTGAGAGCCATGGGTAGTTACAAGAGCCAGGATAACTACACAGACAAGGCAGAGCAGGCCATGGATGATGGGGTACATCCCAAGTGGGTCCCTGGGGCAGGAGGACAGAGATGGAGGAAACAGGCAGACACTGGTACAATATAAAAATGAAAATCAATTCGTGTCTGAAAACTTGAAATTCTAAGAGTAATGTCTTATTCTCCATGTTTTCCCACAAAATATTTCAACTTCCTATATTAAAAACAGTGACAATAACTTTTTAAAAAACACTACACCATGTAAAAGTGGGTTTTTTTTCCCCACTTATTTTTAAAATTTTTCCTGACCACTATGAGCTCCAGCAGCATGTGAAAGTGTTTGACTAGGGAAAAAGAAAAAATTAATAAGCCCTTAGAGCAAGAGGCATATATAAATTTTATGTAACCCACATGTGCCCAATTGTTCCAGCCCCCAGGGATCATGCTCCTTTACGAACTAAATTACAGTACTGTAATCCTGGTCCTGTGTGTGGCTGCTGGAGACCCAGCCCCGACTCAGGCTTTCCTCCACAGTCAGTCCTAAGGGTCACTGGTCACCCTTAGAGCTCCCATTATCCTCTGTGTGCTCCCAACCTCTCTTTCTGTGCTGACTTCCTGGTTCTGTTTCATACTTTGTCTTTTCACAAGCTATTTCCGGCACATTTTCCCACTAAGCATCATCAACACGTGTCTAGGCACTCACTTCTCAAGAAGCATGCAAAATATTTGAATCCTGAGAAAAGAATCACTGCTATTTCTTTCTTACAAAGATAGAATTACACAATAAAACAACAGAATTTAAAGATTATCACAAGCTGAATTATGTATGTGTGTAAAAGCTTAACAAAATTACATATTATAATAATCAGAAATAAAAATAGGAAAAGAAAATATTAAAGAATAAATTTTATTTTATTTTAATTTATTCTTATACTTTAAGTTTTAGGGTACATGTGCACAATGCGCAGGTTAGTTACATATGTATACATGTGCCATGCTGGTGTGCTGCACACATTAACTCGTCATTTAGCATTAGGTATATCTCCTAATGCTATCCCTCCCCCCTCCCCCCACCCCACAACAGTCCCCAGAGTGTGATGTTCCCCTTCCTGTGTCCATGTGTTCTCATTGTTTAATTCCCACCTATGAGTGAGAACATGCGGTGTTTGTTTTTTTGTCCTTGCGACAGTTTACTGAGAATGATGATTTCCAATTTCATCCATGTCCCTACAAAGGATATGAACTCATCATTTTTTATGGCTGCATAGTATTCCATGGTGTATATGTGCCACATTTTCTTAATCCATTCTATCATTGTTGGACATTTGGGTTGGTTCCAAGACTTTGCTATTGTGAATAGTGCCGCAATAAACATACGTGTGCATGTGTCTTTATAGCAGCATGATTTATAGTCTTTTGGGTATACACCCAGTAATGGGATGGCTGGGTCAAATGGTATTTCTAATTCTAGATCCCTGAGGAATCGCCACACTGACTTCCACAATGGTTGAACTAGTTTACTGTCCCACCAACAGTGTAAAAGTGTTCCAATTTCTCCACATCCTCTCCAACACCTGTTGTTTCCTGACTTTTTAATGATTGCCATTCTAACTGGTGTGAGATGGTATCTCATTGTGGTTTTGATTTGCATTTCTCTGATGGCCAGTGATGGTGAGCATTTTTTCATGTGTTTTCTGGCTGCATAAATGTCTTCTTTTGAGAAATGTCTGTTCATGTCCTTCGCCCACTTTTTGATGGGGTTGTTTTTTTCTTGTAAATTTGTTTGAGTTCATTGTAGATTCTGGATATTAGTCCTTTGTCAGATGAGTAGGTTGCGAAAATTTTCTCCCATTTTGTAGGTTGCCTGTTCCCTCTGATGGTAGTTTCTTTTGCTGTGCAGAAGCTCTTTAGCTTAATTAGATCCCATTTGTCAATTTTGGCTTTTGCTGCCATTGCTTTTGGTGTTTTAGACATGAAGTCCTTGCCCATGCCTATGTCCTGAATGGTAATGCCTAGGTTTTCTCCTAGGGTTTTTATGGTTTTAGGTCTAACGTTTTAAGTCTTTAATCCATCTTGAATTGATTTTTGTATAAGGTGTAAGGCAGGGATCCAGTTTCAGCTTTCTACATATGGCTAGCCAGTTTTCCCAGCACCATTTATTAAATAGGGAATCCTTTACCCATTGCTTGTTTTTCTCAGGTTTGTCAAAGATCAGATAGCTGTAGATATGCGGCGTTATTTCTGAGGGCTCTGTTCTGTTCCATTGATCTATATCTCTATTTTGGTACCACCATGCTGTTTTGGTTACTGTAACCTTGTAATATAGTTTGAAGTCAGGAAGTGTGATGCCTCCGGCTTTGTTCTTTTGGCTTAGGATTGACTTGGCAATGCGGGCTCTTTTTTGGTTCCATATGAACTTCAAAGTAGTTTTTTCCAATTCTGTGAAGAAAGTCATTGGTAGCTTGATGGGGATGGCATTGAATCTGTAAATTACCTTGGGCAGTATGGCCATTTTCACGATATTGATTCTTCCTACCCATGAGCATGGAATGTTCTTCCATTTCTTTGTATCCTCTTTTATTTCATTGAGCAGTGGTTTGTAGTTCTCCTTGAAGAGGTCCTTCACGTCCCTTGTAAGTTGGATTCCTAGGTATTTTATTCTCTTTGAAGCAATTGTGAATGGGAGTTCACTCATGATTTGGCTCTCTATTTGTCTGTTATTGGTGTACAAGAATGCTTGTGATTTTTGTACATTGATTTTGTATCCTGAGACTTTGCTGAAGTTGCTTATCAGCTTAAGGAGATTTGGGGCTGAGACAATGGGGTTTTCTAGATATACAATCATGTCATCTGCAAACAGGGACAATTTGACTTCCTCTTTTCCTAATTAAATACCCTTTATTTCCTTCTCCTGACTAATTGCCCTGGCCAGAACTTCCAACACTATGTTGAATAGGAGTGGTGAGAGAGGGCATCCCTGTCTTGTGCCAGTTTTCAAAGGGAATGCTTCCAGTTTTTGCCCATTCAGTATGATATTGGCTGTGGGTTTGTCATAGATAGCTCTTATTATTTTGAGATACAGCCCATCAATACCTAATTTATTGAGAGTTTTTAGCATGAAGAGTTGTTGAATTTTGTCAAAGGACTTTTCTGCATCTATTGAGATAATCATGTGGTTTTTGTCTTTGGTTCTGTTTAAATAACTAAAATCAGAGCAGAACAGAAGGAAATAGAGACACAAAAAACCCTTCAAAAAATTAATGAATCCAGGAGCTGGTTTTTTGAAAGGACCAACAAAACTGATAGACTGCTAGCAAGACTAATAAAGAAGAAAAGAGAGAAGAATCAAATAGATGCAATAAAAAATGATAAAGGGGATATCACCACCGATCCCACAGAAATACAAACTACCATCAGAGAATACTACAAACACCTCTATGCAAATAAACTAGAAAATCTAGAAGAAATGGATAAATTCCTCGACACATACACCCTCCCAAGACTAAACTAGGAAGAAGTTGAATCTCTGAATAGACCTATAACAGGCTCTGAAATTGTGGCAATAATCAATAGCTTACCAACCAAAAAGAGTCCAGGACCAGATGGATTCACAGCCGAATTCTACCAGAGGTACAAGGAAGAACTGGTACCATTCCTTCTGAAACTATTCCAATCAATAGAAAAAGAGGGAATCCTCCCAACTCATTTTATGAGGCCAGCATCATCCTGATACCAGAGCCGGGCAGAGGCACAACCAAAAAAGAGAATTTTAGACCAATATCCTTGATGAACATTGATGCAAAAATCCTCAATAAAATACTGGCAAACCGAATCCAGCAGCACATCAAAAAGCTTATCCACCATGATCAAGTGGGCTTCATCCCTGGGATGCAAGGCTAGTTCAATATATGCAAATCAATAAATGTAAAGAATAAATTTTAAATCACTTCATTTTACGGCTCAGAGGTCTGTTTTGTGGACACAGAGACAGAAATGGAGACGTTTTTAAAATTAAGATCATATTGCACATTGGCTTTTTTTTTTTTATACGGAGTCTCGCTCTGCTGCCCAGGCTGGAGTGCAGTGGTGCAATCTCGGCTCACTGCCAGCTCCGTCTCCTGGGTTCACACCATTCTCCCGCCTCAGGCTCCTGAGTAGCTGGGACTACAGGTGCCTGCCACCAAACCTGGCTAATTTTGTTTTTGTATTTTTAGTAGAGACGGGGTTTCACCGTGTTAGCCAGGATGGTCTCGATCTCCTGACCTCGTGATCCACCCGCATCTGCCTCCCAAAGTGCTGGGATTACAGGCGTGAGCCACCGCGCTAGGCTGCATATTGGCTTTTTAAAATTTCACTTATCACTTAACATTATATGATATGCAATTTAAATGTTCTTAAATATTCCTGAAAAACAAGTTTATGGTTGCACAGGGTTTATTTTCTACCAAAACCAAATTTGACTATCCTCCTCCTAGTGTTAGATATTATGTTCAACTTTTCACCATAAAAAACAATGCATAACTTGCAAAAACCAAAAAAGAATTATTGGCTGCAATATTCAAATGAAATGATAAAAATCAAAATCAATACATGTTGAAGTAAATGTCTACAAAATACACTATTATATCAAATTAACTGTTAAATTTAATTCACTATTATTATTTTTTTAAGACAGAGTCTCACTATCGCCCAGGCTGGAGCGCAGTGTTGCCATCTCTGCTCACTGCAACCTCTGCCTCCCAGGTTCAAGCGATTCTCCTGCCTCAGCCTCCCTAGTAGCTGGGATTACAGGCGCCCACCACCACATCTGGCTAATTTTTGTATTTTTAGTAGAGATGGGGTTTCACCCTGTTCGTCAGGCTGGTCTCGATCTCCTGACCTCAGGCAATCTGCCCACCTCGGCCTCCCAAAGTGCAGGGATTAAAGGCGTGAGCCACCGCGCCCGGCCTGTTAAATTTAATTCATAAAATTGTTTTGTTACATTTGAAAGCAATTTGTGAGTTGAATGCTTACTCATCAGGAGCATTCCTGAAAACGGACAGGACAGTGAGTTGTAAGAGCCAAACGTGAATTACAAATTGAGACAGCCAAATTGCAAGAGCCAAGTTAATTTTTAAAAACACTTTCTGTATCTTACGGCACAACAAAACACTTTTACTACAAAACATGTATTGTATAACGGATGTGGCTGCGTTTGACAGTTTGAGATGACACTGAGGAGTGTGAAAGAGAGCCTGGACCTTCAAAGCTTGCAAACGGCCCGGGCTATTTCTCCACCTCTTCGCTACTCAAAGCGCTGGCATCGTTTCCTGGGAACCTGTGAGAAATGCCGAGTCTCGGACCCATCCAGAGCGCCCGAATGGAAACCTAGGCGTTACGAGGCCCCAGGTTCAGCGTCTCACGGGTCCTGCACCACCTGGGACGCCCCGCAAGCAGCGGGCATGCCGGGCCCCCAGAAGACTCCGAAAGCCACCCATTCCCTAAACGGGGAGGGCCTCGTCCGCGCGTCCCAGCGCCCTCCCCGGAAGCCCCGCCGCTCCCACACCCAGGATGGGGCCACATGGGCACTAAAAGGCGGGCAGGAGCGCCCAGTCTCGAGATGGCTGGCTCGCCTTTCCAGTCCGGGCCCTCGGGGTGCCCGTGTGAAAAGATGTGACACTGAAGCCTGGGGAAGAAGTTTGAACCTCTCACTAATTCACGTAACGGGAGCCGCCGGCAGCGCTGACGGCTGCACCTCCCCTCCCACGCGGACACTACCTGCAGGATCGGACGACCCCCAGAACTGTTTGCCAACAAAGACATGCAGGGGGCGGAGCCTGAGCGTCAGATACCGTGAGCGGCGTGCAGAGGGCGGAGCCTAGGAGTCAGATACCGCGAGAAGTAGTCTCCCGAAGAGGTTCGGACAAGCGCAGGCGCACTACAATTCCCGCCCTGGCCGCGAAGGTGGCACCCGCAGCGGGAGGCGGGGCCGGGCCTTCGGGACAAAGATCGCGAGATTTAATGGCGAGTCACAGCTACTTCTTCCTGGCAGAGACCGGAAGTGCGGTCCGCGGAGCGTCTCTGGCGCTTACCCTGCTTTGGGCCTGCGTTGCTGCTGCTGCTCCTCCGCTCCCCCGTCGTATCGCCTGCCCTGGATCGAAGTGATGGGGGATGCCAAGGAGGCCGGAGCCGAGGGTCCGCCGGCCGGGGCCGCCGCTCGAGGAGGGCTCAGCCTCCTGTCCCAGGGAGAATCCGAGGAATCTTCTGCACAGGTGAGTCCTCCGCGGAGGGGGACCTGCCAGGGATGTGGGAGCGGAGGACCCGCTCCACCGGGGAGGGATGCCACGGTTCCCGGCAGATTCTGGAGGCTTCTCCATGTTTCCCTGACACCCCCAAAACAGGGAGTTGAAGTCCATGCTCCAGTCGGCAGGTATTCGTATTAAAAGCAGTTCTGGTAGCCGACAGGTGAATTAGATACGATCTTTCCTCTCAAGGAGGGTACATGTAAATATGTCGTTCCAAAACGTGGCACAGTCGTGCAAAGCAGGAGGGAAGAAACGGTGCCAGGTAGTGACTCGCCGAGAATGAGACCGAACTAATTCACAAAGGGTGTAAAATGTTTGCCATGCAGAAGAGGTACTGCGTGAAAGGTTAGAATATTGAACCCAGACGCCGAACTTGCTTTGGGAGTGTGCAAGTGCAGGCTGTGAGGAACGAACCCCCAATGCCTTTCTATGAAGTTAGAGACTCAAGAGTATTTGAACCATGCATGCATGCATGAACCGATGCATCGATTACTAAATATTTGCATTAAAACAAAAAGCCCAAATGTTCTACCAGACTATTTTATGAATGATGTGTTATTAAAATTAAAATACATCTTTGGCCGGGCGCGGTGGCTCACGCCTGTAATCCTAGCACTTTGGGAGGCCGAGGTGGGTGGATCACCTGAGGTCGGGGAGTTCGAGACCAGCCTGGCCAACATGGCAAAACCCTGTCTCTACTAAAAATACAAAAATTAGCCGGACGTGGTAGTGCACGCCTGTAATTCCAGCTACTAGGGAGGCTGAGGCAGGAGAATGGCGTAAACCCCAGAAGCCGAGGTTGCAGTGAGCCATGATTGCTCCACTGCACCCTAGCCTGGGCGACAAAGCAAGACTGCGTCTCAAAAAAAAAAAAAAAAAGAATTAAAATACATCTTTAATACTGAAAATAGGCTTTACTAAAGTTTGCATCTAGTTAACATGATACCATTGAGTCTCCTTGGTTTCTGCTTCTCCACTTTACATGAATACATTTTAAAAGAGATGTGGGTGGTCCATTTTCTAGCTGATAACCATAACCATCATACTCCTTGACTCATCTTTTTTCTTTGAAGTTGGTGTAAAAGAACTAAGTAAATGTTACCATTTATGCTCAAATTTATTAAGTGCTGTTAGTAACATGTGGCATACGTTCCTTGTGAAGCCTGGTGTGACAGGTTCTTGTTTTCTTTTTATAAAGGTGAGATTTTTCGTTCTTAGTAATTTTCATTAAAGTTTCACCCAATGTGTTAATTAGGGATCAGCTTTATTTCTTGGAGGCAATGAAGTGAAGAGCCGAGCTGTGGTGAAATACTCTTCTGCCCCTCCTCGAACAGCATTTGCACGCCTTGAAGAGAAAACAGACTTGAAACTCCCACCTGCCAACTGGTTACGAGAGAGTGCCAAACTAGGGCCAGCAGGAACTACCATTCTTGGCAACAGCAAGAAAAGCAAGCCATTTTCAAGGTAAATATTAATCAGTGGCATTTTTACCTGCCCCTCCACCCTCACTTAAAACTCTTATTTGCTTTTAAATTCAGTTTGTAATGCCTATTAACTTGTCGAGATTTCTCTTTAGAGAAAGATCACATTTGATTTTCAAAGGCTTTTTATTCTGATAATAGATGATGTTAAAACATGAAGATATACATACAATATCAATTGCATATGCTTCTTTTAAGTCTACGTCATGTTATCAGCAAAGATGAGTTTTGACTGCCAAAGTTCAATCAGCCCTTTCATTTTAGCCAATTTGCATACCTTTTGGATATGTGAATACAAAGGATCAGCTTGGTGCATGAGGAGGAAAACCTTGAACATTCCTTCATCTTTCCTGTGGAGTTTTTCATTAAATGGTGGCAGGTTGATCTGGAAAAGCCAGATTTAAAAACCCAGCATGTTGGGTGACCTACACCTTGACTTTGACACCAGAACTGATGGTGTTCAAAGTTGAGAGAGTAGCCTGAGGTCTTATAGAGAAAAATGTATTAATGTACATACTGTAGGACATTTAATGTGTAGGGTTCTCTTTTCTTCTTCCCCCTTCTCAGCAACTCAATCTAAAATATTTCCATGTAACTTGTAGCAAGAGGCACAAATACACTAATACTTTATGAGCTGGTATTTTGGAAATTATCCTAAAGCCTCAGAAAATAAAAGTTATATTTGCAAAAATGCTGTTTGTTTGTAGCATCATTTATAGGAGCAAAAAGTTGGGAATAACCCAAATATCATTTTTTAAAAGAATGGCTTAATCAGTTGTGATTTGTCAACATAATTAAATGTTGTGAGGAAATTTGAATAATTATATTGACTCTATACAAATGCTGTGGCAAGTATTTATATGCTTATCTCATTTAATTCTCACAACAACTCTTTGAGATAGGCACTGTTAATTATATTGCACCTGAGAAAACGGAAGCTGAGAAGAGCTAAATAATTTGGCTCAAGCATACAGTAAATCACAAAGCATGCTTTGCTGTTAGGTAGTCCTTGGTAAGTGTCCTGACTCTGCCATTTAGTAGTTGGAACATGGTGATGTCGGGTACCTTTCAGGCTTATAGACTATAGATGTGCTTCAGGTGGTACGTGGCATCAGTTGGCTGCTCAATTAACATTTTTTTTTAATTTCCTTTTGTGGCTGAATTGGTGTCAGGTACATTTTTTTCATGTATTTTTTTAAGAGGTATTGTATATCACTAGAAACACAATCTCAGAAAGTAAAATCCTGATAAATGTTTCTGTTTCTGTTTTTCTTATCTCTCCACCTAAAAAGAATAAAGTTTTGAACTATTTTCCCTTGGAGACTTTGAGTTTTGTGATTACAAAAATAAAGAATAATTGTTTTTATTCTAAATATTTCCTACTGGATGCTTCTAATGATTATTACCATGTTTTATCAAATCTAAGATGCCATTGACTTTAAGACACACCATTATTTTAGTACCACTAAGAAAAAAAAACTTGCCAACTGTGATGGTGATACACATCCTGGTTTCAGAGTTGTTAAAATGTGGAAAATGTGTATCCTAGAAGCAATGAGCTACAGTATTGTTATTAAGCTCTACTTGCATGATTATGAGCATGACCTCATAACCTGTGTCCTTTTTTCTCTTTGGTAGCTTTGGCATGGCATATGACTTTATTGATTCAGTGGGAAATGATGTGGATGTTGTCTCTGACTCTGAAGTAAGTGTTATTTGTCGCTTAATGTAATTTTGGAGGTGTTTTGTGATAGGTGTTTTATATCATGCTGTGTTTTGCATAATATAAATGTGCAAGTCTTGAGAAATTAGTGATGAAATAAGATAAAACTTACCTGATTATTGAGTATCTTTTTTGTTGTTAAAGTATCATTGTTTACCACATTTGTATTTAAAGAGGAAGGAATAATCAATCCCCAAACACTGGCAGTGGTAATAATATATTGATGGTTATATTTTAATGATAGTAATTGAAACTGATAATAGTGTTTGGGATTATTCTGTATATGTTACCAGTTGAGTTACAAATGATATTTCTAGTAAAATCTATTGGATCCTTAGTGGCTTTGATCTGATATGCTAAAAGCCTGGGTCAGCATAACAGTGTGACGTATACACCCTTAACTTTAAGAAATCCTATCATGTAAAAATAAATGTTTGACTGTCACTAACATAATGTGACTCATAAAGTGTACGTGATTCTGGTTTGAAAGCTCCGTCCTCTGTGTGTTTGCATGTAGCTTTTTGTTTAAAGTTCTATTTGTATAACCTTAAGGAAATAAGGTTTATTATGCTTTAAAATGAATGAAGCTAAAATTTAAAAGATTCCAAATCACACTAAAACAGTCTTTCTAAACTATTTTTTCTCTTAATTTTTTAAGAACATAAAAAAACTCCTGAAAATTCCCTACAGCAAGTCGCACGTGAGCATGGCAGTACACCGCATAGGAAGGACTCTCTTACTAGATGAGCTAGATATTCAAGAACTCTTTATGAGATCGTCTCAGGTAATGCTTTTGTGAAAAAATCCAACAAAACATTAACAGCTTAAGAGCACTAGAAATACGATTTTGTTTCAGAGAATGGCCAAAGTGGAAATGTAGTTGAGTACTTCAACAATCGAGAAATTGAAAGTTTCACTGAAGATAGAAAAGCTTGAATGAAGAAAAAAGAAGAGAATGAGAATGGTGAAGAAAATTATTTTATTGATTCCAACAGCCAGATTCTTTTTTACAAGAAAAAAGATGAAGCCAATGAAGAAAGTTGTGAAAAAAACTGTGAAATTTAAGGGACTAGTTTAATATTTTTAAGAATCCTTTAACGTCTCCCTTAAACAGATTCTCAGGAAACACAGCTACTGGAAAATGTGAAAAATATTAGAAGCTGTTCCTATGAATAAATACAGTCATGTTCCCATAATGACGTTTCAGTCAGCGATGGACTGCATATACCGGTGGTCCCATAAGATTATAATATACTGTATTTTTACTGTATTTGCAGTGTTCAGATACACAAATACTTCAGTCACATGTACAGATTTGTAGCCTGGGAGCAATAGGCTATACCGTATGACCTAGGTAGGGAGTAGGCTGTACCATCCAGGTTTCTATAAGTAACACTCTGCGATGTTCACACCAGGACAAAATCACCTAATGACGCGCTTCTCAGAATATATCCCCATTGTTAAATGACACATGGCTGTAGTTATTAGAATTAATTGATGCTCTTTAGCCTAGATTCTCAAATTGTATGTTGGTAAGGACTGTTTTTCCCACATGTTGAGAATGGATACTTTTGAAAAACATAATAACATTGTTGCAGTTTCTCAAGAACTACCCTCCATATCTGTACTTTTCTTGGGCTGGCAAGAAATAGTTCATGGTCAGTCTTTAAAGAATATTACTACAGTGCTTTGATAAAGAAAATTAAATTATGGTGAGGTAAATGACATTTAAAATAAGTGCTTTTTTCCTTTGAAAAGACCACCGTTTAGTTCATCATGTGAGTATGAGCCTAGGCACGGGGATGTGACAGTGAACAAATCACAGGCCTTGCTCCTCAGCAGTTCATTGTTTGGGGTTATAAACACATACACAGATCATTTCAATATAGTGTGCAAAGTGGGAACTACTGCAGCTGCTAAGGAACATGTTATAGAGAAGACTCACCTCTCCCAGCCTGGCTTAGGAGGAGGAAGACGGGTTTCCTTTAGGAAACAAAAAACAAAAGAAAGGTGGTATGAATTGACCCAGAAAGATATGTTTTTAATGAGTATGTGTTTATGAAACTATTCAAAAAATAATAGGAGCCTTTTCTGTAAGCTAGTACTAGGTAACATTGTTTCGACTATGTGTGTTGTATTAATAATATGTATCTCATGTTATCCAGACTGGTGACTGGACATGGTTGAAAGAGTTTTATCAAAGACTCATTGATCAGAAGTGGCAGAGGAAGAAAAAGAGCAAAGAGCACTGGTATCAAAAGGCAATTCTTTCCAAGTTTTTATATTACAGGTACTTGGCTACTTATTTATCTCTAAAGAGAAAAAGGGAATTCTGATCTAAAATTTAGTGTGAAGCTTAATGAAGTTATAATTTAAGTTTTGCCCCTGTGATACTGTTAACATTTGTTTCATATTTCTTTTTTACAAGATGTATGCTTAATTACAGATTGTAGTTTTTATAAACGGGTAGACTGTTGCATGAAGTTAACTTTAGTAACAGCAATCCTTTTTTATTTCTGGTTTGGCCAGTATCAATGGTGATGGAGCCGCTCAGCCTGTCTCATCCACCGCAGAACAGCAGGAATCGTCCAGTTCAGATCAGACAAATGATTCGGAAGGGGCTTCATGGCCTGCTCCCTTCGAAATGCCTTCTTCAGTTTCTGAAGATCCCAGTGCTTCCAGTCAGGTTAGTACTTAAATGCTAATTCTAGAAACTCACATAGGAAAACAAAGCCTTTTTTAACATCTCGTTAAAAAAAAAAAAAGATGAACAGGACTAAGAAATATTCTGTCAGCTTATGGAATGGGGGAAAAAAGACTTCTGTCAATTTATGGAATTGGAGAAATACTTTTTAGTTTTTCGCAATAGAATTTACAAGAGCTATTATAGGTGGGGAGATCAGATTTTTTTATTAAATCGAAATATAATAGTTGACTGATATGTTTATTAATACTGATTATCTCCTTCAAGTGATGAGTATTATATAGAGATATAGTATATTTTAATTATAAATACTAGTCATTTTTAACTATAAATACTATTTTAACTATAAATATCTGTCAATATTTGATAGACATTTCCTACCAAATATTGAGACTCAGAGACCCATTTGTAATTTAAGTTCTAACCTTTTTACCATAACTTTCAGTCAGATTGTTAGACCTAAAATATCCCTTTAAGGTTTTCCAGATAAAATTCCTGAAACTTAGTCCACATTCATGTTATAAAAGTTTTAGAAAAGAGAATGAACTAGGTTGTCCATTTTATCTCTTACATCCTTGTTTCTTCCTAATGCTTGTTTATTTTTGTACTTACTGTATCTATCAAAGAATAAAATAAAGCCATAGATGTAAATTGTGACATGTCTATTTTCAGGAAAATAGATTGATAAATAGATAATAAGATCTGTGACTTGATAAGTTACGTCTTCCCTCTTGCTGTTGTGTTCCCACATATTGAGCACTATTCAACCAGATTGTTTCAATCTTCACAAATTACAGGGAGCAGATACATTTAACTCGATTTTAGTTTCAGTAGGTTTAAGATAGAGAAAGCATCCCATAAAACTCCATAATGAATTTAAATTTCTTTCAAAAGTGAGAAAAATGTAAGGAAAAGGAAGTAATTAATATGCAAGTCACATAGTGGTAACAACCAAGAAGTAGGGATGTTCTATGATTCAGAAGGGAGAAAAGACTACATAATACAAATACTACCCTCCTATTACCCATGTCACCCATCTCCCAGTGTTGTTCTGTCTTTACCTTGTTTAGGAATTACTGTGAAAACTCTTGGAGAGTCGGGAATCTGTAGACTTGCGTGTTGAGGAAGCAAGCTGGCATTTACTGAATAGCTCTTATGCCATGTGTATGTTTGTACAAGGTTTTTTTTTTCATTCTTGGAGCTGCGTATTGTACAAATAAGTAAACTAACGCTCATCAAAAGATGTTTCACATGGTCATACAGCTGGCGAAACTCTCAGGCTAGGGCTTAAACCCAGATCTTTCTGCCTGCAGAGGCCTGTTCCTCCAGCAGTACTCCACTGTGTCCGTGTACTCCACACACAGCAAGGCCCTACTAACAGTCAGATCATCGTAGTAGTGGTGTATCCCTAGGCACAGCTAGCCTGCCTTAAGAGTCTCTTACAGAGTACTTTTCTTATATTGCTTAAATTTCAGCTTTAGAGATTTGTTTATATTTGCAAGCTATCTCTGCACAAATTCTTGTTCCAAAAACTAAAACTGCTGGCTTGAGGCCTTTGTTAAGCAGTTATAGAGGTTAAATAGGTGACTGTGGGATGGTCCTAGAGCCAGACATTTATTGAGAACGTTGTAACCTAGAGCTCATACTCTGACTAAAGCAACTGCCTGGCAAACTGTTTTGAGAATCGGTTCATGAGTTGATAACTTGTCTGTGTAAACAAATAATAAAATAAAAAAGAGTTTAAAGTTCTCTTAGGACTCCTGAGGGAGAGGACAAGGCACAATAGAAGTGCTAGAGAGCCACCTGTGCTTATAGTCACACACTCTTCCCAAGCAGGTGCCAAGCCTACTGGCACACACAGATGACAAGTAAGACAGATGTTTGTGGAATAAGCAACACACGCATGCCTGTCTTGGGTTCTGTTGAGGCAATGACATTAAAAGCTTAAAGTAGTATTTCTTAATGGCAGTACTACTTTCCTAATGATTGGAAAATTGAGTGGTAGGCTGAGTTTACCCAGTGTCAAGAGGGCCCAAGTGTATTCCAAAATGCATTCCAGGCTGGGCGCAGTGGCTTATGCCTGTAATCCCAGCACTTTGGGAGGCCGAGGTGGGTGGATCACTTGAGGCCCGGAGTTAGAGACCAGCCTGGCCAACATGGCGAAACCCCATCTCTATTTAAAAAAAGAAAAAAAAATTAGCCGGGCATGGTGGCACGTGCCTGTAATCCCAGCTACTCGGGAGGCTGAGGTAGGAGAATTGCTTGAACCCAGGAGGCGGAGGTTGCAGTGAGCTGAGATCATGTCACTGCACTCTGGCCTGGGCAACTCTGTCTCAAAAAAAAAAAAAAAAGTATTCCAGAGAATATCTTAAGAACAAAAAGTGTTCTGAGATTAAATACATTTGGGAAACATTGGTTTTTACAAAGATAAAGTAGATTTTTCTATTGCAGGATTACTTATTATATATTTATTGTTTTAATATCAATAAATATTGTTACTCCACAAAAGTGAGTACCTGGTAAACGTCATCTTTCAAACCTGACTCTGGAAAATTTTCATTCAGTTTCCCAGGAACTAGTGTTCTGTGAAACACTCATCAGGAAATGCTAAACTGGAGACTGTTAAGATAATGAGTATCTCAAACTGTGGCTGAGTAAGATTTCTTAGGGTTTCTTTTTTTTAAGAGACAGACTCTCATTATGTTGTCCAGGCTGGATTCGAACTCCTGGGCTCAAGCAGTTCTCCCCTGTCGACCTCCCACATAGCTTGGACTACAAGCACATGCCATCGTGCCTGGCCAGTTTCTTAGGAATTTTTAAATTCAATATAGATAGAGTAGGCTGAAAGAGCAGTGGTAATCAGATGCACCAAAAAAGAGAAAAATGAAAAACTTAGAAAGTTTAGAATAATCTTTAATCTATCTCTCTTGAGTAAGATCTAAATGTGATTCGCTTCTTATAGTAGCTATGATCATTAGCCAAAGCAAGCCACCCAATGAGGCGTGTTATTATTTGTATTGGCCTAATAATTCACAATGGTAGATTTGAAGTGTGTGCTTTGAATATTTAGGTGATACTCTCAAAAGTGGGTCAATTTTAAGAAATGTTGACAGCAGAATCACTCCTTATCCTTGCACTTTTCACAGGGAAGTGAGCCTCTTGAACCCTCATACATAGTGGGGCATGTGGCCTCAGCCCCCAAAGAACAAAACCTGATTACTTTATTCAATGACGGGGAGCACAGTCAGGTATGCTTTCCATGGTGTCCAAGGTGACAGCAAATCCCCAGTCTACTTTGTCATTTCAAAACTAGCCTAAGTCGAAATTGATAGGGAAAAACTCCACTTGATCCTGAAACTGCTTTCTAAGCATCTTTGTGATCTTAGCTCTGGGGCCTGACTTTGTCTTCTTTGTCTCTTCCTTTTTCTAGTCTTTTTATGGATCATGGGGGGAAATTACAGATTGACTGTTTATTATAATCCTCCCTATTTTAAATCACAGGGTCTTAAAAATGATTTTGTTCGGAATATTCTATGGACATTTGAAGATATCCATATGTTGGTCGGCTCCAACATGCCCATATTTGGAGGAGGCAGATACCCAGCAGTCAGCTTACGTCTCAGGTGAACTAACATCATACCCCTCCTCAAGCTTATGGTATTTAAATTCTTCCTTTAGAATCAGTGTTCCATCAGACTGAGGTTGCAGTGAGCCAAGATCATGCTACCGCACTCCAGCCTAGGCGAAAGAGCAAGACTCGTCTCAAAAAAGAATCAGTGTTCCATCTATTTGGGCATCTTCCTCTTTCTCTAGGTTTTTTCCCCTCCCTCCTTCCCCTGCCAGTTGAAATGGCCACATTAAGGAAGGAGCTACTGTCAGCAGATGCTGAAAGGCAGGCCTATAGCTGAGTCTTCATTCTAGACCTCATTGAATAGAGCCAGAGGTTTGTTGGACTGGCCTAGTCTTAGGTCTGAATCTACAACTTGTGAGAATATTCAAGAGAGTTTATTTAATTAGTTAGATTCCTACTAACTACTTGTGAGCATTTTTCTTAATGCTCCACGTGTATTTGTTGATATTAGCCAATGTGAATTCCAACTTAAGCATGGTCTTGTATGGTGTTCAGTCTTTCTTCAAGTTGTGTGTGAGGAGCAGGCAGTAGGCTCACCGTCCTTTCCTATTATATTGTCTTCTATTCTTACTGAAAACTTACCAATGTCAGTTAGAAATACAAGCAAGCTTTTGGAAAGATGTTAAATATAGCACAACCACTGAGCTGCATGTGCATATCTTATCAGAAAAGAAAGCATAGATGGCATTTTCTATCTAGAGAGGACAGCTTAAGATACTTAAATGGTGAAATAACTTTCAGATGATTAATTAAGGAACATCTTAATTAAACCAAATAACACTAGAAATGTATATTTTTAGGGATAACAACAAACCAATTAATGTGCTAACTGGAATTGACTATTGGTTGGACAACTTGATATGCAATGTGCCAGAGCTTGTGATGTGTTTTCATGTAAATGGAATTGTACAGGTAAGATACAGTGTGATTTTTCTGATCTCTCAAATGCAAATTGGTACAGAGAGTTCCTCACCAAAGTCTTTACGGCCCTGAAGTACTAAGGTGCATTTTTGCCAGGGAAGATAGCTGTGAATAAACTGAATTTGAGTGTACATTTAAGTTGGTGATAACAGAATTGTAGATGTTATAGAAGTATAATTTTACAGGTAATTTGGAGGAAGTTCATAAATATATGAAAACCTGCATTTGTAGCCATAGAACTCTAATTTTAATGCCAAGCTCTCATTAATAATTAACTGAAAGTGTCTACACAATGGAGGCGTTTCTTCGTTATGCAAATATCTACTCAGTACATGCAAAGTTTTAGGGAAAGGTCTTGTAAAAATTGCATATGGTGGATAGCTTATATAGCAAATTCTTATTGAGCATATTCTGTTTAGAAGACACGTATCCCCATTATAAGTGTTGGGGGAAGCTAGGCGTGTTGGCTTATTCCTGTAATCCCAAGCTACTCAGGAGACTGAGGCAGCAGGATCACTTGAAGCCGAGAGTTCAAGACCAACCTGGGCAACGTAGTGAGACCCTAATTGTAGAAAAACAACGCACACACTTAGTTGGGCATGGTGGTACATGTCTGTAGTCCCAGCTACTTGGGGGCTTGAAGCAGGAGGATCACTTGAGCCCAGGAGTTTGAGGCTGCAGTGAGCTATGATCGTGCCACTGCACTCCAGTATGAGTGACAGAGCAAGACCCTGTCTCAAAAAAATAAAAAAATTGAGAATTTAAACAATAAATAATTGTTGAAGGAAAACAAAGAATAAGCTTGGTTGTTATTCAGAAAGAGATAATCTAATGGGAAATAATATGCAGAGAGAACAGTAGGAGACAGATAAGAATTAGAAGTGTAGCACACAGAAATCTAGATCATCAGAGAAGGGGGTGAGCACTTCCATTCAGGTCTGGAGGAAAGACTTTGTGGAAGAAGGGACATCTTAACTGAGTCCTGAATGATAGCTAGTATCTCAAAAAATAAGAGCTGGATTTTAAAAGTCTAGTGTAAATACATGAAAGGATTGATAATAAATCCAGCTAGGGAACACAGGATTTATGTAGCAGAATAGCTGCAAGTAAGGTTGGAAAAGTCATGGTCAAATGATGGAGATCTTAAATGTTGAGCTAAGGAGTATGGACTTGGTTCAGTTGGTAATCTGGAATCAGAAGGCTTTGCATCTAGGAGGGGAAATTTGTTGTGTTAGAATATTAATTTAGAGATAGCATATAGGACAGAAAAGGAGGACTTAGAGACAAGAAAACCAGAGGCATTGTACCATTTTGCAGATAGTGTAATGTACTTTCCACTAGAGAGGAACTATTAAGAATCAACAATGGTAAGAATAGATAGCATTTATTGAGTGCTTATTTTATCCAAGCACTTTGCTGAATGCTTTAAATGCTTTACCTTATTTGATCTTCTTAGCTACCTCACATGCTGTTATTCCTATTTGATGGAAAGAGAGACTGAGGATCAAGGAGCTCAAGTGAGTTGCCCAGGGTCAACTTAGTAGTGAGTGGCGGTGCCAGTCTTTGTGCCTCTCTCTGGCTGAGGACATGCTTTGAACCGTTATATTCCAACCCAGTGATTCTTAACCTGGTTGTGCATCAGAATCACTTGTGGTCTCTGAAAAAATGCACTTGCTTGGGCCCCCAGTGTTCTAGTATCAGTAGGATGTGTACTTCTGTCTTTTCTGAAAGTCTGCTGTATGATTCTGGTTTGCAGTCTTGATTGAAAACCACTGTTAGACCATCTCCCTAAATGGCAACATTTAGTGAGAGGCTGGGGTGGGAGTGGGGAGCAAGAGAAAAGAGAGAGGCAGATAAAGCGTTAGCAAGGCGGAGGGGAACAGGAGTCAAAGGAGATTCCAGGGTTTAGGGACTAGAATAATGGTGGTGCCATTTAGTGAGATAAGGATGTTGAATTGGTTTAGACAGGGAAGGTAATATGTTTTTGTCACATGTTCAGTTTGAGGAAAGTATAAAAATGTCTAGTGAGCATTTTGAAGTTGCAGCCATTAGAGAAATAAATTGAAGCATCATCTGCCTAGATACTGTCAGATTTCATCACCAGAGGAATCTATTAAAATCAGACATTGGAGCCTCTCCTCATAGGGGTAAAAATAGAAGGGCATTTAGAGAGAGAGAAGGAGAACAAGAATAGCACAGATTAAAATACAGGAAAGGAGCATTTTAAGGAAGGAAATAATCAACATTGGGGACTTCACATGAACAAAGTGGGGTGAAAATCAACCTCAGACGATTGTGTTTGGTCTTACATTCCAGTTGATTTGAAGTTTCCAGTTTTAGAGTACTTCAGAAAATGTGGTAGGAGATGGTTAGGAGAGTGTGCACAGAAGATAAACAAGAAAAATGCAAAGGCACTTTTAAAATAGTGGTAGTAATGTCCATGAAGCCTTTACTCTTATTGCCACCTCCATTCCCCCCTGCTCCATCCCTGTGAAGTAATAAAGTCCATAGATGAAGGGAAGAGAGGTGTCTACTGGAAAATTTCCTAAATGATTCTCTCTCCTTGAGTCACTGACTGTAGTTTCTAGCAAAAAAAAAGGCCAGAAATACATGTGTTTTAAAATCTTGCTGGGTAAAGCCTACCTTCATTTACCATCTTCCCAGTTGAAAACCATTCAAGTGGAATAAAAGTAGTCAGTATGATTTGTTCCATGTTAGAACAGAAATAAGATCATGCCTGAATCTGAGGTTCTAAATCTGGTAGTGATTCTCCATTGAAATTACTCCAATAGTGAACTGCCCTTGCTGATGGGGTGGATGAGATTCCTTTGGGAGGCTGGGGCAGAAAAAAGATTAAAAACCACTGGTTTAAACACTTTCATGCTACATAGGTCTCTGTTTGCAGGACTTCTGCATTTGGTTGCTTTTTAAAAAGAAAGGTGTTGTTTCCTTGGGTTTTCTCTTAAACTGCTTTCCATCTGTCTGTATTTTACAGAAATATGAAATGATAAAGACAGAAGAAATTCCCAATTTGGAAAATTCTAATTTTTCTACTAAAGTCATAAAAGACATTGCACAGAATATTTTATCATTTTTGAAATCTAATTGTACCAAAGAAGGACATACCTATTGGCTCTTTAAAGGTAAGCTATTAATACTTCTTGAGTGAACAATAATTGATTTGGGTAACTGCTGTGAAATGAGTCTTCTTTGTTTTTCTTTTCAGCAAGTGGCAGCGATATAGTGAAGCTCTATGACCTCACTACTCTTTGTGAAGAAACTGAAGACAAATACCAAAATCCATTCACAATGCCGGTAGCCATTCTCTTGTACAAGTGAGTGCTTTAAGAATTTAAGATGAAGAAGTAGCCTATTATATAAAGTTTTAAAGCATACAGTCACAGTTTCCAAACCAAGGCTTTTAAATGCTTTTAGGTTTTCATAGTAGGGGGAAAAATACACGTACACATTGTACCAAATATTACTCAGCTTTCTTATGCCACCATAGTATAAACGTTTTGGGGGTTGTGGGTAAAGTGTAAAGTTTAGTATTTTGTTGTTTCTTATAGCTCTTTGTTGGAAAGAAACAAGAGCACTCCTAGACTTGAGTCTTGCAGACAACGATGAAATGGGCAGTAAAGTTGATATAAACTCTTTTTTTAGGGTTGCTTGCAACATGATGATGAAGAAGAATCAAAATAAGAAACACTATGGAACTATTAGAACATTGCTTCTTAATTGTCTGAAATTACTGGACAAAAGTAGGCATCCTCAAGTAAGATTAACATTTATGTATTCTCTAAAACAATCCTAGCATTCTAATAGGAGATTGTTACCTAGACAGTAAAGCCTCCTGATTCATATTCCGTAACTGCCCTATTCAGTGTGGTAGCCATTAGCACATGTGGCTGTTGATCACTTAAAATGTGCTTTGTCTGAATTGACATGTGCTGTAAGTGTAAAATACACACTGAATTTTGAAGATTGGATGTCTGTACCTATTACATGTTGAAATGCAATATTACATATATTGGATTAAATATATTTAAGTTGATTTCACAGATTCTACTTTTTAAATGTAGCTACTAGAAAATTTAAAATTTCTGTATGTGACTCATGTTACATTTCTCTCAGACAGCACTGCTCAATGAATTTAGAATTCATGTAATTCTAACAGTAGTGCCCTTAGTTCTTTGTTTTGTCGCTATTAGACCTTGTTACCACTTTGTTAATATAAATAGGGTTCACATTCCACACTTCAGGATATTAAAGCATCTCTTAAATAAAGGCCAGTAAAATTTCTTTTAAAGAGAAGGGGAAAAAGCATCTCTTAAAATATTCCCTCAGTCATGCTCCCAACAGTTTTACACCATCCTTACCCTCGGTTGTCTGATTGACAACTTTATTTTTCACTGTTAAGGCTATTTGTTGTATCCTGTTCAAATCAGTAAAGGTATGTAAGATACGCAATTTTTCTTTGAAGAGCCAAAGTAATTTTAATTGTAGCCACATTTGATTTAGAGATAAAGATTATCCTAGAGACCAAACTCAGAAATGTTTTTGAAGAAAAATAGTAAAACATTTTGTTTCTGACTGAAATACCTAATTGCTGACTGAGGTGGCAGTGTTTAGTGGAACTTGAGTGGTTTATTTGGATGTTAGAAATGGTGTTAAAGACTATTGTCTGTGATTAAGAACTGATAAATAGTAGAATGGGTTAAATGGTCATATATAAATGCTAATTTTAAGAGATATCAGAATGGACTTTTCCCTTTTTAATGTAATGGTTTTTTTTTTCTAGAACCATAGATTATATGATAAATATTAGTTACCTATTATAGAGAAACTTGAATTAATTTATAGTTTGTAAAGAAAAATTCTGGTTTCTCACTTGGCATAGGGTGGTATTAAATTTTTGTTAATATTTTAGTTATGACACTCTGTACTCAAAAGCTTTTGTTTGTCTCCAGTGAAATTCAGTTGACACCTTTTAAGAGGGAGGGCTCAGGGTGGAGTAATTTCGGGAAATAGGAAATGCATCAGCCTATAAAGATTTTGCAGAGCATACCCAGAGTATCAGTAGCTTTGAACTGGGAACATTTCTGTGTGTGTTACAGTCTATATGGTGGAAACAGCCTGTGTGCAGACCTCCTCCTAAAATTCGTTAGTATGGTAGTAAAATTCATGTATTTTTTGATGACAGTAATTTACACATATTTCTCTCTTTTTCATAAGATTATTGCTTCCGCCAATTACATGCTTTCAGAACTTTTTCAATTGGATGAACCTAAAAAGGAAGAAAATTCAGAATCTCCTTTAAATGAGAATTCTGATGAAAGTTATAGTGAAGAGGAGGAAGAGATGCCCGACAGTGATGAAAATGGATCCTATAGCACCAGCTCTGATCCATCAGATGATAGCAAAGCAGTAGCTATAATCAAGTCTGTTGGAGAACTATCAGTACCAGAAAAATACAAATCTATTCATCAAATCAGAGTAAGCCTTTAGAATTTATATTAAATTTTTATCAAGGAAACATAATTGTTAATCGAATATAGTTAGCCTTTCAAAAGATACCATTACTTCAATAAACCTTTCATGGTCTAGCATCTAGTAATCATTAGTTTTCTGAATTCTTAAAGTTGGTTTTATAATTGTTCGAGGGTAACTGACCCACATTATGCAAGCCTATAGTGGACAGGTGTGTAAACCAGGTGTCTGTCTATTCTTATGTGAAGGATTTTCCTTTCCAGTGACCAGTGTGTAGTCATAGTCATGTCTCATTACTAGGGCACTTCTATCCGGTGTTGGGGTTGCTGGGAAATGACATATATAGATTGCTTGGTGAACATAGAGTAGAGAAGGGGGTGGCTCTTGGAACTGTATATGGTGAGCTCTGGTACATTATCCCTGTGCTATATAGGACAGTACTTTTTTCGTGACTCTTGTGGTCATGTCTGTTGTATTGGACATGTCTCTGCCCTGGAGAGGGCCAGACAGATTTCTCCCTGTGTGGATTGCACTGACTCTACCATCAGTGTATCTCCAGGCAGTATATACCTTTCAACATACCGTCTCCCTATGATTAGATCCAGGCCAGCCTTAAGAGTTCTGGCTGTTCCCTGAACTGAAATACAGTCGTATTTACAGATAATCTCTTAATTTAAGCACTGAGTGTAACTTTCAGATGGAAACTCTAAGCAAGTTTTTGAGGGGCTATGTCTGTCACCTTAAAACATTGACCATCTTTCTGACCTTCACTTGCTCCATTGGTTTGCCGTGGCCATGCTGGGTTTTTTTTCTCTCAAAAGCATCAAGATTATGCTCATTGGAGGGTCTTTGTATTTGCTGTTGCTTCTGCTTGGAATGTACCTACCCTAGGTCTGTTCATGGCTGCCTTTTTTAAGGCTTAAGTCTTGACTGAAATGTTGCCTCTTCAGGGAGATGTTCCCTGACCACTCTGGCCAAAGCATGCTCTACTTTTTTGTCCTTCAAGGAGCCTATCTGTTCCTGAAGTTCTTAATGTTTGTCTTGCTTCACTAGAACGTAAGCTCCCTGCAGGTACAGACCCTCTATCTCCCATGTCTAGAACACATTATGGGTGCTCAGTAAATATTTGACTAAATGACTGCAGGAAAAAGTCATTAACTGTCCATCTAAATTTTAGTTCACTTTCAGCTTGAACTTCCACAGTGGAGTGAAAAAATGTTCTGGTTATAATCATTGATTGCAAAAGTTACATGTATCTGGAAAACTGCATTGTAACACTAGGCCATGGACTTACGGGGCAATTAGGTAATAATTAAAGATGTAATGAGTTAGTGTCACTATTTTTCACAGATAGCACTTTCTGTTCCGTATCTGAAGCACTCAAAAAATGCAGTCTTAGTATTCATATAAACATGTCTTTAGTTAGCCTTTCCTTATCCTCATTGAATGACTTTGTGGTATGGACAGTCAGCATGAGCTCCAGGGTCCCAGCTCCCCACTCACTCACCGTGTCCTCAGACAAATTGCTAAACTGTCTGTGCATGCTTCTCTTCTGTGCAATGAGAACAGTAATTCCAACCCCACGGGATTCAGCGAAATGAAATGCTTCACAGAAGCCCCTACACATAATATCCTTCATAGTTGGAGGTTGCTAGCTGCTTTTGCTCCTTAATTAAGCAAATAAATTAAACAACGAGAATATTGGTGATACTTGTTATTTCTAAATTGACGCTAATTGTTAATTGTGTTTTGTCCAGTATCGGTGCTAATTATGAGTGGAGCTGACCTATTAGATGATGTCTATATTTGTCTAAAACATTACTACTCTAGTTCTTGCTTTTTTGTCATAATAGAATTGTATTTAAAATTGTAAGTACTTAAAGCAACATATATGTTGTAGGATCTTTTTAAGCAAGATTTTTGTTGATAATGCTTACAGTAATTTAATCTTCAACAAAAACAATATGTTGACCTTAATACATTGGTAGTGTATTAATAATTTTATGTTTGTTCCTCAAGCCCAGTTGTGCATTTCCAGTTTGCCATGACACAGAAGAGCGCTGTAGACTTGTGCTTAGCTATGTTCTAGAGGTAAGTTTAAGTTTAGTCTTCACTTTTTTCGTAAAGTTTGTACTTGATTATGCAAATTACACTTGTTTGTTGGTATCTAAATGTTATTCTGAATTGTGTTCTGCTGCGATTTTTTTTTCCTTAAGCATAAAGTGAAAATCAGATTTGTTTTTCCCAAATCTTTCAGATCAAACATAGTTTTTGAAAGTCTGTTTGTGAGATGGAAATTTTCCTAAACGTATTCAGTAGTCCAGATACTGTCTTATATTTAGTTTTCAGTTGACCTGAAGTTAGATAGATAGTGAATGCTTTTCCTTTTTTTGCAGGGTTTAAAATCTGTCGATAGCAGCATCAAAAAAGAAAGCGACCTTCCAGCAGCTGACCCCAGCACTCCAATCCCGTTAAAATATGAAGATGAATCCTCAAGAGGGGGTCCCGAGGGGCTAGAGAAGCAGATGGCCTTGTTTTTGGACAAAAGTAAGTTGAATTGATGTGCAAATAAGGCCTTCAATAGAATAATACACTGGTTCTTTATCAACAGCAGACTTATGTCAATTAAGGCATTAATTGAAAGGCATTGAGAAAAAGATATCCTGTGAACTGGAATTAGGGGTAGTATTCTTTCATTTGAAATATAAAAAGGATAATTTTGATGTTTCATGGACATTTCTAATAAGAGCATAAGGAGCCTGCATCTTCCTGTTACCCACAGTGGGGAACTAATGCTTCAGCCTGGTGGAGTTCTCGCTGGATCGTGTAGGAGCCACAGACTTAGCCAGACTGCCTAACTTCATATCTTGGCTTTGCGAGGGCAAGTTGCTCCACTTCTTTGAGTCACTTTTTATCTCTTTCAAAATGGAGACGATAATAATGGTTTCTTTAAAGGGTTGTTAAATGATTAAATGATTAATATATGTAAAGTGCTCAGAACAGTGTACATAATAAGCACTATAGAAGTGTAGGCTGTTGTTACTGCACAGTACTTGAATAAGCTACAAATGTCACTTTTAAATTATCTAGTTCTTCAGGAATATAACATCATGAAGAATATATGGACTTCGAAGCAGAAGTTGTGAATTTCTTATTTTAACCTAAGTTGTATTTCTTTTTCCAACCTTATTTCTTTCCCCCTTTTAAATCAGTTTCAATTGTTTAAAAAAAAAAAAAGTGTAGAAAGCCTGTATGTTTGAAGTACATCTGAATCATAGTGGAAGCGCTTTCTGGACCCTTCTTCTTTTCCTGAACAAACATGGTGGAGGTAGGAGAGGAATAGATTTATTTCCCCAGCATTTATATAGTGCTGCTGGTATGCCAGGCTTCGGCCTACAGGCAGTAAGGAGATCACACCAGGACTTTTGCCATTCTTTTTTTCTGAAATGCCTTTTCTGTCTCCTTCTCCATCTCCCCTGTTGAAAATCCTGCTCAAGCTCAGAATCTCCATGTTTCCCTCTGTTCTCCATCAGAATTACTTGATTCTCTTACCACTTTGTCCTGTGAGCCTGCCTTATGTCAGAGTTCCAGCATTAAATGGTTTTACACACACATGCACACACACGGTTGTGAACAAGAACTTCATCTTAATTTTAGTTTCTCACAATGCCTCTTACTCACAGATGATGCTTATATCAGCAGAGGAAAAAAATCCATACACACATTAAACCATAATGAAGACTAAGTACCTTTCATTGCCTTGAAAGACTTGTGTTCTAGCTGATTAAAAAATGAGAAACCTTCAGGCTGGGGGAAGGGGTGGGTGTTTTTGTTATTTGCAGAGCAAAATTTTCCACAGTATTTTGTTCTTTGTCTGTTAATTACACTTAACATATTTTGTTGTGGTTTATGTTATCAAGGATAGAGGCCATATAACTTCATGTCACAGTTTCCAGTGCCTGGCACAGTACTTGGCAGAAAAATGATCATTTGTTGAGTAAAGAAGGTAGCGATGGGCTGGACTTTAAATAAAGAGTATTCCTTGTAGAGGAAACAGTAAACTAAGATGGGAGATAGGAAAAACAGGCATGTTTATAGGTGACAAGCAGTAACTTAACATTGGCTGATGGGTAGTAGGATGGACAAGTAGGAAGTGAGACTGAGAAACATGCAACTAGCTAAGTGGGGAGAAGCCGTTTTCATGTTTGAGGACAGGCTTTCACGCTGATCTAAGCTGTGCTTTAGGAAGGTAAACTTTGACAGGTTGACACATAGACTGGAAAAAGGAGACAGGTGTCACTCATGAGGTTAGCTATGTCAGTGACACTGGAAGAGAATGACAGAGTTGCCGATGTCAGGGAAGCAGAAGGCCTTAGAACTCCCAAGTGAGAGTCTTTTAACACGGCCATTTCACTCCAGTGTATTTAAGCAGTAAAGCATAGTATTTACCAGTCTTGTCACCTAAGTCTAGAGTGTTTCCATCAAGAAACAGAAAATATTTTTTGTGCATGAGACTTACAGTCAAATGAAATGTGCTGTCTTTTTTTTTCTCTCCATGTCACAGTGGGCTCCCTTCAGAAGGGCAATTATTCCAGTCAATCTGGAATGATCCCTGGCTCTTGGCAACATAAAATGAAACTTCAGCTGATTCTCAAGTCATCAAAGGCCTATTATGTTTTGTCCGATGCTGCCATGAGTCTTCAGAAATACGGAAGAGCATTACGATACATTAAATTAGCTTTGCAAAGCCATGGTAAGCCACTATAAATGAATATGTTTAATAGGCACTGGGAAGAGAGAACAGAGAAGGCATCTGAATCACAGTGGAAGTTTACTCCTATTTTTCTAGTAAATCTTTATTTTAAAATGACTGTTTCCAATCCTGTGTGTGTTACCTTCTATTTTAGTTTCTGCTCAGTGGTTTAACATCTCTTTGCTTTGAACTACATGAAGCCGTAATATGTATTGTTGGACCTAAAATAAACAGAATAGATACAGTGCTACAAAGCGTTCAGCTGGTAACACAGTTTCTTCATATTTCCTATGATCATTAATTTTTTTCTGCATTTGTGTTTTTTCTTCTTCCCTCCCTTTCTAAACAGATACTTATTGCTGCCTCTGCACCAATATGCTTTCCGAAGTGCTGTTGTTTCTCTCTCAATATTTGACACTTTGTGGTGATATCCAACTAATGCTGGCCCAGAATGCAAATAATAGAGCAGCACACCTTGAAGAGTTTCATTACCAAACAAAAGAAGACCAGGAGATCCTGCATAGCCTTCACAGAGAGTCCAGTTGCCAAGGTGTGCCACAGGCTTGGACCACGTGGTTCACAGTGGGACTGTGCAGTCTAGCTCATGCTTATTTGAGTATTCAGAAAAGGGGTAGAAATATTAGAGTTTTGATATTTGCTCTGTATTTATTTATTTATTTTTTGAGACGGAGTTTCGCTCTTGTTGCCCAAGCTGGAGTGCAATGGTGCAATCTTGGCTCACTGAAACCTCCGCCTCCCGGGTTCAAGCAATTCTCCTGCCTCAGCCTCCCAAGTAGCTGGAATTACAGGCATGCGCCACCATGCCCGGCTAGCCCACCTTGGCCTCCCAAGGTGCTGGGATTACAGGTGTGAGCCACCACGCCTGGCCTGCTGTTTTATTCATTTCCTAATTTTAAGATTAAGCATGATCTTGTGTATTTGTATAAAATGGTTTTTAAGTATTTTATAATTACTGTTTATATAACTAGAACTAAATATAAAGTAAGATATGAAGACAGTTGTGTCAACTTTTTATTTTATTTTATTTATTTATTTTTTTGAGACACAGTCTCGCTCTGCCACACAGGCTGGAGTGCAGTGGGGCAGTCTTGGCTCACTGCAACCTCCACCTCCTGGGTTCAAGTGATCCTCCCATCTCAGTCTCCCAAGTAGCTGGGACTAGTACATGCGCCACCACACCTAGCTAATTTTTGTATTTTTGTTAGAGACAGGGTTTCACCACGTTGCCCCAGACTGGTCTCAAACTCCTCAACTCAAGCGATCCTCCCACCTTGGCCTCCCAAAGTGCTGGGATTACAGGCACGAGCCACTGCACCCAGCCTTGTGTCAGCTTTTTACACTCTTCTTTTCATGAGGTTCTTCTAGGTAACACTTGTAGTCAGCTAACAAAGCCATAGGTTTCCTTTTGAAAGGTATAACAGTTGGTGAAGGAGGTTAATTAACCTTCTGAATGATTCCTTGGGGCTGAAATAAAGTGATCATTGTTTTTAAAGTTAGTTCATAGCCACCTGTCTTGCTTAATATGTCACTCTGTTTGGAATTGTCAGGCTTTAAAACTGGGAAGTAGAATAATCTGATCCGCAGCAGCGATATCCCTCCCTCTTACCTCAGCACAGTGTGTAACCACGCTGCCATTAACACAGTGAATGAAGTAAAAGATGAGTCTTCTGAAGGTGCTTCTGTAATGTCTCATGGGGTTGTTTTATTATGCTCTTAAATTGTTATACTGAATATTACTTGATGTTTGCCTCCCAGAGTTTTAGACAATTCATAGCTAGAGGAGTATACTGGGGGAGAGGGAAAAATGTGTTATTTTGTAATAGTTTTGCCCTTTCTTCCCCTCTCTCCGTCTTTCTCAAATAATCATGTTTTAATGTAGTAGGAAAGTCCTTGGTGTATTTTTACTACTCCCATCATAGCAATTTCAGTTAAATATTCTTTTTACTCTAGTCCCCACTAGATGGCATTTTTAATCTTCGAGGGCTTCTGTAGCAGCCTCTTCAGTGACTTAAAGTTAATATTGGGACATTATTTCAAGAACTATTTCCATTAGTTAAAAATAGCAACTTTACTTTGTATTAGTGGACAACTTTAGGTCCATTCTAATAAACAAGTGTACCTGGGAAAACCTGGGTCACAGAAATTGTTTGATATTCATAGGCAGGAAAATATTTTTATCCAACATTAATATCCCAAGAAATATAATTTTATAAATAAATAGATCTTTATTATGAAACTTAAATATTGTTGTATTGATTGAATCTTGGTATACTTACACTATATTGCATTTTTTATTACTTAGAATTTAGAATCTCAGGTTCATTTGGATACTGAGGAAGAAGGAATCACATGATTCGCATTGATGTATCCCTTTTTTCTTTTCAGGATTTGCATGGGCAACTGATTTGTCTACAGACTTAGAAAGTCAACTCTCTGTTAGTTGTAAATGTTATGAGGCTGCTAATGAAATCTTGCAGTTTAGTGACTTGAAAAGCCAAAATCCAGAACACTATGTACAAGTATTAAAGAGAATGGGTAACATTAGAAATGAAATTGGTGTGTTTTACATGAATCAGGCTGCTGCATTACAGAGTGAGAGACTAGGTGAGTATCTCTTTAGATTCCTCTCTATTGCTTGTTCTCTCAGAAAATTATGCTAATTTTGTATGAGTCAAGCAAAGAACTGTGGCACTTGATTTTATATCATAAAGAGGTGCTCTATTAGAGAACCTCTTATTATTCTTAAGAAATAGAATTAGGAACACATGATTTTCCCTTGGAATGAATTATTTCAATGTTCTTCATTCTTACTTTTGTACTCACTCCATCTGATCAATTCAGAAGCAAATGGGACATCCAGCCATGTGCCAGGCTCTATGTTGGATATGTAACTGGCTAAAATATGGTTCTCTCTTCATGTTGGGAAGCTAGATAGGAACACAAAGCCTCAAAATGCTGTGGATGAGTACCGACGAAGTATAATGGGAGACTGGGGAAATAAGACATTTATGGAGGTTATAAGTTAGAAGGCTTTTGGGAAAGTGTTGTTGAGCAGGGTGATGCAGGATGTGTAGAGCATCAGCCGGCAAATGTGAGGAAAGGAGGGCACTCCAGACCAAGGAGGCGGTGTGAGGAAGAAGCCAGGGATCTCAAAGGGTGCAAGTGTACGTTTAGAGGGAGCAAGAGGCCTGTGTGAGGAAGATGTGGGATAGTGGGTAAGTAAGATGTGGGATGGCGTAGTAAGATGTGGGATGGTGTAAGTAAGATGTGAGATGGTAAACCATTTGGGCCCATGTTGAATTTGAGTTCACTATGGAACATGTATGTGAAAGGTATAATTTGTAGTCAATTTGAAGTGTGCTAAGAGCTGTAGGGCTAGTGAGACAGACTGAGAACCATTCACATAAAGGTAATAGTTGAAGCCGTGAGAATAGATAAGAATGTAAAGCCTGGACACAGGGACAGAACAGAAAGGGGCTGAGGTAGAACTGAGGTGAGCAGGTAAGCTGAACATCTGTGGGCCTTTGGTTTTGGTTTTGGTTGTTTCTTTTTTTTTTTTTTTTTGAGACAGGGTTTTACTCTGTCGCGCAGGCTAGAATGCAGTGGCATAATCATAGCTTGCCACAGCCTCGAACTCCTGGGCTCAAGCAATCCTCTCACCTCGGCCTCCCAAGTAATTTTTAAAAATTTTTTTAGAGATGAAGTCTTGCTGGGTTGCCCAGGCTGGTCTCGGACTCCTGGCCTCAGGCAGTCCTCACGCTTTGGCTTCCCAAAGTTCTGGGATTACAGGCATGAGCCACTGCACCCAGCCTGTGTGCCTGTTGATCTGTGAATAATGCTTGGCACTTAGGGATACAAATGTTGCCCTCAAAGAGTTCATTGCTAGTGGGAGAACCTGTGCATTTACGGTGCATCTGGAGGGGGCAGTCAGTGAGGGAGCCTGGAAAGTGGTAGTCAGGAAGCTAGGGAAATTGGATACAACACAGGTTGTAATCTCTTCAGACTCCATGGGGACCACGCTTTTGGATCTTCACAAAATGGCACTTTGCTCAGATGTTTTTCTTTGCTTATTTTAATATCATTTGGTTAATAGTGAAGAGGGTTATACTTAAGTGTTGTACAGTAGACCCCACTTATCCTTGGAGGATGCGTTCCAAGATCCCCAGTGGATGCCTGAAACTGGAGAGTTTTTCAGTGCTTTTTCCTATACATACATACCTGCGATGAAGTTTAATTTACAAATTAGGCACAGTAAGAGATTAACAGCATTTACAACAGTATGGCAGCATCGTTACTCTTGTGCTTTGGGACATTAAGTCAAAATAAGGGTTACTTGTACAAAAGCACAGCAATATTGTAACAGTCATCTGATAACCCAGACAGCTACTAAGTGACTAATGGGTGGGCCGTGCATACAGCATGAATGTGCTGGACAAAGGGATGGTTCCCATCCTGGGTGAGGCAGAGCAGGATGGTGAGAGACTTCATCAAGCTATGTTAGTGAGCTGGGGCTGCTGTAATGAAATATCATAGACTAGGTGACATAATGAGAAATTTATTGTGTCATAGATCTGGAGACTGGAAGTTCAAGATCAAGGTGGCAGCAGCATTGGATTCCTCTCATGTTTCTACCTTGGCTTGCAGATAACCGCCTTGTCACCGTGTCCACACAGGGCCTTCTCTCTGTGCATAGCCCTGGAGTCCCTCCCTCTTTAAAAGGACACCAGTCATACTGGATTAGGATCCCACCCTTACAATCTCATTTAATCTTAATTACGTCTTTAAAGGACCTGTCCTAAATACAGTCACATTCTAAGGAACTAGGGGTTAGGGCTTCAACATATGAACTCATATGGACACGTTTACCTTCATGTAACAGGCATGGTGAGAGCAATGAGCCGTGGTTGACTGCAGGTGACTGGCTCGCCACCACACTCCTGTCACTGCCATCCTCCTCTTATCTCATCAAGAGACAGTGCTAAGGTTTACACTGATGTCTGCTTACACAGTTGTTTTCTTTCTTTCTCTGTAAAGTGAGCAAATCTGTGTCTGCTGCCGAGCAACAGTTGTGGAAAAAAAGCTTTTCTTGTTTTGAAAAGGGAATTCACAACTTTGAATCAATTGAGGATGCCACCAATGCCGCCCTTTTATTATGTAACACGGGAAGGCTCATGCGGATTTGTGCGCAGGCCCACTGTGGTGCAGGGGATGAACTGAAACGTGAATTTTCACCAGAAGAAGGCTTGTATTATAATAAGGTAACACATTCGCGTACATGTTGGGCCTCACCCATTCACACCTGTCATTTATTTACATTTTGCCAGTTTCACTAAAATACTATAAAACTAAAAATAATTAAACTCTGCTAATGATACAACACCAGACAGATCGTGAAAACACTTGCAACCTGGCCTAAGACTAGTAAGAATTGAGTATTGAAGATGACATGTGGAATTGGAAGGGAAAAGATGATTCTGCAAATGGTTTGTACAACGAGCATGAATGTCAAATGGATTAAAGATTGACATGGAGAAAGTGAAACTGTAAAAGTATTAGAAGAAAATATAGGTAGAGGCTTATATGATAGGTTACAGAAAGACTTTCCCAGCATGGCACAGTAAGCAGAAATCCTGGGTAAAAGTTGAATAAACTCAAATGTGTAAAATTAAAGTTCTAAAATGCACAAATGTATAAAAAATAAAGATCTAAAAATGCTCAACAGAAACTGAAATTGAAAGCAAATCATAGAGATGAGAGGTTAATATACTCTTGCTGTATAAAATAAGAATCATTGAAAATAAACCACCCAAAGAGAAAAAAGAGCAAATAACCTTGAACAGAAAATGTACACATTTTTTAAAAAAAGTAAATGGCTAATATATATAAAAGAAAATTTTCAAAGTTTAGTTTTATTTATTTACTTTTTTGAGGCAGAGTTTCACTCTGTTGCTCAGGCTGAAGTGCAGTGGCACAGTCTTGGCTCACTGCAACCTCTGCCTCCTGGATTCAAGTGATTCTCATGCCTCAGCCTCCTGAGTAGCTGAGACTACAAGCATGTTGCCAACACGCCTGTCTCATTTTGGCATTATAATATTTTTAGTGGAGATGAGGTTTCGCCATGTTGGCCAGGCTGGTCTCAAACTCCTGGCCTCAAAATTGAGTTTTATTTATTAGATTGCCAAATTTTATGACAAATGGTCACACCCACTGTTGGAGAGGGTACAAAGATATGAGCACTCATATAATGGAGGAATTGAAGCCATTTAAATGACATTAGTGAAGAATGTTGGTGGCATAAATTTTTAAATGAGTGACCTTTTTTGATTTTCTTTTTTAAATTTATATATACACAGAAAAGAGTGAATAAATAAACACCAGAAATGTAGAAATTATTGCTGGGTGATTAAGTGTGGTTTTGTTTTTGGTTTCAATATAATGGCCATGTATTTGAGGATTGGGGTAACAAGGTAGGAGGAGATACTTCTTTTTACGTAAAATTTGGCAAGTTTTTAATCTAATTTACTAGTTATATAAACTGTAATTTTCATTTAGAAAGAAAAAAAAAAACAAAGGAAACAAGTGCATCATCATGCTCAGCCTGAGTCAGAAAGCAGCAGCACGGATTGGCTTCTTGTAGCCTTGAGATGGGAACACAGAGTGGTCTTCAGTCTACTCGGAATAACTTTCTTCATTGAAATATTTTCATTGACTTACTTTTTTCATTTCCTCATAATATTGTCTCTTTATAAATTATCCCAAAATTAAATTAACATCTGGGTAGTTGTGAAGTGTGTTTTATTTTAATGCAGTATTGGTATATGTTTAAGCTGAGTCAGAAATGTACACTGTTTTCTCCTTTGCAGGCTATTGATTACTATTTGAAAGCGCTAAGGTCATTGGGAACACGAGACATACACCCAGCTGTTTGGGATTCAGTGAACTGGGAATTGTCCACTACTTACTTTACTATGGCAACTCTACAGCAAGATTATGCTCCGTTATCTAGAAAAGCTCAGGAGCAGGTGATAATATTTGCTGGAGTATAAAATAAGTTCTCAATCTAATTCCCTTGTTTAACAAATATTTAGCGTCTGTTGTCTTTTCCCTAATAAGCAGTATTTAAACGTTTTAAAAACTCCTACAGTCAGATTAGAAGCTTATTTTTTTCTTCCCCCTCAAAACAAGAACAGATTGAGAAAGAAGTCAGTGAGGCCATGATGAAGTCCCTAAAATACTGCGATGTGGATTCAGTGTCTGCTCGACAGCCCCTTTGTCAGTATCGAGCTGCAACCATCCATCACAGGCTGGCCTCCATGTACCACAGCTGTCTGAGGAATCAGGTATTGTCAGTCCAAGTTAAGTACAGTGCCACATCAGTTTAAAAGTGTTCTGGGTGCTTTTTGTTTTTTTAACATGGTCATATATGTCTTCCTTGACGTCCACTCAGGTGAACTGCTGTCCTAAATTTTCTGCTGCGTCTGTGCCTTTTTTTGTGCTGTGCCACTTAAACAATATGTCCGCATTGTGCTCCATGTTGAGCATGGGAAAACGAATCCGCTGTTGGTGTTCTGTGGCTTACTGCCTGTCACTTAACATCGTGTTTTTGAGATACATCTGTGTTGGCACACGTAGCTGTTCATTTTCTCAGCTCAGTAGTCATTAAATGACTATATCTTAGTTTATCTAGTCTATGATTAGTGAATTTTGGGGTTATTCCAGATTCCAGTTTGATGCTATTAGAAATAATCTAGTGCCAGCAGGATTGTACATGAATCCTGGTGCCCAAATGCCTGTATTTCTGAGAATAATCTGAGGCCGAGGATAAAGGCACTTCCTTCCGAGAGATTGCTTGGCTTTTGCTGCGAGTCTTGGGCCTGTAGTTTCTCAGTGATGTTTTTTTGTTTGTTTTGTTGATTTTCCCCCCCCGTAAGGTAAGACTACTTACCTTACAGTCCCTTTGGCATGAGTTTACTTCTGGGTTGCCTTTATTCTGAAAAGTATCTTTTGAGATACAGCTTAAACTGGAGAAGTTCTTTTTCTTTTTTTTTGAGACAGGGTCTCACTCTGTTGCCCAGACTGGAGTGCAGTAGCACGATCTCAGCTTACTGCAACCTCCGCCTCCCAGGCCTCCCCACTCTTTTGCATATAGATATCTAGTTGTCCCAGCACCATTTGCTGAAAAGACTACTCCTCTGCTGCATTGTCTTGGCACCCTTAAGCTTGCTTTTGCCCTCAGGATATTAGGCCATCTGGGCAAACCTGAATTTTGGTTGAGGACTTCCTAAGTCGAAGTGGAAAGAAATCTTCTCCAGTTCATGCCTGTAATCCCAGCACTTTGGGAGCCGAGGTGGTTGGATCATTTGAGGTCGGGAGTTAGAGAGCAGCCTAGCCAACATGACAAAACCCCAGAAAAAAATTAAAAAATTAGCCAAGCAGTAGTGGCGGGTGCCTGTAATCCCAGCAACTTGGGAGGCTGAGGCAGGGGAATTGCTTGAGTTCAGGAGGCGGAGGTTGCAGTGAGCCAGGATTGCACCACTGCATCTCCAGCCTGGGCGACAGAGCGAGACCCTGTCTCAAAAAAAAAAAAAGAAAGGAAATGGATTAAAGACCTAAATATAAAAGCTAAAACTAATAAGACCTAGTAAGACCCACAGTGGGGGAAAAATAACTAAGAAGCACTTAGTGAAGCCTGAAGTAGTTACCGTGAAGGATTTGTTGCTTGTTTTGGTTTGGTTCTAGGTTGGTGATGAACACCTTAGGAAACAACACCGGGTGCTGGCAGATCTTCATTACAGCAAGGCCGCAAAGCTGTTTCAGCTGCTGAAAGATGCTCCCTGCGAACTGCTTAGAGTACAGCTAGAGAGAGTAGCATTTGCTGAATTTCAGATGACCAGTAAGTCTTAATTTTCATTTCTCAGATATGTATGCATTGGCTTAGTGCTGGATTGTCTTAGAGTAAGGCAGGCCTGTGAATCTAAATAATACTATTTTCTTTTTAATTTGCCCCATAGTTAATGACTTCGGGTAGAGAGGGTGAGAAATCACTACATGTTTTGAAGTGCTTTTTAAAACTTAGAGGAATGTATTAGATTATGTTCAGTGACTAGAAATACTGAGATATGGCCCATGACCCCTAGTTTGGAAAAAAAATTGACAAATAAATTTAGACAGTTAAAGAATTCAATCGGCCAGGCACAGTGGCTCACGCCTGTAATCCCAGCAATTTGGGAGGCTGAGGCAGGCAGATCACCTGAGGTCAGGAGTTCTAGAACAACCTGGCCAACATAGTGAAACCCCGTCTCTACTAAAAATACAAAAATTGGCCATGTGTGGTGGTGCAGGCCTGTAGTCCCAGCTACTGAGGAGGTTGAGGTGGGAGAATCACTTGAACCCAGGAGGCGAAGGTTGCAGTGAGCCAAGATCGTGCCACTGCACACCAGCCTGGGTGATAGAGCAAGACTGTGTCTCAAAAAACAAAAACAAACAAAAAAAAAGATTTAAATCGGCATGAAAAATTTGGGAATGGAGAGGCAACAGTAAAGGAGTAGTGGACCTTATTGAACCCCTTAAACATAGAACTGACCCTTGGATTGTGGTTCCAGAACAGACACTACTGTAGAGCCTGACCGAGGTCAAGATAAGTCGGGAGATAGAGAAGGGTGAAAGTGAGAATGCTTTCTTATGTTATTTTCCATGGCATGGAGTAAGCAGATACTTCAACCACTTAATGATTTTTCCTAAGTTCTCCCCCTCTCTCTCTTGCTCACCTATTCTCCTCTCCCGCAGAGGAGTCTTTTGAGAAATATCTCCTGTGTGGTAAAGAAACAAGAAACAATTATTTGAAGTGCAGCAGTTCATTTAGTTTTTCAGTCTGCTGTAAAATAAGGTTAATACTTTAAATCTGTATGACTTAGTTTACATAATACAGTAGCCCCTGAAGGATGCATAAGAAACTGGTAACATTGTTCCCTTTGGGGAGGAAACCTGGAAGGCCAAGAGGAGGGGTTTTGCTGCATACCCATTTGGACCTTGTAAATTTGGGAATGTATTACCTATCTAAAACAGTTTCTAAAAATGGTTTTTACTAAAACTAATTTTTTGCTGGCATATAACGCATGGCTAGATGTGTGGGACAGTCACCAGAATTAACAGTAGCTCTTTATGTGAGGAAGGTTTGGGGAGAGTGATCTTCAGTTTTCACTTGCACCTTTGAATATTCTGCCATGTTTGAATTCCTTAGAATGATCAAGCATCTTTTTTGTTGTTGGGGTTTTGTTTTTTGTTTTGTTTTGTTTTGTTTGAGACAGAGTTTTACCCTGTCACATGGGCTGGAGTGCAGTGGCATGGTCATGGCTCACTGCAACCTTGACCATCTGGGCTCTAGTGATCCTCAGCCTCCCCGAGTAGCTGAGATCACAAGTGCTAATTTTGGAAAAATTGTTTGTAGAGACAGGGTCTCACTATGTTATAAGCCCAGGCTGGACTCAAACTCTTGAGCTCAAGCGATACTCCTGCCTCGGCCTCCCAAAGTGCTGGAAGATACTGGAACAAATTTGCTAAGATGATAAGTGTGTTTAATTCTCTCCTTTAAATGTTTTACTACTGTGAGTACTTTAGAAAATAATGTAAATATTTTAGAGGGTTTTGTTAGCCAGGTTTGTGGGTTTTGTAAGCCAAGTTAATAAATGCTCTAGTTTGTGACACCTTTTATTCTATCTTATTTTACCCAGTGTTTTTTTTTTTGTTTTTTTTTTCTAGTACATATGATTCAGACCTCCCTTCCTAATGTCTATATTGTCTGGTCGTTGTCCCAACAACACTTTCATACATAAGCAATAGCTTGTCTTCCAGATGCCAAATCTATGCTGAAATCACATTGATCCATTGATTTTAAAGAGAATAGGTTGTTTAGAAAGTGTGGGATTATACTTCTAAAGGAAGAAGGCAACAGTTATTCTCTCCCCACCCGCAGAGTCGGGGAGTCCCCAAGACCATTGTCACTTCTCACACTAACTACGAGTCTGTCGGCGGTCTCCAAGACCACCCTCAGGTTTGAGAATTTGCTAAAGGACTCACAGAACTCACTGAAAGCTGTTCTGCTTACAGCCACAATTTCTTAACAATGAAAGGATGTACATTAAAATCAGCCAAGGGAAGAGGCTCGGGAGGCAGAGTCCTGGAGAGTTCTAAGCGCGGAGCTCCCAGTTCCTCTGCTGCTGGAGTTACAGATAGTGCTAACTCACCCCGGCAGTGATGCATGACAGTGCTCACCAAGTGTATCAATCAATACATGTACAACTGCGGAAGCTCACCCAAGCCTTGGTGTCCAGAGTTTTCATTGGAACTTGGTCAGATAGACATGGTTGACTGCCACGTGGCTGATCTTTGTCTCCAGTGCCTCCAGAGGTCAAGCTGTTACCCTGGGGCCCAAAGTCCCCACAGTAAATCCCATTGTTAGGCTATCCATTGTGACCCAAGGACCCCCAGGTAAACAAAGGCGTTCTTACCGGGCAGGACATTTCAAGGACTTAGTGGTTACCTTCTGGGAGCCAAGGACAAAGACTAAACCTCTGTACAAGATTTAATCCTCTACTGCACACCGCACACAATTGAGTTCTAGGAGAACAGGAGCAAAGGTGTCCTGTAGTATCTGATAGCTCTAGAAAAATTGTAGTTAGAAGGCTCTAGAATAAAACAAAACCTTGTTCATCTGGTCTGACTTCCTGCCTTTGAACAGAGATGTAATAAACTATTTTACAGATAGGACAACTGATACTAAGTGCTTATGTGACTTGACCACACAACTGGTAAAATGTGAGGTGGGCCTCGAGCCCCAGACTCTTTTCTGCTGGTCCCTTTTCCTAAGGCTCCTGTTCTGAAAAAGTGGCCTGTCTTGACAAAACCAAATGGTGGGGCAGGGAAACAATGATTATTTATTGCTTTGTCCAGACTTAGTATTTTTGTCAAGGGAATATTATTAAATAGAAGTTGGATTTAGAAGATTTAAGATTCTCATTAGCTTCCTTTATAGCATTTTGAAAGTCTGAATTTTCATTAATACATTAACATTAGATGGGTTTCTAGATTTATATTAAAGAAATGAACGTTTTGTATTTAAAACTTTAGGTCAGAATAGCAATGTTGGAAAGTTGAAAACACTATCTGGGGCTCTTGATATAATGGTGAGAACTGAGCACGCATTCCAGCTTATCCAGAAGGAGCTTATAGAAGAATTTGGCCAGGTACATGGAGAAAATGACTGTCTTTGGTTTTTGTGTGTCTTAAGCTACATGGTGAATGTATATAGTGGACGTGTGTGTGTATGTGTGTGGGTATATATACACACATGTACATATGTATGCTATGCACTAAAACATTTTAACAGTGATTTGTTATATTTGCCTGGTATTCATCTCCTTTCTTTAATTTGCAAGTATTTTAAAATATTTTTAAGAATATATCTCAACAAGACCATAGTTAACAAATTATAAAGTCTCTTAAGTTTTTTTGTTGCTGTTGGTGGGAATTTGTTTTGTTTTATGTTTTAAAAGAAAAGGCCTGTGCCCTCTTTTCTAATTTCCACTAGAATGCCTGGGAGCAGTTGAATGGTGAATGGGCCTAAGCAGGCTCCTCAGGAAGGAATTTCTCGTTTTCTGGGCATTCCGGCATTCATTTTACCTTCTGCTGTTGCTAAAAGCTTCCTGAAGCCCCCATGTTGCGCCCACCTATTGCTCTTCTAGCCCTGCTTGGTCAAATCCTGTGTGGTACCGTACATTTCTGCGTTGTGTCTAATGTTGGAAAGTCAGGATTAATTTCTTCTACAAAAGTGCCTATTGGGGCTGAGACATTTTAATTATGTGTTTTAGTCTATCAAAATGATCATAGGTGTGCTTTTTGTTTGTTTGTCTTGTTTAGGGTTAAAAATGTATTGGATGAATGAAACTGCAGTTCCATCACTTGGTACGATATGAAACTACAGTTGTTGGATAGCTCGAGTAAAATAACTTTTTGTTGTTTTTAGCCTAAGAGTGGTGACGCCGCTGCAGCTGCTGATGCTTCTCCTAGTCTCAATCGAGAAGAAGTGATGAAACTCCTCAGTATATTTGAGTCTCGGTTGTCATTTCTTCTCCTTCAGTCCATTAAACTGCTATCTTCAACTAAAAAGAAAACAAGGTAAATTAAGTGGTTATTTGTAGGAATTTCTTTCCTAGCACCCTACCTATAAAAATTTTCTCTACTAACATCATAAAGAAAAACTAGGGGCCAGGCACATTGGCTCACACCTGCAATCCCAGCACTTTGGGAGGCCAAGGCAGGCAGATCACTTGAGTTCAGGAGTTCGAGACCAGCCCGGCCAACATGGTGAAACCCCATCTCTACCAAAAATACAAAAACTAACCGGTATGGTGGCGGGCGCCTGTTAATCCTAGCTACAGGGGAGGCTGAGGCACGAGACTTGCTTGAACCCAGGAGGTGGAGGTTGCAGCGAGCTGAAATCACACCACTGCACTGCAGCCTAGGCAACAGAGTGAGACACCATCTCAAAAAAAAAAAAAAAGGAAAGAAAGAAAAAAATAGGTTGTATTCTGTCTTGTCTTCTATGTGGATAGTAGAATTTTAAGTGGTGTTCCTTCTTGACTTGTTAAACTAGGTAAGAACCCTCTCCACAAAGCCTTCTATGTATTGAAATTACAGAAAGAAAGAAATCTTGCTGCCTAAGGGCAAATACTCTGTTGTTAACGTTTTCCTTGAGGGAGATGAATAACCCTGGAATGAAGATCTGCGTTTCTAGTGATGCTTCTGAATGTTGTCATTAATGGAGGGTCTCGACTGGAGTTTGATGCTCAGGGCCAAGTGCACTGCAGAATAGAGGACAGAACACAGAAGCAGGAGAGAAGCAGGAGAGAAGAGCGCACACCTCCGCAGAAATGTTCTAATGGCCCTGAGTCATCTTGTTGCGCTTACATTCTTTTGTCAAAGTTTGTTATTTTGGCATTATTGATTTAATTTGAAATTTCAGTAGTAAGTACTAGATCAGGAAAGTAATATCAATGATATGCCTTCCTTGTTTTTAAATATAAGTGCAATCTGGCCATATTACAAAATTTGGAAAATAGAGAAAAGGAAATGACAACCATTTATCCTAATACATCCATTGTTACCAGTTATCTTATGTATATTTTACCGATGTATAATCTTAGGGTACAGATCATTTTTGTCTGTTTATTTTTTTATGTTACATACAGTAAAATGGACTCTTTGTGGTGTATACTTCTTCAAACCTTGACAAATGCATATAGATGTGTGCCTGCCACCACAGTTATGACAGAAAACAGTTCCGTCACTCCAAGAATTCCCTCCTGCTGTCCCCTTTGCAGTCAACCCTGCCCCTGCCCCCAATTCCTCAGGATCTCAGGGAGAAAGTTTTCAGTCTTTTACCATTAAGCCTCATATCAGCTGTGGGGCTTTGTAGAGGCCTTTATCAAGTTGAGGATGTTTTCTTCTATTCTGAATTTGCTAAGAGTGTTTCTATCATGAATGGATATTGAATTTGTGTCCAGTGCTTTTATTACATTTATTGAGATGACTACATGGTTTCCCTTGTTTAGCCTTGTTTAGTGGATTACGTTGATTCTTCAGATGTTAAACCAGCTTTGCATTCCTGGGATAAATCCCAGTTTGTTGTGATGAAGGATTCTTTTTATGTATTACTGGATCCAGTTTGCTGATATTTTGTTGATAATTTTTGTGTCTATGCATAGGGGATAGTGGTCTACAGCTCACTTTTCTTATAATGGGTTTGTGTGGTTTGGGTATTAGAACAGTGCTGGCCTCATAAAGTCTGTGGGTTCATGTTCCCTCTTCTGTTTTCTGAAAGAGATTGTATAGAATTGGTACTATGTCTTCATTAAACATGTAGTAGAATTTACCAGTAAAACCATCTTAACCTGGAGTTTACTTTGTTGGAAGTTTTTAAACGGTGAGTTCAATTTCTTTTCATGGATACAGTATTACTCAGGCTGTCTTTTTCTTGAATAAACGAGGGTCCATCATCTAAATTGTCAAATGTATAGATTCACAGTATCCCTTATTATCCTTTTAATGTCTAAGGGGGTTTGTGATGATAGCCCTTCTTTTAGTCCTGATATTGGTAATCCTTCTGTTTTTCTTGGTCATTCTAGCTAGAAGTTTTCGATTTTTTTTTTCCAATCTTTTCAAAGAACCAACTTTTGGCTTGATTGACTGTTTCTTCCCCTCATTGTTTCTCTCTTTTAAATGTCATCAATTTCTGCCGTTCATTTCCTTCCTTCTACTTGTTTTGGACTTAATTTGCTCTTTTTGTAGTTTCTTAAGGTGGAAGCCTAGATTACTAATTTGAGACATTTTTCCTTTTTAATATAAGATTTGCTGCCAAAAATTTTCTTCTAAAGCACTGCTTTTGCTACATCTCATATATTTTTGTATATTTTCGTTTTCATTTGTTTCAAAATAATATTTGATATCCTGAGACTTCTCCTTTGACCCATTTGTTATTTGAAGTGTGCTGTTTAGTTTCTGAATATTGGGACTTGTTAGCTATCTTTTGATATTGCTTGCTAGTTGAATTCTATTATGTGCTGAGACCATAACTGTGTTTGTTCTCTTCTTTCACGTTTGTGTAGATTTGTTTTATGGCCTAGAATATGGTTTATCTTGGCACATGTTCCATGTGTACTTGAAAAATCTGCGTGTCCTGCTGTTTGGGGTAAAGCATTGTGTAAATGTCAGTTAGGTTAAGCGTGTTCATAGTATTGTTCAGGTCTTCTGTATTCTCACTGAATTTCTGTCTATTGCTATCAATTTACTGAGCGAGGAGTGTTGAAGTCTCCAGCTACGCTTATGGATTTATCTGTTTCTCCTCTCAGCACTGTCAGTTTTGTTTCATGTGTTTTTGAAGCTCTGTTAGGTACACACACGTAGGATTGTGATATCTGGGAGAACTGACCTCCTTATTACTACAGATGTCCGTCCCTCTTTGATAATATAGCTACTCAACGTTCTTTTGGTTAATGTCTTTTTTTGTATGTCTTTTATATTAAAATTGGGTTTCCTATAGGTGGCAATAGTTGGGTCTTGCTTTTTATTTTTTATTTACTTATATTTATGTTTAGTTTTTTTGAGACAAGGTCTCACTCTGTCACTCAGGCTGGAGTGCAGTGGCATGATCATAGCTCACTGCAGCCCCAACTTCCTGGGCTCAAGCAATCCCCCACCTCAGCCTCTCAGAGTAGCTGGGACCACGGGTGTGCCCCACGACACCCAACTAATTTTTTAATTTTTTGTAGAGATGGGGTCTTGCCATGTTGCCCAGGCTGGTCTCAAAACTCCTGGGTCAAGCAGTCCACCTTCCCCAGACTCCCAAAGTGCTGGGATTACAAGTATGAGCCACTGCACCTGGCCCAAGGGTCTTGCTTTTTAAATCCAGTCTTACAATTGGTGTCTCTAGACCATTCACATTTAATATGATTCTTTCTCTGCCTTCTGTTAATTATTTTCTGTGATTCCATTTTATTTCACTATTGATTTATTATGTGCCACTTTTTAATTATTTTGGCAGTTGACCTAGGATTTTGCAGTATACATCGTTAATCTTTCATGAGAGGCCACCTTCAAGTAATATGATACTGCTTTACATGTACTGTAAAGACCTTCTAACAGTAGACTCCCAATTCCTTCCTCCCGTCTTTTGTACTGTTATTATACGTTTTACTTGTACATATGTTATAAACAGAATACACTGCTACTAGTTTTTACCTTATACAGTTATCTTTAAGAGCAATTAAAGGGAACAGGAAATTTTATTTACCTTCATTTATTCCATTTCAGTACTCTTACTTTTTGTGTAGGTTTCTGTCTAGCATCATATTCCTTCTGCCTGAAAAACTTTTAGCATTTAGCATTTGTAGGTGTGCTAGCAATGAATTCTATCTTTTCAATTGAGAGAGTTTTTATTCTTTTTTCAGTCTTGGAAGATCTTTGAGCAGAGTATAGAATTCTGGGTTAACAGTCCTTTTCATTCAGTACTTTAAAGATGTCACTCCATTGTCTCTGGCCTGTGTGTTTTCTGACCAGAAGCCAGCTGTGTTTCCTACTTTTGTTCATCTGTTAGAAATGCATCTTCCTTGCCTGTAGGCGCCTCACCCCCCAGCAGTTTAACTATGATAGGCTTGAGTGTGTCGTGATGGCTTTTACCTCTGGCTTCAGCATTTTTCTTTCTTCTGTTCCATTCTCTCTCCTCCTCTGTAGCCCGTTATGCCTATGTTAGACTGTTTGATGTTATTCCACAGCTCTTGGATATTCCGTTCTGGTTTTTTTGATGCCATTTTTTCCTTTTTGTGATTTTGTTTGGGTAATTTCTGTTGAACTGTCTTCAAGTTCATGGATTCCTTACTTGGTTTTGTGTCATCTACAGTTGAACTTTTTGAAGGCATTCTTTGTCTCTGTTACAATGTTCCTTATTTCTAGCAATTGCCCTGGGTTCATTCTTACAGTTCCAGCTCTCTGCTGAAATCACCAATCTGACCTTGCGTGGCATCCATCTTGTCCATTAGTGTCTTGAACATACTAATTATAGTCCTTTTAAATTCCCTATGAGATAGTTCCAACATCTGTGTCATAATTAGCTGGTTCTGTTGATTCTTTGTCTCTTGGAAGTATGTTGTTTTTTCCTTGCCTTCCGTATATCTCTTGTTTGTTGAAAACTGGACACCTTATGTATGATAGTAGAGACCAAGAGAAATATTTTTTTTTTGCCTGGAATTTTTTGTACTTTCCCCCTGCTACGGCTTTAGTGTGGGAAGTGGAATTCATTTTTCTAGCCTGGAGTTGAGCTGTGGTTGAGATTTTTTTATTGCGATGGTTACCTTCCATGTACCACAGGCTTCAAGTTTTCCTAGCAGTCCTCGTGTGTAGGGTGGAACAGATCTGCAGAAGGTGATTCTTAGTGTCTTCTCTACCTTCAGCTCTAGGTCTTTCTTTTGTTTTGCACCTTAGAGAGGGTCTGTCTTTATACTCTCACAGTTCTTCCAGCCATATTCCACTGTCACTGGTCCTTCGGTGCCTTTTCGCCTGTTTGGGAGGGAGCAGGGAGTTAGCAAGGACTCCATAGTTGTTTAAGCCTCAGTCCAGGCAGACACTCGTGTCCCTGAGTCTCAGGACTGTGGCCTTCCCACTGCTCCTGCACCCCCACCTAACCCTTCAGAGTGTTTTTTTCTGTTCCCTTCCCCTCTCTTCATTGACTTTAACCAACGCCCTAAGGTTGGCAGGGTTCATTGTCTTCCCCCACCCCCATTGAGTCTTTTGTTTCATAGAGGAGAAGGGTCCAGGTGGGGTTGCTGGTCCCTCCCATAGCAGCTGCTGTTACCCTGTCATAGGTCTACAGCAGGAGGGTCAGTCTGTCAGGATTCTCACTGGTCTTTTATGTGGGCATTTGGTGAGGTCCTTGGAGAAAAGCCAGTAAGAAGATGTGAACCCCCTGACTCCACAGAGGCCCTATACTTTCTCACCAGCCTCACTGGGCCCCCACCAACCCATTCACTATTTTAGCTAAATGCTTACTGGCATCTGGCTGCATCTGCCCCAGGTAAGGAAGGACTGTCCTTTCTCTCCCTGTATCAGCCTGTCTCTCCTTAGATTGCAGGCTAGTTGGCTGCCCCACCTCTCTCATGGATTTAAGAAGAGCCATGACCTTGTAGTTTGCCCTGCTTGAGCCAGAGACTTTTTCCGGTTCTGCACCATGAATAGAAACTTCTTTCAATAATTGCCTTTGAACTAAGTGCCATGGCTTACACCTGTGATCCCAGCTATTTGGGAGACTGAGGCAGGAGAATTACATGAACCCAGGAGTTCAAGGCCACAGCAAGCTCTGATGGCACCACTGCACTCCAGCCTGGGAGACAGAGCAAAACCCAACTCTTTAAAAAAAAGAAAAAAAATGGCTTTTGAATAATTCTCTATAGTCTAAGGAGAGCTTTTATTTGGTTGTGTGTGTTTTTATTTTTATTTATTTTTTTTTTTGAGACAGAGTCTCGCTCTGTCGCCCACGCTGGAGTGCAGTGGCGCAATCTCGGCTCACTGCAAGCTCCGCCTCCCAGGTTCACGCCATTCTCCTGCCTCAGCCTCCCGAGTAGCTGGGACTACAGGCATCCGCCACCACACCCGGCTAATTTTTTGTATTTTTAGTAGAGACGGGGTTTCACCGTGTTAGCCAGGATGGTCTCGATCTTCTGACCTCATGATCCACCTGCCTCAGCCTCCCAAAGTGCCGGGATTACAAGTGTGAGCCACCGCGCCTGGCCTTATTTGGTTGTTAATCCACAGTGTCTGCACCATATCCTGGTTGTGGTACACAGCAGCGGGTGTTGATACACTCACTGTAATTTAGCAGAGACATCCATCTTTTTGAAGAGCCCTAAGGCGGAGCAGATACTGCATATGGTAACAAGGCTTGGAAAGAATTCCTGCCTTTTTCTAACAGCAGTGGGTAAAGTTTTTAAATTTGTATTGGTTTCCACAAGATGGTAATATAAATATATGATACATGAGAAAAAGTGATTCATTGATTTTTCACAAGTCAATCATTTGAGTAATTGGTAATAGGTAATAGTTTCAGTTTTATCTTTTATAACTGTAACAGTCATATGTATGACCTAAGTAATTTTTATTTTAATGGAAGGTTTTCTAAGCTTCTGTTTATTTAGGTTATTAATATTCTGCTGAAAACTATTGTAATCTAAAGTTTTCATGCATGACACATACAATCTTATTTAGCTAATTTATATTGATTTTAAGGTTTATTAAACTTAAATGTGATAATGTGTTAATAAAATAAACACTTTGACAAGTTTCAAAACAAAAATATTAATTACTAAGTCAGTGACTATTTCATTTTTCACTGATGTGCAAATGAAAACATCTATAATTTTATTGTTAAGAGGAAAATACCCTCTGCCACAGGCTTAGTTGTTTCACAGTGAATACATGAACATTCTCTTTTGCAATATAGAGAGAAATCAGAATGAGACCTAAAAGAAAGAAAATGCAATCAGCCCTCTGTATCCAAGGATTCTGCATCCACAGATTCAACCAACCACAGACTGAAAATATTAAATAAATAAAAAATAATACAAATTTAAAAAGCAATATAGTATAACAACTATTTATATGGCATTGACATTGTATTAGGTATTATAAGTCATCTAGAGTTGATTTAAAGTATATAGGAAGATGTACACAGCCTAAATGCAAATGCTGCACCATTTTATATCAGGGACTCCAGCCTCCTCAAATTTTAGTTTCCTGGAGGGTCCTGGAACCAATCCTCCACAGATACTGAGAGGCCATGTTAAACAAATTTTTGTTTTATTTTTTGACTACTGCTTTTTCCACTTCATGCCCTCTGGCAAAAAAATAAACAAGGCTTAATAATTAAAATCTTAAGTTTATTAGATTCCTATAGAATTAGAGTGAAAGATGCATTTTACTTGTTTAAAAAAAATTTTTGTTTTCATTTTCAGGTGATGCAGGCATTTCATCATCATATGACAACTGCATTGGCATTGACCTGCTAGAAATTCTAGCAGTAGCAGTTTGTTAGGCCAAAGGTTTTCTCTTTTCTCTTTTTGAATTTAGAATTTACTCTTCTACTGTATTTTAATATTCATTGCTTTCACAGATCCAGGCCTCTTAACATTTTGGTGGCTTTGCGGTTTAATATAATGAAATACCATAAAAAGTAGAAGTAATCTCTGAAGATTCAGGGAGCTCTCTGCTGCAGTGCTAAGAACAGATCCTTTGGATTCATGGGTTGTTCCCATTAGATGTGTACATTTAATATTTTGTTAAGATTAGTAAAAAGGGAGATGAAAGAATGTAAGTTAGTTCCCTTTAGAAAAAGCCTGTGAGATGATGGAGCCCTCTGAATAGGGGTCATAGGTCAGTGAAACTGCTGATAAGAATGCATTAAGGAAGGCGTGATTTGTAGAAATTGGAAGATGAAGATTTAAGATTCAGAGTTATGGTTAGGACAAATCAAAAGATTTTAAGTTTATGATCCCTGCAGCCATCAATTATCTTTAGGCACCCAACTATTAATAAAATGACAGTGTGATGTCATTGTCCACAAAGAATAAGTCATCTTTCAAATGCCTTTTCTAATTGTTAAGTGCTAATGCCTTGATTACTGTCAGAGTAATTTAAATTTTCTATAAGATTATCAAAGGTTTTGTGACTGTTAACTCCCCACAAAACTAAAATCTAGCCAATCTTAGGCCCAGATTACAGATAGGGAATGCATTTGGAACAGTCACTTGCTGTACTGTGGTTGTTGGGGGAAGGCAGGAGGAGATTTGCCTGATAAAATAAGTGGGAATTGGAGGGGAGAAATGTCTAAAGGCAGCGATGGGGATCCTGTGGAGGAGGAATGGAGCCAGGAATAATAGAAAGGGGAACTCCTGGGGAAGGGAGCTCTGCATGCTGGCTGCTCTGTGGCAGGCCTGACTGGCAAGCCCTTGGGTGAAGGGAGAAAATTTGTACCCTGAAGAGGTGAAAGAGCATAGCATTTGAAATTGGAAAACATGACATTTTGACCTTAGTCCAAACTGTTAACCCTTCTGGGCCTTAGGTTTTACATCTGTAAATTCAAAATGCTAGTCCTTGCCTATCTGAGGGGATGGGATTATTGTAAGGCTCAGATGTGTTCATGGACACTGAAAAGAGTTGTGGAATTGTTACCTGGTATCTGGTTATGTGAGCCAGGGGTCTCCACCTGGACTCATTTAAAAAAAAAAAAAAAGATGCTAGATATGAACTGCCACGTAATTACTAGTCTTTTCCAGTAGTAACAAAAATAGAATTCACCGATCCATCATAAGGGGTAAATGTTTTCAGGACAAACTGTAAACTGAAATAGTTTTCAGGTAGAGTACTGTCTAGTACTCTTCAGCTGAGGGGCAGTCTTCACACAGAATTGCACTGACATTTTCAGAGTAAACTGAGATGCAGCAGTTCTTGTAATTCAGGAATCCATGTTTAAATCCTAGGTAGTTCTAGCTCTAGAGACGGCAGTACAACAGTGGCTTTAGATGTGTGTTTATGACACAGGAAGGCGCTTAGGCCGAGCTTGAGGAACAGAGGAAATACTGCATAGCTCCTTCTGTGCCCTCACCCGGCTCCACTGCATTTTCTTCATGGCCGTCCGTCTGTCACTCTCTTGTTTACTATGGTTTCCCCCAGTGCCTCCCCTCCCCTCCCCCAAACTCCTACCTCAATAGGATGCAAATTCCATAAGGCAGGGGCTTCTTTTTGCCTGTTTTGTTCTCTGTCAAGAGCAATTCCTAGTACATAATAGGCATTCAAATATTTATAAAAGGAATGAGTACTGGATTTCATTGATGTATTGAAATAAATGTGTAGAAACAGGCCCATGAGCAATATGTAAAAGAAGGCAGGTCTGAACCCGGCAGGAGAGGAATGCCTGCTGCTCTGTGAAGAGTGACTGTTGGGCTGTCACTGTCCGGTTTTCTGGACCTCTGAATTGTCGGTAGGCATTGCTGGTCCCTTACCTGTCTCTTTTTCTTTTTTAACCCTAGCAATAACATCGAAGATGACACAATTCTCAAAACCAACAAGCACATTTACTCCCAGCTTTTGAGAGCAACTGCAAATAAAACCGCGACTCTTCTGGAAAGAATCAACGTTATCGTCCACCTGCTGGGCCAGCTTGCCGCCGGCAGTGCAGCGAGCAGCAATGCCGTTCAGTGACTGCACAGAGCCGTGTCCCAGACACGCTGTCAGTGCCTTCAACACGGAGCCGGTTTGTTCATTCGGTGCTTTGTTTCATTAAATAATAGGGAAATATCCATTTAAAACAGGTATATCAGTGGAAACACAGAGTTATTTTAAGTGACAGACAAATTACGGTTGAGTTCTGTGGCTTCTTCACTTGAAGTGCTAACATCAGAATCAAACTTAAAGCTTCCACTATTTATGTCTTTGAGAAGTATGTAGTACCTCGGTATTAACAGACCTGCTGTGATGCAGTTACACTTTCACGTATTTTTGAAGTATGTCAAGCTACACGGGTCTAAGATATGATTATTTTGGATAAAATGTTACTTTGGTCAAGAGAACTTTTATCCAGATGACATTACAGGTTCAAGTGGGTTAAGGAGACCTCCTGTACATCTACAGTGTTTCCTTTTAAATTGTCCAGAAAAAAGGTGTGTTCTTCATAAGCTTCAGTGCAGGATTTTTCAAAGACGAGCTGTTGTGCAATTTGCTGTATTTAATGCATGTTCTGAAAGGATTCACTTTTGACTTTATATGACAGTTGATCAAGAACAGGTACTACCCCTTTTTTTCATTTCAAACTTGAAACTGTGAATAAGGTAAGAAAACTATTTTGAATAAATAAACTATTTATTTAAAATGTCTTTGTATTTTTCCAATTTCCATTCTTCACATTGAGTTTTGATTTGAACTCAGTCTAAAATTAATAAACTTTACAAAGCAAAGCTCAAAACATTAAAAGTAAAATTCTGCTGTCCACTAAATTCTCCCTAGAATATTTTACTTATTGCTGCTGCTACATGGCTCTTGTCCAGTTACACACAAACATCCCCTGTTCTTTGTAATGGCTACAGTGCACAAGGCTGTTTTCGTTCATAATTCATATTTTCAATTTCAAGACAGTGTAACAGATAAAACAGGCTCTTTCGAGGTGAGGTGAAGGTCTGGACTTCTGTGCATGACACCATTGTAGGTAGGTCTGCTGCGTAGGCCTGGGGGCAGGTGCACTGGAGATTCGGCCAGCTCCCTGCAGGCCCTCCATGGTGGCCAGAACCCGCTCCCACACCAGCCAGACCTCTGAAGGAATTCCAACTATACTAGAAAACTGTCTAGAAGACCTAGTTTTAAGCCGAATTTTTACAGAGCTATGATGTAAAAGAGACTTCTTTCTCTTTTACAGAGATTTTCAGGTGTTTTCATTGGCTGAGATTTTTTTGTTTGTTTTGAGACAGGGTCTCACTGTCACCCAGGCTGGAATGCAGTGGCACAATCTCAGCTTACTGCAACCTCTGCCTCCCAGGCTTAAGGGATCCTCCCAGCTCAGCCTCCCAAGTAGCTGTGACTACAGGTGTGCACCACCACGCCTGGCTAATTTTTTGTATTTTTAGTAGAGACAGGGTTTTGCCATGTTGCCCAAGCTGGTCTCGAACTCCTGAGCTCAAGGGATCCACCTGCCTCGGCCTCCCAAAGTGCTGGGATTATAGGCGTGAGCCACCACACCCAGCCTACTAACAGTGAGTTAACATCCATCATAGCTTAGCAGAATTCTCTCTTGCCATTTGTCCACTTGGTTGTTGTTTACTTAGTTTGCATTTTCCCTGGAACAGATTTGTATCGGTTTGCAACAATTAATCACTGAAACATTTAAAGTTTTGCCTAAATTGTAAAGCAGTTGTACGAATTCAGCAATGTTTCATTTCAGGACCACTGTCATTCCGTTTCCCCTTGTAGCAAGTGTACACACATCATAAAACTGTCTTTGCCCTGCTAGATAAACCTAGACACTTCTGTTGATTATAATGAAAGATGATATAGTATCTTTTGGGTTAATGAATTCAAAAGGATGTTCCTACTTAGGTAGGAATGAGCTGGGATTAGGGGTATGAGAGATGCTTATCTTTCCTCCCAGCCCCTCTCCTTGGTTGAAACAACCTTTCAGTCACGAGGAAAATTTGTTCTGAAGCAAGTAAGAATAAATTCTAGTTATCTTCCTTTGTCAAAGCAATAACATGAAAGTTCCTACAGGGGGGAATAAAGATCCTTATAAAATACATTTGTAACTTGCTGTTTTTAACTTAAAATTTCCTGAAGTACCTGTGTTTTAGCTATTCCTTTAGAAGAAGAAATTTGGTATTTGTGGCCTGATCATTGAGGCTACTGAATCCATTTCAGTTAATTTCAGATTTTGTTCACATCATTACAAATGACATTGGGTTTTTGTTTGGGTTAAGAGTTAATAGCCATATTATGTAAGAGTTAAAGGGATATAATGCCTATCCTAGATATAACTGATATTGGAGAAATAAAATTATCCAGCTAGCTTCAAGAGTCTCCTTTTGGTAGTCTGGTCTTTAGAACCTAAGTAAACTGTCATGTAAAGTGGTAGGAGAGAACACTAAATGAATTATAGTGAACCAGGAAAGCTGTTCTGTTCAGGGCCATTTGGGTTGCAGGCCTGTGTGTTCAAACAAGAGGGTGCAACTCACTGCAGGGCCCGAGACCACCACAGTGACACAGAGGAAGTGCAGAGGGCCCTGGGCTGGGATTTGGAGATGAGGACCCAGAGCTACCACTGGGTTTGACTTTTGGCAGGATACAAACAGATGAACTTTGGCTAATATGACTGGAAATGTGTACAGTAGTATCCATCCTGCCACGCTGACAGAGTTGTGAAGATCAAGAGAGAAATACACATGAAAACCTTTTGTACACTGTGTTTAGAGAAATGTCATTCTGACAGGGACTGTGGAGGGCAATTTATTTGAATCCTGTGACTTTCCCATTAAATCCCTCAGTAAAATCATCTCTGTGGCATCTCCTTCCTTGACAGCTTGACCCAGGGCTCTGGCCGCCCTTCCAACTCCCATCAGGTGGCCAAGCAGTTGGGATGGGCAGAGCCCCACAGAGTAGAAAGCAGGCAAAGATCATTGGATGCTTAGTTTTTGTTTTTTTGTTTTTTTAAACCTTTTAGTTTATGAATTATGTTTTGCCTGAGCAATTGTTTTTAAATCAAGTATTTTAAAAGTTCAACTAAGGCTTTTCCCATTGGGTTTTAACTTACAGTGCCATATTTTCTTCAGCTACTGAAAATCCGGTTTTCTTTGTAAACAGTATCAGAATTTTAGCGAAGTCCTATGACCCTCCATTTCCTACTTTTTCTTATTACATGTTCAGTGTGGAGATATGGACGTCACAAACATCAAACCACTTCTCTGAAATAAACTTTTTTGGAAATAAGCCATTAGCAGGAAGCCAGGAATTCTGTTGTTTGTCCTTGTCATTAACTACCTTCCAGTATGCATTGCCTTTGAAAAAGAAAATGGAGTTGTATGCATAGGAGTAATAAGCGGAATCTATATTTCTGAAAGGATGATTTTGTGGTATTACTGCTGGAAAAACTTCAGTAATCCTCTTTGGATAAGAATTAAGTACTCGATTTCTGTTGACATCAAATGCAAATACCTGCAAAGCAAATAAGATAGACTGGCTCTTCTGAAAATTATTAATATTTTTTGGTTAATTTATAACAATGAGATAAGTAACTCAAGACTTTGTACCAAATTCTTTAGACTTGAACTTCTTAATTTTCCATCATGCTCTGCCATTGCTATTTAGATCTGAAGTGAGTACACGTTTTTTGTTTTTTTTTTGGGCCCGGTCTCACTCTTGCCCAGGCTGGACTGGAGTGCAAGTGGTGCAATCACAGCTCACTGCAGCCTCAACCTCCCAGGCTCAAGTGATCCTCTTGCCTTAGCCTCCTAGGCAGCTGGGAACACAGGCACGTGCCACCACACCTGGATAATTTCTGTATTTTTTGTTGAGACCGAAACATGGGTTTCACCATGTTGCCCAGACTGGTCTCAAACTCCTGGGCTTAAGCGATCCGCCCACCTTGGCCTCCCAAAGTGCGGGATTACAGGCATGCGCCACTGTGGCAGGCCAAGTACAGCTTTTAAATATGAACTTGGTCATCTGACGAATCTCTATTAGGGATGACAGAAGCATTGCTAGGCTGAAGAGCCTTCTACTTACAAGGGACTCCTTGAAGAAGTAAATTAACTTCTGTCTTCGGTCATAAAACGCCGTGTCTAGGGGACTTGGGATGCCAGGAAATCCTTCTGAAATCAATTTGGGATAGCTTTTTCCTTGTTCATCTTCTGTGAGGGCCTGATCCTTGTCACTGTCATATCTCCAGTATTGATTTCCTGAGAGCCAAACAAAATACGTTCATGTGGTTTATTACTATTAAATCACGTGACAAAAAGGACAGTTTTCAATCTAGGTCTCAGCCAATCCTGTACAATGTGTTGCCATGATTCTAGGAGAAAACGGGGCTTTCGGCATCTGAGTGAAGCCTCCACTCCGCCATTTCCCCGCGTCTTGAATTACTCTTACATTTAACCCAGGAAGTGCATTTTTCTTGGCCGTCACTGCTGCAGTTGGAATGCTGGTTGCCTTTCACACCAAAGCAAACCCTGCCCCATGAACATCATCCTCCCGGCTCTCATCAAAAGCAAAAACAAAACAGCAAAAATCATGTCATTTTTACCTTAGTATCTTAATGTTTTTTTCTTCTTCCTTTATAGTCTAAAGATGTTCCTTTTAATGTTAGTGGCCCAAGGCTTGGAATCACTTTCGTATCCTAATCAATCTAAGTTCTTTTTTTACTGAAGAAATCATGATCCTTATCAGTGGATTATACCTTGAGTGTTTTAGAGTCCCCTAGTCCCACCACCACGCCCATCTTACAAATAAGGACACTGGAGTAGAGAGCTGAAGTGACTGGTCCACATTCAGACAGCCTAGGCTGAGCCAGGAATGCAAGCCAGGACTCTCAAATGCCACTCCAGAGAGGCTCCCCACTGTCCTGTGAAATGGAACTTTGCTCCATTTTGTTTCAGAGTTCAGATGCTCATTTCGTGCTCTAAATCAGTAGAAGCTTATTTTAGCTGCTTCTTGTTAGTTCCTAATCCTGGATATTTGGCATCTTGCCAACAGAATAGACTAGATCCACTTAGATGCTTTGGTGTTCACAGTTCACAGAACACCCCAAGCAGTACGTTCCTTAGCAACCAAATATTTAATATACTTGGAAAATTTCACCATTAACAGTGTGACGTTCATCCAGTTAGAGATGCAGTTCACTCTAACAGGAATTTCTTTTAATCCAAAATATTCATAGCAAATTAAGATGTTTTTAAAGCTCCAAGAATAAAATACAGCTGTATTGTAGCAGTTACCCTATGATGACCTAAATCTATAATTATGATTCTTTGAGTGTTGCCAACATAAATTCTAGTCTGGGACTTCTTAAAACCCTGAAAGATGTGCTTCCAACTCTGAAAGACCTGAACTATAAAAGTCAGCTGTAAGTCAGTTTTTTTATGTAACTGAAATAATTCTTCCTTTGTGTGATATGAAGGAAAACTGAGACCAGATTTATATACAGGATCCTTATGGTAAAATTTGCATATAAAGTTCATTCAGTTTGGCTCTCACCTTGTTAAGTCTTTTTGAGCAATTTAAAGCCCTATGGTTATATTACCAGGATTCAGGCAGAGGGGCTACACAACTTGTCTCTGGGTAGGAAAGGGGAAGGAAAAAGCAGTGACCCCAAAATCATGTTTATGATCGGACTCTGTGCTGTCTGGTTTTGCAAAGGCAGCGTGCCTCGTGCACCGGGTCCAGGGTACTGGATGAGACCGGGTGTGAATAAGGAGCAGCGGCAGTAAGAGTCCCAGACCTGCCTTTCTTGGTGTGTTCCCCATGACCCCCCAGGCTCCATCACATCAGTCTCTGTCTTCCAGCAAAACACTGACCTTCCATGTTGAGCAATTGCCATTGATGGCTCGTGGCCTGCTCAGTGAAGTCCAGCCCCGACCCTGGCATTCGAGGCCCTCCGTGGTTGGGCCAACCCGCCTTTCTAGCCTGACCTCATCCCGGGTAAGTCTGTCACCAGCTTTGATGGACCCCAGTCTCACAGCTCTGTGGCTTTTTCACTCCCAACCCCACGGCTTCGCTTCTGCTGCTCGTCTCTGACCACTTCCATGCCCTCATCCACTCTCCATTCTGGGTGCCTTTTTCTGGGCATCCCAGATCCCACCCATCCTTGAGTCTAGGCCACGACCTGATTCCTGGGGGCGCCAGCACCCAATTCCAGGTAGCAGTGATCACCTCTTCTGCTCGGTCTGCCCCTTAAAAACACTTCTGTTGCTAGATGTCCAAGGTATTTTTTTTTCCCTCCAGAACCAGATTAAAACTCCTGCAGGGCAGGGCCCTTTCTTACAGTTTTTTGGCAGCCACCTTAGTACCTAGGAAAGTTCATTCACTCATTCGGTGACTTAGTGCCGTCTTAAAAAGATCAGGGCCTGGGTGCAGTGGTTCACACCTGTAATCCCAACACTTTGAGAGGCCAAGGTGGGAAAGCGGCTTGAAGCCAGGAGTTCAAGACTAGCCTGGGCAACATAGTGAGACCCCATCTCTAAAAAAAAAAAATTGTTTTAATTAAGCCAGGTGTAGTGGTGCGTGCCTGTGGTCCCAGCTACTCAGGAGGCTGAGGTGGGAACAGCACTTGAGCCCGGGAGGTCAAGGCTGTAGTGAGCCGTGATTGTGCACTCCAGCCTGGGTAACAGTGAAACTCTGTCTCAGAAACAAAAAAAATGGAATACAACCCAATCCTTGTGCCCTCAGAGCTTCCAGTCTGATGGAGCAGACAGAAATTAAGCAAGTAATGACAAGAGCATTACAACAGATTCCTTGGTAGGGGCTCAAGACATTCCTTCTGAGTGCATTCGTTTAATGAGAGAAATAGAACCATCCATGAAGAATCTGTACCTTGAAAAAAATAACGTTCATCTCTTTTCCATGTCCAGATGTGAACAAAGGCATCTATGTTGTGTGTTGGGATTCCAGGCCAGCCAGTGAGGATTTGGATAGGGTCCCCATAGCGTGTCCTATTGTTTCGATTTTCATAAAGCCAGTACCAGCTGTTACGGAAGAAATATGTGCTAAATCTCACCATCACCTCTCCATATTGGTTTCTCTCTTTGCGAATCCAGTCAAACGCAGTATCAAATGATCCCTCACAGGAGCCTTAAAAAAACAAACAAAAAACAGCCACTTGTCACATACATGGTGCAAAACTTATATTTTCATATGTGACTTGAATGAAGACAGTTGCAAAGCTGGGGCTTTCTATAAAAACACCTTAAAGCAAGACACCATGTAAGGCTGAAGTGGGGCCAGGTGCAGTGGCGCATGCCTGTAATCCCAGCACCTTGGGAGACCGAGACAGGAGGATTGCTTGAGTTCAAGACCAGCCTGGGCAACATGGTGAAACCCAGTGTCTACAAAAAAAAAAAAAAATACAAAAAGTAGCCGGGCATGGTGGCACGTGCCTGTGGTCCCTTGGCACAGGTTACTTGGGAAGCTGAGGTGGGAGGATTGCTTGAGCCTGAGAAGTTGAGGCTGCAGTGAGCTGAGATCAGTCCACTACACTCCAGCTTGGGCGATAGAGTGAGACCCTATCTTGAAAAGAAAAAAAAACAGATTGAGGTGGTGCGCAGAGGGAGCTGGAGGTGCCAGGCTGCCTGCTACAGTCCTGGTTCACAGGCACATCCTGGCTTCATTCTTCACAGTGCCCCAGGCCACTCTCAGAAGCATCTCAGTTTGGTTGTGAAGTTATGTACGGTTGACCACCCTAAATATAGCTACTGAATGCCTCCCTTGACACCTTGATGGCAGTTTGACTTCATTAGAGGGAAGAAGTTTGATTCTGGGCTCATGTAAGAGTAAGATTTCCACTGGGGCAAGTCCGTGTGTCCTGGCTGTTGTTGTCTCCAAAGACACAGAGTGCTGAGAATGGGGGGATGTGAGAACAGAAATGGGGTGGTCTCTGTTAGGGACTATTTTTTTTTTTTTTTGAGATGGAGTCTCGCTCTGTCACCCAGGCTGGAGTGCAGTGGTGCAATCTTGGCTCACTGCAACCTCCACCTCATGGGTTCAAGCAATTCTCCTGCCTCAGCCTCCCAAGTAGCTGGGATTACAGGCGTGTGCCACCATGTCCGGCTAATTTTTGTATTTATGGTAGAGAAAGGGTTTCAACATGTTGGCCAGGCTGGTCTCGAACTTCTGACATCAAGAATCCGCCCACCTTGGCCTCCCAAAGTGCTGGGATTGCAGGCATGAGCCACTGTGCCCGGCCTAGGGACCTTTGAATGGAAAAGAGGAGGACAGCTTTCTTCCCTTGGGCCTCGGTACTAAATCACTAACCACTTTAATTAAATAATCAACCACTAGAACGTTTGGCCTGAACGATTCTAAATAGAGATTGGAGCTTATCCTGGCCAGGCTAAGCTCAGTTTTTTGGGATTGCAGTAAACTCCCAGGGCTTCCAGTGTGTGCGTCTCTGGTGGGATGCCACAGCACGGGTTGGGGGCCCGCTTGTGTTGAGAAAACCACCCCGCATTCACTGTCCTCCTGGGAAATGCATGTGGTGAGAGAGGACACAGGAGGGACTGGCTGTCGACTGGGCAAAACCACTTTTTAACTGAGAGAATGGCATCAGGGAGCTAGAGGGTGGCTACCCTTGGGTGACATGAGTTGTACAACGTTGCGCTCTTAGGCCCAGTTTCCCAGTGAGGAGTGAGCGGGGTCCTACAGTGCTCTGGAATACAGTGTCCTCCGCTAGCTCAGGGATGCCCTCCGCAGCAGTCTTACCATACAGCTTTTGAATTGCTTTCCTGTCTGACCAGTCCAACTCAAAGGCAGGCTCCTGGGGAATGTAATTTGGTTGCATTATGGATCCCGTCCTGTAGGTGTGAGGCAAGCCCAGGACATGGCCAATTTCATGGACGGCCACCTAGAAGGGGACACACACCATGGGTGCTGGGTGAAGCCTGGGCGATGGATCCCTGCATAACAGACGCAGGCCTGTGCTTCGAGAGGAGCGTTGCTTGTGAAGAGGGGAGCACCGGTGGAACTGGGGAGCCATTCCACGGATTCACCTCCTCAGAGGTTGCGGACACTACATGAGAAAAGCTTGGACTTTTTGGACGTCAGCCCATGAGCACTGCTGGTGTCTTATCAACACAGTGGCTCAGGACCACTGACCTTGAGAAGGCTGATGCCCGTGTCACTGGTGGGAGGTGTGAAGTGCTCGTCGTCGTCAAAGTGAATGTCACCTAGGCGCCAGGCGTGTGCAAACTCCTGCCCGCTCCCATCGAAGGCCCGCGGACAGCCCAGGTGCCGGCCTGGCGAGGGGGAGGAGGAGTTGGTCCCGGTGAAGGATGAGTGCCCCCCATACAGACTCCTCACCTAGGGGGTCCCCAGCCTCCAGGAGCCGGCAGCAGAGGTAGACAGAGTGGCAGCTCCTGGATTAAGTCCTCAATGTGCGGAGGGTGGGAGACGGTTTGTTTGTAAACTGTGTTTACAGTCCACAGACTGTCAGAGACCAGCAGGCACCAAGTGCCTGGGAGCAGAGGGGAGCGGGGCTGGGTGAGAGCCCGGCTGGGGGCCTGGGAAGATGGCAAAAAGGCCTCACCCGGACAAGATCGGGGCCGGATCCTCGCCTCTGCGGAGGTCGTGAAATATTGAAAGCTGGGTCCCTTAAAATTTGTCTTTTTCAGCCAACCGTGTCCCTATACTTCTCACCCTGGGACATTAACCCAGTGAGACCAGAAGACAGCCCTGAGCACCCCCGGGTCACAGATGGGGCTGCAAAGCGGCTTGTCTGCTTGCTGCTTGTCTCTGACCACTTCCATGCCCTCACCCACTCTCCATTCTGGGTGCCTTTTTGTGGGTATCCCAGATCCCACCCATCCTTGAGTCTAGGCCAAGACCGGATTCCTGGGGACGCCAGCACCCAATTTCAGGTGGCAGTGATCCTCTTCTGCTTGGTCTGCCCCTTAAAAACACTTCTGTTGCTAGACGTCCAAGGTATTTTGTCCCGCATTTGTCCAATTGTAAGACGGAGGTGGTGGCAACTTGTGCCTGACCCTGCCCTGTCCTGAGACCCCAGCTGCTGCTCCCTAGGGAAGCTGGAGGCACAGGCAGGGGGCCCGAGTGGGACTTTGAGGAGCAGCCCGGGCAGCAGCCTGTGCCCAGGGCCGGCCCTAGTGTCCCAGTAGGCCACACCAGGCTATCTGCAGGGTGACCATGATTCCGACAAGACGACGCTGACCGGTGGCTTCTGCCTGCCCCGCTGACAGGTGCCCCCGGGACAGGCCGGGAGGGCTTAGCCCCCCATTCTGCAGGTGGCCGAGGTGGGGGTAGGTGCGCCGGGGTCCCCGAGGGGCTGGGTCGGGCAGGCAGGGAGCCCGGGGTGCTCTTACCTCTCCCAAAGCCCAGCTTGATGTCGACCGCGGCCCCGGGGGCGGCCAGGTCCTCGCGGAAGTCCAGCGGCGTCACCTCGCTCCACATCCTGAAGGCCAGCGCCACAATGCGCCGCTGGTCGGCCACGGACAGTTGGCTGCTCAGGGCCTCGCCCAGCAGCCGCCAGCTCAGCGTCCTCTTGGAGAAGGCCTGGGCAGCTCCGCCGTCGGGGTAGCCCCGGGGCTGCCAACCCCGCCGGGACAAGGACAGCGGCGCCCGCGGGGAGCGCCTGGAGCGGGCTCTGGGGGGCGGGCCCGGGGGCGAAGGCGGGGCGGAGGGGGGCGGTGGGCGCATGTCCGGGACCCCGCAGCGCGGCCGGTTCATGGCCGCTAGGGTGGCCGCGTCCAGCTCCCCGCTGGCCGGCAGCGCGTTCGCCCGCTGGAACCTGCGCACCGCCTCGGCCAGGGCGGCGCCCTTGGGGGTCTCCGGCGGCCCCTCGGGACTGGGCCCCCAGGCCGCCCACACCCCTGACCAGCCGTATCTGGACAGGAACCGCTGTGGGAGAGAAAGGCACCCTAATCTGGGCCGCCTCGCTCGGGGCCCTCCCGGGCTGCCCTGCCCCAAAGTCTAGAGAGACAGAGACATGGGGATAGAGACAGAGACAGAGAGAAGCAGAGAGACAGACAGGGAGAAACAGATGGAGATAGCAATAGAAACAGGAAGACAGAGAGAGATAGAGATACAGAGAGAGCGGCAGTGAGAGACAGAGACAGGAGAGAGGTAGACAGGAGAGAAGGAGCGAGTCCTGGGCGCCTTCCTGAGTGCGGGCCCTGGATGGGCACCAGGCTGAGTCAGAGGCGCCCTAGGGCCGGAGGAGCAGGAGACCTGGGCAGCGGGGTGGGCGAGTGCCGGGAGGAGGTAAGAGGTCGCGGGGGAGGAAGACGCTCCCCCCGGCCTTGCGGGGCAGGTCGCGCAGGGCAGGTCGTGCGGGGCAGGTGGGGGGTGCCAAGGAAGTCCGGGCGTGGCCACACCGCAGAGAAAGCCATGGGAGGCACGTCCTGAGAGCTGGGAATTGGAACTGAGGGGCTTGGCAGTGGTTGGGTCTGAGGACCTGGGGGGCTTCCTCATGGCCGCACAGCGGGAGGGAGGTCAGCGGCCTCCACGCGGCTGCGGGCCTGGCCACAGGGCGGCTCTCCTGCTCCCTGCCCTGGCCTCTGGGGCACTGTGGGAGCTGGGGATTGGACTTGACCCTGAGCATCAGCTCCTGGCCTATGGTGACCAAAGGACCACGTGCCAGAGCAGGTGAAGGGGCCTCATGGGTCCACTCCCTGCCCGCCACCACGACTCTCTGGAGGAGGGGATCGCCTGCATTGGACCTCCTGGGTGCTTCACCACAGACTCCGGTGAAGTCCACGGATGCCACCCCAGACAGCTGTTAGGATCCTTACTATTGCGGTGTTGGGGAACCTTGCAGGGCTGTCCCCTTCTCTACATCCAGAGATTGGCATGGTGAGCAGCCACAGAATGCCTTCGGACAGTGCCTTGGCCACTACAGTATCACATGCTTGCCTTTGGAAAGGCACTTGGCATTTGAGTCTGTTGTCTGCGCACTGACATTTCTTTCTCACTAGGGCTGACCTGTGGGATTGTCGAATCAGGTTAAGCATCGATTCATGGTTGTTCCAATAGGAGCCACAGGAGCCACTCCTCCCTCTCAGCCCAGCCTGCCTGGCCCTTCTCTGCCTCTGCACAGCCGGCATCCTGGCCTGTGCCTGTGCGCGCGTGCGCATGTGCCTGTGTGCACGTGCACGGGCCTGGGGGTATTGCTGTTCTTCCAGCTTCCTCCTACCTGAGCAGCGTGGAGGTCGGCAATGGGCTTGGCCTGGCGCAGTGGGGACGGCTCCAGGTCCGAGCGGTCCCGGCTGTGGAAGAGACTCTCGGGCTGGGTGGGCCAGGGAGCAGCCAGCCAGCAGAGCAGCAGTGTCGGACGGAAGATGGAGGCGGCGAGCATTGGCCTGGTCTGAACCCTTGCCCTCCCTGCCTGGCTTCTTCCCCGTCCCCGTCACCTCTCCTTAAGGAGCAGGACCTAGGGTGGCTTTTATAAGCTACGCAGGAGGGAGCACCCAGGTTTCCAAGCATTTCTCACCCAGCCCTGAAGTGTGCCCGCTAGGAGGCCACGTGGCAGGCCCTGGGCGTGCTGCCTTTGAAGACCCCAGGCTCACCTTTCTTGTTGGTGTGAGAACTCCTTCTCTCAGCCTCCAGAGTTTGCCATGTCCTCCGATAATTACATCCTCCAGTTGCCAGTGCCTGTGGGTTCCATTTCTATGGAGATATACTGCGGGCAAGTTTGCCGCTAAATGAGCTGTGGAATTAACAGAGGCACGAGACTGCGCCCCTAACAACATGCCTCTCAGAGCTGAGCCTGAGTTTAAAAACCCTGACCGTTAGTTTGCTTACAGTTTGGGTCACTTTTTTTTTCTTGGTGAACTGGGGTTTGGAGATTTTTAGTTTGTTTCTCACACATTTTTTGTGTGGCTTTTCTTCTTTTTGTTTATCTTTATATAAAGGAGATCTTCTGAGCAGATAGTATAAATTGTAAAAGTACTGAGAATGAAGGAGACATTCTGTGATTCCGGTGGTGACATTTCAGTGAACATTCTTGCAGATACATATGCACAGATGCCTAGAGAAGTATTTGTGTGTGTCTCTCATTTTACATGAACTCTATTCTCTGTTCTTACAAGCCAGCACAACGTTACAGGCACTTTTCTGTTTCTGAATGTAAGTATTTATCGTTCTAGTTAATGACTGCACAGCGTCCCATTCTGTGGGTAAAGATTTTTATAGAAGGATAAACTAGAATCACCTCAGCCCACTACTTTTTCCCCTCATGGAGAAGCCTCAAGTTTCTTTGGGATCCTGAAGACAGAGCCCCTGAACTGGGCTTTTATCTGAGCAGATGTCCTCCTGAGAGTGCAGACTGACTGGGTCACAGCCGTCCATGGGAATATTGAGAATCATAGAAATACGGAGAGGCCAGGTGCAGTGGCTCAGACCCATAATCCCAGCGTTGCGGGAGGCTGAGGCAGGAGGACTGAGGCCAGGAGTTTGAGACAAGCAAGGGCAACAAAATGAGACCTCATTTCTATCAAAAAATGTTTAAAAATTAGCTTGGCATCGGCCGGGCGTGGTGGCTCACACCTATAATCCCAACACTTTAGGAAACCAAGGTGGGTGGATTGCTTGAATCCAGGAGTTCAAGACCAGCAAGAGTTCAAGACCAGCCTGGGCAACATGATGAAACCCCATCTCTACTAAAAATACAAAAATTAGCCAGGTGTAGTGGCATGCGTGCCAATAGTTCCAGCTACTTAGGGGAGCTGAGGCTGGAGGATCACTTGTGTCCAGGAGGTTAAGACTGAAATGAGCCGAGATCACGTCACTGCACAACAACTTGGATGACAGAATGAGACCCTGTTTCAAAAGGAAAAAAAAAGTGGATAGAGTGATGTGTGCCACTTGCAGGCCTGAACTCTAAGACCACCCTCCTATTCTCTGTGATTTCTCTTCCCTCAACTCCTGACCAGACGCAGAGCCTCCAGCAGAAGTGGCTTGGATCCCTGAATCCCCCTGTGGAAGGCCACCCTCAAACCCTTGACTGCTCTGTGACAGGAGCAAGAAACACAACTGTATTGCGTGGAGCCTAAGATTTGGGGTTGGTGGGTGCAGCAGTTAGACAACCCTAATACAGGCCACTAAATGCTTAGTCTGTCCCCAGAAGGACCTGTAACATGCTCCTCATTCCCTAACACCTGTCTCCAGTAGAGACTACAGCTTGCCCTTTCCTCCCTGGTGAAGGCTGCACAGGTCAAAGAGCAGGATGGGTTTTCCTGTCCCTGATGGCTGCCTCCACTCAGGGAAGTGCCCTGCTCCTGTGAGCCTCATGACAGTTTTCTGGGTCACTTCCAGCCTTCCTAGTAGCTGTCCTCTCCCCAAGACGCATTCGCCCCTTTTCTTGCAGGGTTCTCCTGTATTCCATGTCCTTCCATTGTCCTGGACCCTGGCATCCCTGTGAATGACTGGTGCATTGCTCTGACCTCCCTCTCCGTGACTGTGATCTGAAGATTCTCACCTCCACTCCACTCGAGTCACCCGTGGCCTGGCCTCGCCTGGCCCAGCCCTGGCACCCCCTGCACTGCTGCGCCTCTGATCCCACAGGCATAGGCAGCCCCTGATGCCCACCGCTGGCTCTCCTCGGAGCTTCTCACCCTCTTGTCCCTATCACTGGCCCTCTGACCCCCAACTGCACTGAGGGTCCTGAGGGTCCTTCTGCCTCACCCACCTAAGTTGTCTTGGATCCTTGGTTTTTACCCTGTCCAGCTCAGATCCCACAGATGCCGACCAAGCCCTTGCCTGAGAGCCTCCTACCACCCCTGCACTGGGGGCCGCACCCTGGGCGGATCTGGCTTTCTGTTTCCTCCATCTTGCTGAGCACTCATTTGCTCATCCATTTGCTCATCCATTTCCTTTAAACTCATGACTACAGCCCCTTCCCCGTGGGCTCCTGCACTGCACAGCAACCCCCGCATCTCCCACTTTCCTGAGTGTTTCCTTTCCTCCTCTCTTCTTGGTGGGTCACACACAGCCCTGAGGTGCTGACTCTCGGGGCAGGGGAAGGGCAGAGTATGAGAAGGAAAAAGTAAGTAGAGGTTCAGGTTCGCTGCAGGAATTTCTACCCCAGTATCCAGAGGGCTTGCAGGAAATGAATTAAAGTTCTTTGGGCACTGTGATTTTGCAGATGAGAACTGAGAATTTTATGTCAAAGGTCTCCAAGAAGAGCAGGTGTGCACAGGCCTGTGTGGGGCTATCCGTTAGTTATTCATTCAGTCATCATGCAGCAAATATTTATTACTGTCCTAGCGACAGGGAATACAGAAATGAACATGACGAATTCATTCCCTACCATATTAGTCAGGGTTCTCTAGAGGGACAGAATTAATAGGGTAGATATATTAAGTAGTATTAACTCACACGATCACAAAGTCCCACAATAGGCCATCTGTAAGCTGAGGAGCAAGGAAGCCAGTCTGAGTCCCAAAGCTGAAGAACTTGGAGTCCGATGTTCCAGGGCAGGAAGCATCCAGCACAGGAGAAAGATGCAGGCTGGGAGGCTAAGCCAGTCTAGTCTTTTCATGTTTTTCTGCCTGCTTTGTATTCTAGGAGCTGATTAGATGGTGCCCACCCAGATTAAGGGTGGGTCTGCCTGTCCCAGCCCACTGACCCAAATGCTAATCTCCTTTGGCAACACCCTCACAGACACACCCAGGATCAATACTTTACATCCTTCAATCGAATCAAGTGGACACTCAGTATTAACCATCACACCTACCCTCATGGAATGTAGATCCTAAGTAGGGAAGACAGACAATAAACAAAAAAGAAATGAAAAATTCCAATAGTGACAGGTGCTAGGAATAGAATTAGGGAAAGTGAGTGTCTATGGGGAAGAGTGAATGTTCAGGTGAGCAGGAAAGACCTCTTGTGCAGATGAAATCTGGGCAGTAGCAGAAAGATCAGAGGGACTCAGTCACATGTGACTGGGGGTTCGGGAGTGGTGTACATTTTAGGCCAGGAAAGGGCAAGTGCACAGGCCCTGAGGCTGGGACTGGCTGGGCAAACCTACAATAGTAGGGAAGAAAGAACAGCCTGGCTGGACATGAGTGGGAGGAGTGAGCTGGGAGGGGAGGATGAAGAGGAGCAGGTGAAGGTCAGATGGGGAAGGACCCATAGGGCAAATAAGGAGTCTGGGTTCACTGTAAGTTCAGGTGGAACATTTTGAGTGGACAATGCCAGGACTGGCTACTTATTAAAGAACCTCTGTGCAGTTCTGAGGTTGGTGTAGGCTGTGCCTCCTGGGGTGAAACCCTCTGGCTATCATCAACTCCTCTCTGTTTTTCTGACTGTGCCGCACCCTAGAACACTTTCCTGGGCTCTAGGACACCGGGCTTTCCGGGGAAGGCACAGTCCTACACTGTGACCCAGGGGATCCATTCCTCATTGGGCCCACACCGAATGCTGTGGGGGAAAGGTGGGACCTGGGATGCTGGGAAGGGGTGCTCAGGAGGAGCTTGGGCACCCACCACGATCCTTGTTCTGTTTGAAGACTGGCAGTTCTGTCCATTCCACCAGCTCTGGTCAAAGACTGTGCTTCTGAAAGTCAAATCTGAAAAGTTGCATGACAGCTCTCCCCAGTGGGGTAAGATGATTCCCCTTTGGGATTACTGTGGCTTAAACGTTTGTGTTCCCTCCACAATTCATGTTGAAACTTAATCCCCAGTGCAACCGTATTAAGAGGTGGGGCCTTGAGGAGGTGATTGAATCATAAGGCTCTACCATCCTGCCCTTAGAAGCCAGGCTTCAGAGAGCATTCAGCCCTTTGCCCGTCTGCCATATGAGGACACAGTGTTCAAGGCACCATCTGGCAACAGAAACCAGGCCCTCGTCAGACATCAAGTCTTGCTCTTGGACTTGCCAGCCTCCAGAACTGTGAAAATTTTTATTATTTATAAATGACCCAGTCTCAGGTGTTTTGGTATAGCATCACAAATGGACTAAGACAGAGATCACAGGCTTGAGGGCTTCATTACTGAAGGGTCTTGTTCCCTAAAGTTATTATTCTTTAAGAAACTTTATGGTGCGGTGGCCTCATGCAGCTTGGGTGCTTGACTTGGGGAAGTATGTTCACCATGTGGATGTTTGCTCTTCTTTTGGAGGATTCTTCTCTCCGATTATTACTAAGCTTTGGAATGTACTGGCTGCTCAAGGCTGAGAATGTTTGATTAACCAAATTGCTCACTCCAGGTTAATTGGATTTCAAGGAAATCAATTGGATTTAGGAGGGAAAATGTCAGAGGAAGACACGTGACCTACAATAAAGACAACATGAGGGACAGGGGCTCCCGCACAAACTGGTTCCTGGTCTGTGCAGACCACCTCCCGTTCCTGAGGCGGGGCAAGGCTTTGGCTTGGAGCTTCTACAATCTCTGTAAGCCATGACATGCGTAACCTAATTGTCAGCGGGAGAACTGAAGTTTTTTTCCCCTAAAACATTCATCATTTACAAAGTGGATTTGCTTTTTTTTTTTTTTTTTTGAGATAGGGTCTCACTTTGTTACCCAGGCTGAGGAGCAGTGGCACAGTCACAGCTCAACTGCAGCCGTGACTTCTCTGGCTCAAGTGATCTTCCCACCTCAGCCTCCCGCAAGTAGCTGGGACTACAGGTGTGAGCCACCGTGCCCAGCTAATTTTTGTATGTTTTTGTAGAGGTATGGTTTTGCCATGTTGTCCAGGCTGGTCTTGAACTCCTGGGCTCAAGCAATCTGCCCACCTCGGCCTCCCAAAGTGTTGGGATTACAGGCATGAGCCACTGCACCCAGCCTGGATTTGCATATTCTTAGTATAGTTGGACAATAATATTTGGAAACAGTCATTCCCACAGGAGATCTTTGAGCCTTATGTTCAATGAGGGGTCAGTTCTGACTCTGAAAGTGAGCAGAGCTCAGGGGGCCCAGGTGCTGGGGAGTGATGCCATCAGCACCAGGGCAGGCCTGTTGTTTCCAGCTGCATAGCGTGCCTGAGACAGAAAGACCCTTCCCAGTGTCTGTCCTGATTCCCTTCTTTCCAGACTGCATTTTGGTCTCTTTTCATCCACAAATAAACCCTTTTCCCCATCTCTGGGCCGGCATAGGACCCTCGGCCTCCCTGGGGAGAACTGCTTGTGTTTTACACACATGAGAGTCTGCGTTTGGGGCTTGTTCCTCCCTGCAAAGGATGCACATGGAGGCTGCTCAGTGGTTGCGGGAGGGAGGCCCCGCTCACTACCCACCTGCACTTCTCTGCCAAGGCACACCCAGGCCTCCTGGCCTCCGGATGAGAATTATGCTCATCGTTGCTGGTGGTATCCCTCAGAAAGCTCCCAACTGGTTCTGCTCTGAGAGTGGGGCCTTCTGATGAGGAGATGCCCGCAGTCTGCTGGTCAAACCCAGCTCTTCTCAGGGCAGCTGCCAGGGCAACAGCAATGACACCAGTTGAGAAGCTGAGATTTCCCAAGCACGATGGTAAATTCTGTATGTCAGTGTGACGGGGCCAAGGGATGGCCACAGACCTGGTAAAACACTGTTCCTGGGTGTGTCTGTGAGGGTGTTCTACGAGAGATGAGCATTTAAATTAGTAAAGAAGAGCCAGCCTCACCCGCAGGCAGGAGTCATCCAGTCCACTGAGGGCTCGAGGAGAACGAAAAGGCCGACGAAGGGCAAATCCTCCCACTTCCTGAGCTGGGACATTCATCTTCTTTGTCCCTTGAATCCTGTCTATCCAGGTTCCCAGGCCCTCAGAGCCCAGGACTTACAGAAGCACTGCCTTCTCGCACTGCCTTCTCCCCAGGCCTTCTTCAGACGCGGACTGGAAGTCACACCACCAGCTCCCCGGCTCTCAGCCTCCAGGCTCAGGCTGAACTGCAAGCACTGGCTTTCCTGGGTCTCCAGCTTGCGGCCCACAGATGCTGGCCTCCTCGGCCTCCAGAATTATGTGAGCCAATTCCCCTAAGTGCCCCCTAGTCTGTCTGTCTGTCTGTCTGTCTCTCTCTCTCTCTCTGTCCATCTATCCCATTGGTTCTGTTTCTCTGGAGAACCCTAATACATTGAGAGAGAGGACCCCAGAAGCAGACCAGACGCAGAGGGAAGAGGAAGCGGTCTGGCCTGGCTCAGAGATGGGATCTGGCTGGTTACGTGGGACTCCTTTCCGTCTCTGGAAATGCAATTTTTACAGGACTTGGGGGTGTTTGGGTGAGAGGTGAGGAAAAAGTTACGAACTCCCCAGGTCCAGAAATTTAGTCACACGCTGAACACTCAGTAAAGTAACTCAGTGAGTCAGCTTGGTGACAGGCCCCATGAGTGTGAAGCATGCAGAATTTTCCATGCAGATTAAAGCCCCTGTCGCCGAGGTTACACGGCAAAGCTCAACCCACTGCTGCTAGACCCATCTGCTGGCCTCTCTCCCATCTGCACCACGTGGCCCCTGGCTCCCGTCACCCCCCATACTCCTGAAAAGCTGCTACACATGCGCCGCCCCTGAGGGACCCATCAGGCTGAGAACAAGAACCAGCTCTTTCCATAACCGCACCACGCCTGGGTCTCTCTGCTGGCTTGGGGAGGGGACACAGGTTACATGTCAGAGGGTCCAGAGGCTTAGAGGTGGACACGGTACCCTGGAGAAGGGTGTAGGAAGGAACCATCTCAGGCCCAGGCCCAGTTTCTGTCCTGCCGCCGAAAGCGGGTTGACGCTGAGGAGTCTCTACCCTGTCGTCGGAGCATCAGTTTCCCATCCGTTAAGAGAGTTTGAGCTGCTGCCTCCAGATGTGTTCACCACTGAGAAAAGTGTTGCTACAGCCCATTGGAGGGTCAATAGCTTAATGCGGTGATTAACAAACACCGTGTAAAATGTTCTGAGAAATAAATAATATTGCTCATGATTTGCTTCTGGGGCTGAGAGGAGAAGCTTATCTGGGAAAAGCATCGCTGATGGTAAAGGCAGGATTCCGATCATTACCCCCCACACCTATGAGTCCTAGGCCTCTGCTAGGGGCTCAGGGAGCAGAGACAAGCACAGGTCCAGCTCTCAGGAGCCCACAAACACCCTGAGAAGAACAAGGTCTCAGAATGTCAGAGAGGTGGAGTGACCACAGCTTGGAGCTGCGCATACACACGGGCTGTGGGCAGTCAAGCCAGGCTGAAAAGGGGGCTTGGAGGCCATGCCGAGGAACATGACCCCCGTCCTGCAGTCCTGGGGAGCCCCGCCAAGGGGAGGTGGACTCCAGCGTTCCCGTGGGAACACTCTCTCATCTAACTCTCTCTCAGCCCTTGGTCAGCAAAGTTTCAATCTGCCTCCACCTCACTTAACCTTGTGTATGGCATTAAATTCCTCCAAGTCCAGTTTTTCTTGTCCCCAAAATGCAGGTAATAGGACCCACCTGATAGGGCTATTTTGAGGATTAAATGAGATGTTGAGGGGAAATGTTTAAGTCTCTTTTAATTCAGAGTGTTAAGTTTAGCCTAAAGCTGCCTCCTTACATGTTTTAAGTTCAGCCTAAAGAATTCTCCGTATACAGTGAACTGTAACCTAAATAGTTACAGCTATGGGTACAAGAGTAGGTTACAGCCTGTTTGTAGGATACAGCTTGGGCTCTGTCCTAGATGTGTAAACAGGCTGTAACCTACTCTTGTACCAATCACTGAATTTCAGCCAATCAGAGGTGGCCAACTGCTCAAACCCTGTTCAAATAAGGCAAATGCCGAGATGTAACCAATTCAGCTGTTTCTGCATCTCACTTCCATTTTCTGTACGTCACTTTCCCTTTACTGTCCATAAATCTTCAACCACGAGGCAGCGCCCCAGCCTCTCTGAACCTTTCTGGTTTAGGGGCTGCCCCATTCGCAAATCATTCTTTGCTCAATTAAACTCTCTCAAATGTAATTTGTCTAAGGTTTTCTTTTAACAAGAGATAAATATGATAAAAGACTACATTTCTCCTGTAAGCACTGTGCATACCTTCCAAGCAGTAGGGTGCTTACCAGTAAGAACGAAAGAAACTGTCCAAGCAAATGCATTCCTGCAGCTTTTGTAGGTTTTATCAGTATTTTGTGAAAATGAGAATTCTGCTGCTGAAGTCTTTTTGTTGTTTCAGTTGCTTTTCAAACACTTTATATAATTGCACAAGGCATAAATCTATAAATAATATGCAAATACACAGCTTAAAATTGAACTTGATAAAAAGATTCAACAGTAAGTATATGAGGGACTTCTAGTAACCAAACTTTTCTTTTTTTTTTTTTTTTTTTGAGATGGAGTCTCGCTCTGTCACCCAGGCTAGAGTGCAGTGGCGCCATCTTGGCTCACTGCAACCTCCGCCTCCCAAGTTCAAGCAATTCTCCTGTCTCAGCCTCCTGAATAGCTGGGATTACATATGTGCACCACCATACCCAGCTAAGTTTCTGAATTTTTAGTAGAGATGGGGTTTCGCCATGTCAGCCAGGCTGATCTCGAAGCGATCCACCCGCCTCGGCCTCTTGAAGTGCTGGGATTACAGGCATGAGCCACTGCACCAGGCCAAGATTTTCTTAAAAGGGCATTTTATTCAAACTCGGAAACGGTTTATCTTGATGTTTACTCTACCAATTCACTTGATTATTTTATCATTTAGATTTGATTGTAAAAGAAAAAATCTCGTAGTAATAGTGGCTTAAACAAGATAGAAGTCGATATGTCTTTTACACTCAAGAAGTCTAGAGTTGGGATAGTTTTTGTGCCCACAGTGTCACCTTGTTCCAGAAAACTTTCTTTCCCCAATGTCATCTCAGGGCCCAAGATGCCCACTGGAGCTCCAGCTCTTCGATCTGTATTTCAGGAAGAAGGAAGAATGATGTCAGAGGTGTGCATCTCACTACATCCCCTTGGCTACAACTTAATCACACTCTCATGCCTGCCTGCGAAGGAAGCTGGGAAATGTAGTTCTTATTCCAAATGACCACGTACTTTGCTGAATATCAAGGATTCTTGTTCCAGAGTAATGAATATTGAGACCACCTCACTGACTCTATCCCTGTCATCTACTTCCTTAGAATTTTTAGTAAAATGATTCTTGGTAGCTTATTTTCTGAAGACTTGTATACAACACAATGTTTTTATTTTGTTACCTTCTATTCACAGGGAAGTTGTATTAACGCTTAACTCATTAAGTGAGTGACCACGTGTAACTCATGAGTTAAAGCACACAAAACTTACAACACTGTCTGAGAACATGTCCCATCAATGAGCTGTGGCCGGAAGGTCCAGAGGGAACATCTTCAGTTCTCACTGCTAGCCCCTCTGGGCCTGGGGGGCCAGTTGCACTTTACTTTGGCTCTCAAATTCCTGTGTGATCCTTTATTCCTTCCCTGCATGAACTTCTTCAGCAACTCTCCTCCATCCAGGAGCTGGAGGGGAAGGCACGTGAGAGCAGATGCAAAAAGGGAATGTAGATCACACAACTGTGGCAAAACCCTGTGCAGCACATCTGTTGAGCGTCTTCTCCCACCCCACCCTTCTGTCCCTTCTGATCCCCAGGAAGGACACAAGGAGGCTGGCCACCCAGCCTGCTGGGGCGTTACTCTGTTTGGAGCTGGCAGGGTGGGGGGTGCGACTCACTCACCGTCCTGGGTGGCCCTACTGCCACTCAGGGTGTCGAGTGAGACTCTGGCTTCCACCCGGCTTCCCACATTGACTCTGGGAATCCGGCACCTAGAACATCTACGAACTCAAAGCTGAACCTCTCCCAGCACATCAGGAATAGCTGGATCTATTAAAAAGTAGGAATGAAGTTTGGGAACAGATTTCCAAGGCCTTTCTATAGGGCTGTACATTTGCACATGAACCTTTTTTTTTTTTTTTTTAGACAGAGTTTTGCTCTTGTTGCCCAGGCTGGAGTGCAGTGGCACGATCTCAGCTCACTGCAACCTCCAACTCCTGGCTTCAAGCAATTCTCCTGCCTCAGCCTCCCAAGTAGCTGGGATTATAGGCACCCTCCACATCTGGCTAATTCTATATTTTTAGTAGAGATGGGGTTTCACCATGTTGGTCAGGCTGGTCTTGAACTCCTGATCCGCCCGCCTCAGCCTCCCACAGTGCTGGGATTACAGGTGTGAGCCACCGCGCCTGGCCACATGAACCTCTTCTAAGAAAATACTGACCTCCCAGACCCTCAGATTCCTGGGAGATCAGATGGTCTGTTTAATGCTGCAGTTGTATCTTTGAAGAAAAGCCTTATGCCAGCTTCTGTTCACTCCCATCTAGCCACTGAGCCATAGAATGATTAACATAATTATTGCCCTTAACAGAAACTGCAGTCCCGTGGGAGGGTGAGCAGAAGAAATGAGGTGTGACATCCCTGGGCTTCACTTTCTTGAGCTGAGTAATTACAGATCTTACCTTCTGTCCCACCAATACCTTCAGAACCAGGGTTTCTCCACAGTCCCTTTCAAACTGGCTTTTGCCTACTCAGCCTTCACGTTCTCAGGAATCTCCAGCCCAATTGCCAAAGCAAGCCCAGGCTCCCGACTCACGCAATCGTCGAGGACACTGCGCCTGCTGCTTTGCTCATCTCCCGCCCCGTATGAGCTCCCTGCCTTCCTGATCCCAAACAGAACCATCTTTAACCACGCCCTGGCGCACTCCATCTGAAACAAGGCTTCGCCAGAACTGTTAATAGCCTCACATCTCTTCAAAAGGTGGCTTCGGGTTGTGTGGGGATGAAAGGACACACGTGTGGTGTTTACTAGCATGTAGACATTTAGTGAACCTTTGTCCCCGATTCTGTCCCCTACCCCGAGGCTCTGAAAAGGAACCTATTTTCCCTGCCCTGCAACAGGGTGTTTTTCCTCCTCCTTCAATGTGTGCTTCCGAAGCCCACACATCCCTCCCGCTCTTGTCTGCCTACAGCTTGGACTTCTCCTCCTCCTTCCTCACTTCCGGGCTTGTCTTGCTTCTCCAGCCTCTTCACCATGCATGAGGGCATTCCTGATCACACTCCAGCTATGGGGGACCCCATTCCTGCAATCCAGCAGTTTCCAAACACGGGTGCACACTGGAGGCACCTGGAGAGCGTCTAACACCTCCTGCTGCTTGGGCTTTATTCTAGAAACCAATTCAGGGGACTCTCTGGGGGTGGGGCCTGAGCTACTTCATTTTAGAAGCACATTACGTGGTTCTGATGTATAGCCAGGTTCTTAGTTCCTGGGCAAATCTATTTCACTTTGGTACTATGGTGAAAACGTGTATGAAACAGTGCTTGCCCAATTATTTTCCTTAATCTTGACACAAGTGGTCACTTCATGGAACCATCACCATAATCCCGTTTTAGAACAGTTCTCAAAGAATTTCTGTATACTCACATCAAGATTTGGAGAACAATCATCACCAAATTCTAACCTCTCAACTAGTGTGAATCTCCTACGAGGTGGCTGATGAATTTCATTAGTCTAGGCCTCAGTGCTTATGCTCGTCCATGCCTTTTAATTTTGTTCTGGTTCTGCCACTCACTAGCATGTGACCCTGACAAATCATTTCACCTCACCAGAGTCTGTTTCCTCACCAGAAAAATGGAACAATAGGAATGTCCACTCCTCAGGGTTATGAGGAATGGAGATCAGAGACGGGGAGCCCAAATGCCTTTCAGCCAGATCTTTCAAGGAGACAGAGGTGTGTGGGCAGAGCCTTCCCACCACCAGCCCACATGCTACTAAGAGACAAGTCTGGGTTTCAGTCAACTTAGCCTAAACTTCAGGCTGAGTTGGGAATGAAGTTTGGGAACTTTGGGAATGAAGTTTGGGAACAGATTTCCAAAGCCTTTCTGCAGGGCACTGCATTTGCACATGAACCTCTTCTCAGTAAATACCGGCCTCTCTAGCCCCTCAGATTCCTGGGAGATCAGATGGTTTGACTGTCTAATGCTGCAGCTGCATCTTTGAGGGAAAGCAAGTCTTTCTATATTTGAACCACAGTTGTCCATGGCTCACAAGCAGGAACTTCACGGTCCTTTTTATAGAATGAATAAACCTACTTTATATAGAGCAAATTTTCTGATTCATAGCAGGTTTGTGGGTTATCAGAGGTGGGCATACCTGTCTCCTCCCTGAACACAGCTTTGCACTTAAAATGACACACAGCAACCATACACTCAGTAAGCACAGGTAGTCAGTGTGGTTTATTTGACTTCCTTCCTGCTGGGCACAGGAAGCTCTCACAGGGCTAGGGTTTAAGCTGGCTTCCACAGAGGGCAGTCACGTGCACGTGGGCCTGAGGCCAGCCCCAGGTCAGGTCCCGATCCCCGGTCCTCAGGTGCTTCCACTCAGGCTTGAGGCAGGAGTCTGACGGCAGCAGCTCCCGAGAGCCCTTGCCGATGCCTGGCTCCATCCAGAGCCAGCCCAGCCCAGGGAGGCTGCATGGGGCCAGCGCTAGGTGGCTGACTCAGCAGCAGCCATGGGGCTGGAGAGCCTTCCTGATGCCAGTGGCCAGGGCTTGTGGCGTGGGGCTCTCTGCAGTGCAGCTTACAGGAAGGCCCTGGGCGGCCAGCGCGCGAGCCGTAGTGGGGCCGATGGCTGCAAACTATAAAGACAGAAGAGAAAACAGGGCTTCAGCACACCAGGAGGGGCTGGGGCAGCAGGCAGCTGGATGTGTGCAGGGGCCGTCAGCCAGCTTTGCGGTTGGACGTTACTGCTCATGTGACGTGTTTATAAAAATGACAACACTGCCCGATTCTAGCCCAGCTTCTGAGCGTGCAAAATACCTCTGCATCCACGCTCTCATCAGTCTGCCACCCTGAGCGACTGTCGCCAGGCTCAGGTGAGGGGCAGGGACTTGAAGGCCCCAGGCTGGTGCTCACCATCACGGCTGTGTCAGTGCAGTCCTTCCTCAGAGGCTCTAGCTGCAGACAGTTCTTCTTCGGGTGTTGGGGGCCCTGGGTCTGATCAAGGGGAGGATGGTGTGGCAGGGGCAGTGACTGAATCCCCAAGAAAGTAGAGCCATCAAGGTCAGGGCTCTGTGGGCACAGGGTTGGGATTTAAATCCCAGCTCCACAGGACAATGACCTTGGCCCGTGGCCCATCCTCTCTGGCCTCCATCTCCTCATCTGTCAAACCGAAAAGATAACAGGACTCTTCACTGGGCTGCTGTGGGGATCAAATGAGGTGACAGGTGTGAACCACTTGGCCTGGCCCAGAGATAAGCTCAATGACCGTCATGGGCTGCTGCCTATGTTGTCGTGATACTTCCAATCAGCCAATCCGGGGCACTGGCCTCATCCACAGGACATCTCTCTCTGAACAAGCACCACAGGCTCGATGGTTCTGTGCAGAGCCTCGCCTGGGATGGAGCACTGCTTCTGTCCCGGCTCTGCCCCCTGCTAGCTGTTATTAGTGCAAGTCCCTTAGCCTCTCTGATCCTCACCTATAAAAGGGGCACAGTTACCCTGGCCTCAGAGGGCTAGTGTGGGGGTTAAATGAGAGAAGGTCCTCATCCCCCACTCTCCTCTGCATTGAGACTGTGGACCCCAAACCTGTTTGGGAGCAAGTGAGCATCCAACATTGGCAGCCCCTGCCCAGCACTCCGCTTCATCCTCCCTCCCAGCAAGTGAGCAGCAGGCCAGGTGGTAGTGGAGGTAACAAGCCACCTGTACCTCTGCATAACCTCGGATGCTGCGGGACTGAGGCTCCTTCCTCCGGCTGAGTCAGAACGAGGGGAGGGAGGCCACTGTCCTGCAGAGGCCCCGCTCCCACCCCGCCCACAGTACTGCCTTGCTAAGCACCCATTGCTTAGGAAACTCCCTGAGGAAAAAATAAAGTTGGACCCCTACCTCACACAACACACAAAAATCAATTCAAAACAGATCAAATACCTAAGTTCAGAGCTAAAACTACACAACTCGTAGAAGGAAACATAGGAGTAAATCTTCAAAACACTGAATTAAAGCAACACTAAATTAATGGTTTCTTGGATACAACACCCGAAGCACAAGAAACAAAAGAAAAAAACAATAAATTGAACTTTATCAAAAAAGTAAAAAGACAACTCGCAGAATGGGAGAAAATTTTTACAAATCGTATGTCTGATAAAAAGTTTGTATTTAGAGGCCAGGCATGGTAGCTCATGCCTGTAATCCCAGTACTTTGGGAGGCCGAGGTGGGCAGATCACCTGAGGTCAGGAGTTCGAGACCAGCCTGGCCAACATGGTGAAACCCCCTCTGTACTAAAAATGCATATAGTAATCCCAGCTACTTGGGAGGCTGAGGCAGGAGAATTGCTTGAACCCGGGAGGCGGAGGTTGCAGTGAGCTGAGATCGTGCCACTGCACTCCAACCTGGGCAACGAGAGCAAAACTCCATCTCAAAAAAAAAAAAAAATGTATTCAGAGGCCAGGCGCCGTGGCTCATGCCTGTAATACCAACACTTTGGCAGGCCGAGGTGGGCAGATCACCTGAGGTCAGGAGTTCAAGACCAGCCTGGCCAACATGGTGAAACCCCCATCTCTACTAAAAATACAAAAATTAGCCAGGCATGGTGGCGTGCACCTGTAATCCCAGCTACTCAGGAGGCTGAGGCAGGAGAATAGCTTGAACCCCAGAGGCGGAGGTTGCAGTGAGCCACAATTGTGTCACTGCACTCCAGCCTGGGCAACAGAGCGAGACACCATCTCAAAAAAAAAAAAAAAATTGTATTCAGAATAAGGAATTCTGGCAATTCAACAATAAAACGACAAATAACCTGGGTTAAAAGTAGGCAAAGGATTTGAATAGATATCTCTTTAAAGAAGATATAAAAATGACTAACAAACACATAAAAAGATGCTCAACACTGTTAGTCATTAGGGAAATCGAAATCAAATACATGCTGAGAAACCACTTCAGACCCACAAGGATGGCCATAATCAGAGACAGAAAAATAAGGACATGGAGGATATGGAGAAACTGGAACCCTTACACATTGCTAGTGACAATGCAAAATGGCACAACCACTTTGGAAAATAGCAGTAATTCGACCGAACGTTAAAGTTACCTTAGATCTAGTAAATCTACTCCTAGATATACACCCAAGAGAAATGAAAATGTATGTCCACACAGAAAATTGTATTTGAATGTTTAGCATTATTTAATAGCCTGAAAGTGGAAAACAATCCAAATATCCATCAACTAGTGAATGGGTAAATAAAACGGTCCTCAGCATGTACTATTATTTGGCACTAAAAAGGGATGAAGTACTGGTACCAGCTACAGCATGGATGAACCTTGAAAACACTATGCTAGTGAAAAGAGTCAGTTACAAAAGACCACATACTGTATGATTCTATTAATATGAGATGTCCGGAATAGGTAAATCCATGGAGATGAAAAACAGTTGAGTGGTTGCCAAGGAGTGGGAGGAATGAGGGAATGAGGGGTGGCTGCGAATGGGTACCGGGTTTCTCTTTGGGGTGATGATATGTCCTGGAACTAGACAGTGGTGATGGTTGCACAAATCTGTGACTCTCATAAAAATCATGTTAAAGTTTACATATTGGGCTGGGCGTGGTGGCTCACACCTGTAATCCCTACATTTTGGGAGGCCAAGGTGGGAAGATTACTTGAGGCCAGGAGTTTGAGATCAGCCTAGGCAACACAGTGAGACCCCATCTCTAAAAAAATAAAAAAAAAATTTTTAAGTTTACATATTAAAATCATAAAAAGTAAATTTTATGGTTTGTGAATTACATCTCAATAAAGCTATTTAAAAATTTGAAAAAAAGAAACTCCCTGGGACTGGGAACCAGCAAATGGCAAACATGACTGTAGTCCTAGAGCAGGGGTATCAACAGTTTGGTGAAACAGCAGCTTTTTCACAGGAGCCTTTCACTCCTGTGTCAATGAATGCTCACATGATGCTGCCCCACAGAGCAGCAGTCTTCCCCAGGCCAGGCGAGGGGGCCCAGCATCAACGTTCTTTCTCCATCCCTGGCACAAACTGGACGTGAGTGCACCAGCCTGGCTTTGGGGGCAGCAGCCACGTTCACAGCCTGGCTCTGCCACTGTGGCTAGTGAGCACTAGGTGTGAAGATACCCACCTCACAGGCTGCAAGGGCATTTTGCTGTACACAGGAAATTCAGCTGCTGCCATTAGTGTGGTGGTGGTGATTACGAATCTGCTTACCTACTGCTTTGCAGTGACATCTCTGTGGCATTTATAGACAAGTGCGTGGTCTTCCCAAGTCAATGGATAAGTAGCAAGTTCAGGTCGGAAGTCACCCCCTTTGATCTTTTGTGGTGCGCCTGCATGTTGTGCAATGCTGTACAAACAGTGGGCCCTACAGGGACTCCTGGGGAGGGAGGACAGTAGCAAATCTGAGGCTGAGCTGAGACAGAAAAGCCTAACTACCAACTCACGGGCTAGGACTGTGTCCTCTGTGAACCTTGAAAGCACCTCACTATCCAGCGCCAAGTCCCAGTGTCGAGGGACAACTCACAACCCACACACAGTGCCTTCGTGGCCCCCAAGCAGTCCATAGTCACTGTGAGCAAGGCCAGCTCTGTCACTTTCTCCTCCTCAGCAATGGCAGAGGTGTTAACTACTGGCAGGCAGGGTAATCAATCACTGTAGTAAGAGGCGAGGGGGCTACTGAGAGCTCCTCAGAGTGTCTGGAGGGCTGCAGAAATGGGTGTGACAGATACAGGATAGGAACACGCACTCAGCCCCCAGCTGCCATGGGTGTGGACAATGCAGGCAGCAGTCTATTCAGAAAGGCCTGAGTTCTTGGTTCAGATGCTGAGTATCCATTTGTGCTTTTAAATATGCTCACTTTGAAAGAAGATAGAGTATAAATCTTTTGTTCTTCCTCTAGGCAAACACTAAGAAGCTTGGGGAAAACTGTGTTAGGCTTATACCACCAGGCATCTCACAGCATTGTGTGACTTGGGGGTGGGTGGGTGGGGTGGAGGTGGGGACTCCTCCTACAGGCCCAGGGGAGAGGCAGCAGGGCACAGAGGGACAAGAACCAGAGCAGGACCAGCACCGTGACCCATCCTGACCTGCAATATGACGTAAGCGCTGGTCATATGGACCAGTTGCCATGCTAAGCACTTTATGGGTCCTATCTCTTTAATTTTTCTTTTTCTTTCTTTTTTTCTTTTATGGGGCAGGTACGGAGTTTCACTCTTGTCACCCAGGCTGGAGTGCCGTGGCGCGATCTCGGCTCACTGCAACCTCAGTCTCCAGGGTTCAAGCGATTCTCCTGTCTCAGCCTCCCATGTAGCTGGGATTATAGGCGCATGCCACCATGCCCAGCTAATTTTTATATTTTTAGTAAAGACGGGGTTTTCATCATATTGGACAGGCTGGTCTGGAACACCTGACCTCAGGTGATCCGCCTGAGGCCTCCCAAAGTGCTGGGATTCCAGGTGGGAGCCACAGCGCCCGGCCTCTCTCTAATCTTTCTAACCACAAGATTCAGATATTGTTTTTCTTCCTCGGTGACCTGTGTGAGTCCTGGGCCTTCTAGGAACTCAAAACATGACTTTGGCAAGTTGTTTCACCTCTCTAGCCCTCAGTGTCCTCACCTGTAATGAGGAACACTGACCTCTTTTTCTGGATACCCACCACTGGACTGGTGTGAGAATTGTATCAGTTACTGCCCAGAAGTGCATCAACTGCTCAGCAGCTCCTGAGACCATGGCAAGGCATCACCATGGCTGACAATGTGGAATCAGTCTTCCCAGGTTCAACTGCAGCTCTTCCTTCTCAGCAGTGTGACCTACAGACAGGCCATATGATGTCTCTGAGCCCCGTGCTCCATCTTTAAAACTGGGAGAGCGGTGCATACTCCCCACATGAGATGCACCTGTGAGAAGGCAGGTGAAGCCTTTTGCTCTTCCTGACTGCAGTGAGTGGCAGTGTCTGTCCTTGGGCTCTGGGTCACATCCTGCACCCTCTCCTCAGTCCCTCTGGAGCCAGTTCAAGGGTGTTTCTATTACAGACACAAGAGTTGTGGTTATTTGTAGACTCATAATAAATACAGTCCCTAGTAAGTGAGAATGTAAACCCTTTAAAAGATATGAAAAAGGTGACTGCTTTTAGAATAGACAATAATGGCAAACATAAGATGGGGGAAAGGAAGGAAAGGATGTTAACACCTGTACCAAGCCCTGAGCTAATTCAGGACTTTACTCAAATTCCCTCATGTAATCCTGAGACTCATCCTAAGCAGGGAAGACCATACACATGTCTATGAAAGCCACAGAGAGACAATTATCCCCATGCTGCAAGTGAGGAAACGGGCTGGGAGAAGGTGAGCAATCTGTGCAACAGCCCAGCAGGAGGTAGAGCTGCCCTTCCAATTCTAAGGCACCTGCTAGGCCAGGGGTGTCTCACTTGACATTGAAGCCCTAGGATAATTCATAAAGATTAAAAAAAAAAAAAAGAATCTGAAAAAGACCAAAAGCTCATTGAATAACTTACCTTAATTTGATCGATATTGTCACCAGATAACTCCTGAATGTGCTTGAGACTGTATGTGAGGCCAGAGGGACTAAAAAATGTGATGCTGGCTGGAACCCCCTGTGGGGAACAGAAAACAAGATCAGTCCTTGCCATGAGACTGAGGAGAGACAACATTCCTCCGGCTTCATCCGCATCAAGACCTCAAGCCACAGGCCACCAAGGCGGTTTTAGCACAGGAGTGGTTCCCGGCTGATGCTGGCATCCTCTGCTCCAGTGAGGCAGGATTCTGGTAGGGAACTGTTGGAAAGAGCAGGCTGCCATCAGAAAGCTGGTGCTGCCCCAGGTCTGTGTCTGCCTGGCCAGAGGACATGGGCATCCCGGAGCTCATGTGCCCAGCAGCCTAGACAATGCCTCTAGCTCCTGTGGTCATACGGCACTGATCACATGAGGCAGTGGTGTGAGGCAGTGCTGGCTCCCTGTCAATGCTCCCTCCCTCTGGAAGCAGAGCAAGCAGACAAGCCTGCCTGGCCTTTTTGCATTTGGTTTGTCCTATCAGGCCCTCCCAATACCAGGCAAGACATTCAGAAGCTTGCCCTGGGAGAGGAAAGGGAGGTGTTTTACTGCATATAAATGCTGAAGACATCAAGGAACTCAAGCAAGAGCTATCCATTCTCCTGCCTGAGTCCTCCAACAGTCCCCACGGACTCCCAAATTCAATCCAGACTCCTTGGTGGCCACTGTCAGCTCTTCCCACTATGGGCTCAGCCTCCCTCTCCAGTGTCTGCCCCTCCAGCTCCACCAGCATCCCCGTATGATGAATAGCAATGATAACATCAAGGCCACTATTTACCTCAGGGTTGTATGTATCTTCGATGCTGTACAAAAAGCTTTGCGTAAATTATCTCCTTTAACCCCTATAAAAACTTACCACTTCCTCAAAGTCACCACATTAATCTCTCCAAAGAGGGAGATTTCATAGACCACCTACTACAAGCACCTCTTACCGAAATCACTGATTTCAAACCAGCTTGCAATAGACATTTCATGAAACAACCACAAAATTGTTTCCATTCCTAATTCTAGAATCCCAGACCAACTATGTGACAGGAAAAGGCATGCAGGTGACAGCTGGGGACAGTGAAACCACATATAGAACCAACATCTATCAGCTCGTGCCCTTCACCCTCTGCTTCCCCACCTGGGCACCCACCCTGCCAGAACCGCCCCCAAACGCCACGTACCTGCTGGGAATAGTAGCTGTTCAGGTTCCCTTGGATTCCTGGGTGTGCAACTGTCTGATACACAGTTATGCTTTCCATGGCAATCCCTGGGCACAATCAAAAGCAGGAAAGACTTTACCGCACTGGGCACACAATGGGGCCTCCACCACTTCACAGCACAGTTGGTGAAACCTCCCAATACAGCACCACCCTCCTGGAACGAGCTGCTTGGAAGCTGAGAGGCCAGACTCAGCAGAGAGGCCTTGAACAGTCCTCTGCAGCCTGCTAAACGCTGTGGAGTGGTCCGGTGGAAGAGGAGGCTGAGACGGCAGAAAAAGAACAAAGGCCCAGAAACCAAAGCCTTCATTTGTACCCAGAATGCCTTTTGTTCCCAGGCTTATGTAGGTTTGTCCACACAAGGCCGTCCCTAGTCACTCCATGGATCCCACACAGACTGGTTGCATGACACCAGCAAGTGTAGGAAGGGCAGCTCTTGGGAGAGGCCTGGAGTCCAGATCCCCGGCTGCACTCCAGCTGTGCCTCCACATGGCCACGCGTCCCCTCTCTGGGCCTCAGTGTGTCCACTTGTACAAGAACTGATTAAGCCGTGGACTTTCCCACATTCCTCCCTGTGCCATTCAGCGACTCTGAATATTCCCAGGGGTTTTCAGGGCTGGTGATGAGGCGCTAGGCACTGAAGGGACTCACGCAATTTCAGTCAGATATTGACTTATGAGGGGCAGCCAGATGGTAGGTGAAAAGTAGTGAAAACTCAGGCTTCTGAAAATAAAATGGGAAACTCTCTCAGAAGAAATGATAACTTCAGCATAAAACAGCAACCTATTGCCATTTCATATCCCTGAAAACTAAAGAAATAAACTGAAGTATCAAACCTCTGATTTATATATTATTTCTTTAAGGGTAACTGAGACCAAGCTTTCTCTTATTTTATCCTGGTATTTTCTTGTTCCCGAAAAGCTAATGATTTTGCTGATCTTATTACCTAATGTCCTCTGCCTTTATTCCTGGTAGCTTTAGAAGACAGATGATATGGGTAGAAGGGATACGATCTAGCTCCATTTTAATACGGGGGGAAAGTTACAAGGTCTAAGGTCATCCTGGGTCACACTGCTCATGTGGACTATTAGAGCTTCAAAACCCTGGGAGAGACAGTAACAGTCATAGTTCCATGGAGAGCTTGCCTTTGGAGAACAAGGTGTCATGCTACATGATCTCTGAACACCTCTATGAGGCAGGTACCATGGTTATGTACAGATAACCATATTTCACAGATAAGGATACTGATGCACAGAGAGATTACATCACTTACCTTCATTCACATAGCTAATAAACAGCAAGAGGGAGAATTCAAATCTGTTTTTATCTCATCCGAAAGCTGGTACTCCAAACCACTGATAGACTTTGCTCCCAGACTAACTATGTGACAGCAAAAGGTGCGCAGGTGACAGCTAAGACATCTGCATCGAGGACGGCAGCATGCTTCAGAGGCAAGAACTGGTTTCTAGGTGCTGACAGTCTTGGGAGCCACGGCAGGTGGAGCTGGAGGGGCAGGTGGAGCTTGTGTGGCTCGGCTGGAGGGTGCTGCATGCTATTATAAGATCGGCTACATTTGTAGACTTTCTTCTACATGTGGAACCAATTCTATGGTTTGTCACCTCAGTTATCTGCCCAGGGGCCACCTCCACATCTCGATCTCCTGTCCTCTTGGTGAAGGACTGGAGACACACTGTGTGCTCCTAGCTTGAGCTAACAAGCTGGGAAGAGTGGATCCAAAGAAAGGAAAGTGCAGACTGCACGTCCACTCTTCCCATGAGCATGGTCTCTGTGTCTCCTGGCCTGGCTTATCCAACCCAGCCCTGCTCTCCCTTGTGTGCTCTCTGCAGGGCCACCCACTTCTATCACTGCAAAGGCTCCTGGTGGATCCCAAAGTGGTAAGGGATGCAGTCAAAGCATTCTACTCGCCTTTGTCCTTGAGCGCTTTTGGCAGGATTTCTCTTTTGAGGTTTCCACAGGGAAATAGAAGAGGCAGTGCTGAGGACTCCCCTGTGAATAAATAACCAGGCTTTGTGAAAACTCAGGGCCAGTGCCTGTGCACAGGGGAATGGGGAGGGGCAGCTTTGGGAAGGGGGAAGCAGCCCTGGGCTCCAGGCCTGGCTCTGCTTCTAGGACTCAGTTTCAGCATCTGTAAACAGGAAGAGCACCTGCTACCTTGCCGAACTTGAAGGGTTGTTATATGAAGATCATAAGAGGTAATGTGTGTGGAGGTGCTCAGAAAATGAACATCCACACAAACAAGTTAGCCACATTCTTTTAACTCCTTCTGATCCTGAAGTGACTCCCTAGCCTGCAGTCACTATTTAGAAGGCAGACTTTGCACCTTAACTAAGTCAGGAAGGTGAAGATCAGGCCTGGTGCTGACTGGCACTGGGGCAAACATTTTCTACCTTTAAAGAGGCTCCAGATGAGCCAGGGCTCATGCTCAGGAGGCAGCCGGTAACCGGCAGCCAGGAGTGGCTCTGCAGCCACCCCCAACAAAGACAAGCTCACTGCCCACTCCTCTTCTAGCCACACCAACAGCCACTAGGCCAAGTGCCAAAAGGCGAATGCACAGGCCTTAGAGAGAGAAGCCTGCTAAGAACGGCCTGCCTCTCCTTTCACCACAACCTCTGCTCCCAGCATCTCCACTCTGGGAAGACTTAAGGGCATTTTCAGCCCTTAACTCTTTGCAGAATAGTGAGGACAGCATAGGATTTGAATGCCAATTTGCAACAATACTGTCCAAAAAAGCTGATAAGTTGTCAAATGCCAGAATCTTCCCCAAATGTGAAAACACAGCATTTTAGTAGAACCAGCCATTACCCCCCACATCCATCCGTAAGACATAAGAAATTTTAATGGGCGTTATTCATACACATTGTATATTTTCTCACATCCTTATGATCTCTCTGATCACATCTTCTCTGGTGACTACAACGAGAGGAAGGAGCAAAACAACCCCTTTCCATCCAGTACCACCTCTAGCAAGCAGCAGCCAAACAACAGGAATAACTGCAGGCCACTTAATTTCAAGTGTATAAAGGCTACATACTGGTGAATGTTTTCTTTATTTAAACTGCTCTGTAAATATCTGTACCAACATAAAATAAAATAATGAATTGGGAGATTGTTAAATTCGTTAATAGATGCCTGCTGATTTCTCTCTTCCAGTGCGAGGAAATGTTTTCATGCTCTGCATCCCTAGAGACATATTTTCAAAGCCATGTTCAGAGGCAATTTTCTTCCCCGTTTCTGTGTGTCTATGTGTGTGTTGGGGAATGCAGGGTGGAAGATGTTAGGGGCCAAAGCTCTTCCTGGGGATCCAGTAAGAGAACTACAGTCCAGTTTTTCAGCAAGCCCAGCCCCACAGGTGTGCGAGGGGCCTTGGAAAGAGTCAGGAATCTTCCCTTGGCAGCACCTCTTGTGAGGGTCCAGTGGAGTCCTGAGCTGCTCATTCTTATCTCTGACTCACAAGGCTGGGCCGAAGGGGTACGCGGCTCCCTGAGGGCAGCTGCTTGTCTCTATCTCTCCACCACCTGTGCCTTGCAGAGAGCTTGGCTCTGCAGGCACACAGGGCCCACAAATGTCCAACCAGCTCAGCTGACTTCACTGAAAAGGCACCACCCTGTCAGCAGAAAGGAGAAAATTGAAAATGTCCTGGCTGAGTCCTCCTTTGCTGGTGAGGAGAGATCTACAACTACATGTCCTGAAAACTAGCCCACTTCAAAAAGCCAAAGACAAAGGAGTTATTCCCTTTTGGAATATGCTTAATGCCTGGGGATTTATCTTCAGCCCCAACAGGCCAATGGGATGGTTAAGGCTGACACAGAGATAGTGAACTGTGGAGCTCAAAGGCTCTGCTCTCCGTTCGTTTAACAGGAAGAAGGCCTGGAATTCTGGGCTGTCCGGGCTGATGATGAGTAATAACACTGAAAATCCTAACACAGTATTATTATTACGCAGCTCAGGAGGGGGCTTGATAAAGTCACTGCAGGCAATTAAGAAAATGATGATACAAGCAGGAGGCAGACAAATGCCTAGGCAGATAGGGAAGGGTCCCCGGTGAGACCTCACCTTCAAGCCCAGAACAGCCTGAAGTCTGAAAGACCAGATTGCTGGTCCCAGATGAAACCAGCGACCCAGGGGCAGAACGTCTGCCCGTTTGTCTGCCCTTTCCCAATTGATTCTTTCCGAATAATGCCTTTTAACCAATCAAATGTTGCCTTTTCCGATACTACCTATGGTTTACCTGGGCATCCTCGTGTGCGTGCTGGGGGAACGGGGCGGAGTCACTAGGATTCGCACCTTACGCAGGGGAGGAGCCTGGCCTCATCAGCTCATGTGTGGTACCCCTGGTATTCAATAATGAGGGAGAAACCTGCTTGGAGAATCCCTCTCTTTGTTGAGAGCTTTTCTTTCTTTCTTTCTTTTTTTTTTTTTTGTGACGGAGTCTCACTCTTTCACCCAGGCTGGAGTGCAGTGGTGCAATCTCAGCTCACTACAACCTCTGCCTCCTGGGCTCATGCAATTCTCCTGCCTCAGCCTCCTGAGTAGCTGGGATTACAGACGCGGCCACCAAGCCCAGGTAATTTTTGTATTTTTAGTAGAGATGGGGTTTCACCATGTTGGCCAGAACTCCTGACCTGGTCTCAAACTCCTGACTTCAGGTGATCCACCTGCCTCGGCCTCCCAAAGTGCTGGGATTACAGGAGTGAGCCACTGCGCCCAGCTGAGGGCTTTCCTTTCACTTAATAAGTTCTGCCCTTCTCACCCTTCAATGTGTCCACATGCCTAATTTTTCCTGGTCATGAGACAAGAACCCAGATTTAGCTGAATTAAGGAGCAAAAAGTCCTGCATCAATGACACTGACTTTTTAAAATGTCATCTTACTGAAGGACGTGCACACATCTGTAGAACAGTAACAACTTCCAAGTTAACAATGACTTCCCCCTCTCGGGCACTGCCATGAGAATCAGTTCGAGCAGACAGTGGGCGCCTGAGTGCTGATAATAAGGATGAGGAGGCTGATCGGAGGAATGGAAGAAAAGCCCAGTAAGTGTGCCAGGCTGCAGAGATTTTCCCAATCCAGGAGGACATTTCAAATAAACTGCAGTGCAATCTTTCTGCCCACACAGTTTCTCTCTCTTTTCAAAAGTTATACTGTATTCTACCTTTTACCATTTAGTGTGTAATTACTTTCCCATTAGAGGAGATATCTGGGAAAGAAGGAGAATCTATCAGAACAATGAGTTATCAGATTAAATGGATTAATAGCTTTAAGCACTTACAATAGTGCCTGTCACAAAGTAGTTAAGTGTTAACTAAAATAAATAGGCATAGCTATGAATTGGCCTGTTTACTACAAGCATTAGAGGTAGATTTTTAGCTTTTAAAATCAGGCATCAAAGTTTACTGAGAAAGAAAAATCATTAATGCCTTGGTAAAGCCAAGGTGAAGGTCCTTATTAGCAGTCAACATGGATTTTTATTTGGATATTCTAATTGCAAATGGAAGATTTATTAGGACCCATAGATATGCTGGTAATAAATTAGAGGAAATGGCAGAAGTTTGCAAAGAATGCAGACCAGTATTCTCCCAGATAAGGTCAGAATATGTTAATATCTATCCAACCAAGCCTTGAGTCAGTTAACTGAAACACCAATGTGATCACTCAGAAGTGACATTGATCTCTTCTGTCTTGTGTTTGCAAAGCAGGGACACCAGCCTGATGGTTCTGGGTCTTCTAATGAACAACGACTCAGAGGTTCACTTCTGTCTCCTTACAAACAAACTGTGGGTACAGCTCAATGTCTTCACTGAAAACAGGCAGGAGCCACCTATTCTATTAAAGAGCTAATTGTCAGCCACCCATAGAAATAATTACTATTCTTTGTAGAACTTAATCCCACAAGCAATGTCAAGATCTACCATTTACATTTATTTCTACATTTTTAAAAGAAGGGCTTTGATACCATTTATGCGGTGATGATGACTCTCTAGAAACAACATTAGAAACAAAAAGCCTGGAGCCAGACAAGACCCATCTGCATCCTGTACCAGGAACCCCTGGAGCGAACCCTCCACACTGATGTGTGGCTCCATGACCTGAGGAGCGATCCCATGGGGCTGGGGCCACATGGCACGGGGCCCAACCAGTGCTCTCTGATCCGGAAAGCTGGAACAACTGTCTGTGGCTTCCCTGCAGCTATTTCAACACCTGGCTGAATAAAAGAGAGTCACTGCCTGTCTAGGCTGCTGTTAAAGAAAATGACCCCCAGCAATCCAGTCTGGAACATTCCACAGAAAGCAACACGTTGGCCATCAGGCCTTTTCCTTTCAGTTGCTTAGCCTCAGATGCTCTTTGAATTGGCCTCCAGAGGGCTTCTCCACACTGGTGCATGGAGAGGCCTCTTCCGAGAACACCATGTGGCACAAGTGGCCAGAGAAGCACAGGGCCAACCGTCTTTACTAGCAGCAAATGGTGAACACTTTCTACCACAGATTACAGTCTCCTGAACTGTATGTTTTTAGCTTGAAAATGTCTCACAGTGCTGGCTCATGAAACATTCTAGAGAAAGCCTAGCAGTATCTCTTTAGGTACAGCCCAGGTAGGGAGGGTAGGTCTGAGATGGCACGAACTCCCAGCGGTACAGACTGAGGCATCTGTGCGAGGCCCTGTGCGCTCCTGGAGATGAGTTGAGGTCAGGAGGTCCCAGCAGCCCCTTTCCCTTGGGGCTCAGGCTGGCCTCACCCTCAGGGGCTTTCCCCACCGCCTTGCCACCAAGGATGCGGCTAAACCCCAGATATTACTCCAATGATTCATCAGCATAAGGGCACGTCCAAACCCACTTTCTTCACTTCAAAAGATTCCTTTGACTTCTTCACCTGAGGGAAGAGAAATGAGCATATTTTGGACTTGGACTAAGTATCTTTTAGAAGCACACAGAGCAAGGGAGACAGGAAGAGCTTTGGAGTCAGCCAGTCCTAGGCTTGAGCCCCAGCCTACCACTATTAGCTCTGTTCCTTATGGACAAGTTTTCCCTCTCTGAGCTCAGTTTCTTCATGAGCAAAAGCAGGTCTAGTAATCGTTCCCATGTCACAGCTCAGTACCACAATATGTCAGACAATTAAAGGCATGCACAAAATGCCAATGTATGTCAGACTCATAACGGGCCCTCAAACTCCCTGATAGCATTTCTGTTATGCCCCCAGAGCCTCCAGGACCCCGTGGAAGCTGCCTGCCAGCAAGCCCTGGAGCACACTGAGCTGTGGGAAGACGGCTCCTTCAAGGCAAGACCTGCCACAGCACCCCAGGCCCTGCTCTTAGACTGCGATGGCTCTGTAGGTTTTAAAGAATGCTCTTTTTACTTAAGGGATAAATTTCAGAGACACTCCTAAAAAGTCCCAGGAACAAGAGAACTGGGTCCTAATCCAGTGACTGCCTTTTGGGCCCAATCCTGGCTGTACCTAGTGATGCCCGCTAAGAGGGAGCAGGCAGTGTTGTGTTCCCGTCTAGGCCTGGGGAGGACCAATCCAGCCTGAGTCTGACCCGCAGGGGCTGATGTAAGGCCCCGTGCCTCAGGGCTCCGGTCAACTCTCAGAGGCTACTCAGTGCTCCCCAGCTTGCCACCCACTGCCCCTGCCATGCTGTACTCTCCAGGAAAACCCTCTCCTTCCACGTCTCTGCTCAGTGGCTCCCTCTGAGTGGGAGGGCTTGGCCATGGCTACTGCCTGAGGGAGGGCCTGCCCTTCTCTGTGGAGAGGAGGCCATGCCTTTTGTACAGACTTTCCTGAAGACCTCTGCCTTCTTTTGGACACCCTGACATGACACTGTGATACAAGAGGAAATATTTCGTTTTCCTCCCTGTTCCAGGCACAGAGCTTCTGAAACTCTTGGAACTTCCCATTAGAGGTGAGAGGAGCATCTTTTGTTATTCATGATAAACCCCTTTTAACCATACTGGAGTTTATGCTAATGAGGTGACTGGTGGTGGCCCCTAGAAAGCTTCAGGATGGGGGCTGAAGGCCACACAGAGGATCACAACCATGTGATCAAAGGGTTGGAGATGGAGCTAGTCACCAGGGGTCAATGATTTAATCAATGGTGCCTACATAATGGAACCTCCATAAAACCCCTCAACTATGAGTTTATAGAGCTTCTGGGTTGGTGAACACATCCATGTGCCAGGAGGGTGGCGCACCCCAACTCCATGGGGGAAGAAGCTCCTGTGTACTCAGGACCCTTCCAGACCTCTTCATCTGGCTGTTTATCTGTGTCCTTGTTATCTCCTTTATAAAAATCAGTACACATAAGTGTTTCCCTGAGTTCTGTGAGCCATTCTAGCAAATTACTGAACCTGAGTAGGGAGTCGTGAGAACTCCTGACTTGTAGCCAACTTGGACAGAGGTCCCTCAGCATCCAATACTTGTATCTAAAGTGGGGGACAGTTTGCTAAGACTGAGCCCTTAAAGCTGTGGGGTCTGGGTTAATTCTGGGTAATGTCAAAATTAAGTTGTAGGACACCCAGCTGTTATCTGGAGCATTGGAGAATTGGTCATTGATATGAGGAAAAACCCCACCTATTTGGTATCCTGAGTGTTTTACAGGTAGAAACAGGTATCTTAATAGCAGGCCCACCATACAAAAACTGTTCATACCTCTTCTGGTCACTTAATCCACCCTGCCTTATCACGGTTACTGATGTATATGTTCCCCACCCTACCCCACCTCCAGCCCCAGCTAGGCTGGGAACTTCCAGAAGACAGGAATGGAGTTAAACTCCTCTTCAGTCCCAACGCCCTGCAAAGGGCCTGGCACACAGGTGCTCCTGGGTAAACATCTGCCGAACCATATTGAACTGACTTGTTCTCCTGTGATGTGGGAAGCAATATGGGGGGTGGGGCAAGAGAGGCGTCAGTCAATGCATTAATACCTGAAAGCCATGTCCGAGCCGATGAACGCACATCCACTGAACTAAGGAGTGCACAGGCTCAGGATTGCCAAGTGGCCGAAACACTCTGGGACTACAGCTTATTCATCTGAGTGGCCAGAAAAGGCCCGTGTAGTTCCTCTAAACCGGAGGCTCCTTAAGCCTCTGCCCACCAGATTCAAACACAGAGTCAAGCACACTTACGTCTTCATCCCTGCAGGAGCCCCAGTCACTGTAAATCAGAGTGGATGGAGGTGCTTGGCCAGCATCTCCTTGAGAGCAGGTCGGCATGGAGCAGATGCCAGTCAGGCCTCTGAATGTGACAGGCCATGGGATGAGCAGTGGCCTTGCTGTGCTGAGTGTGAATTCCAGCCTGCCACTTCATAGCTTGTGACCTTGGACAAGATCTGGGCCTTGGACCCCCAAGAGTCTCTATAGCAGCACAGTCAGAAAGAACTTTTGGTGATGATGGGAATGTTCTGTGTGGTCCAATTTGGTGCCACTGGCCACAGTGACAAGTGAGCTTGTGAAATGTGCCCAGTGTGACTGAAGAACTAAATTTTCAATTGTATTTAATTTCAATTAATTTACATTTACATTTAAATAGCCGTATGTGGCTAGTGGCTACTGTACTGGCCAGCACAGCTTGCAGTGGACACGATTCTGACTTCATGGGGTGATGGTGAAGATTAAATGACATCATACAGGCCACGTGTCTATGTACCCGAGACACGCTGGGCACTCAGTAAATGCTAGTCTTCAACGTTAACACCGAGCATGTAGTGACTCAGGAAAGGTACAACGAAGTTATTTTTAAAAGAAATTAGAAAAGAGAAAAAAGGAGAATTGGAGAACTTGGAAAGGATCCACTGAGCCCAGCAGTATCTCTGCTGTTCCCTGACTGCTCACTGCCGCCCCCAACCCAGACGACTCTGTCAGGGGCCTAATTAAGCTCCAGGGATCCTCAGACCACAGTGTAGAAAAAGACGCAGGACTTTCTCTAGAACAAGCTCCCAGTAACACAAAGAAAAATATAAGCTAGAGAACCTTCAGGCAACAGCAATGACTTACGGCAGGAAGACTTGTAAGTAATGCCTTATAAGACGTTAGTGTACAAGTTTGCACGTCAAGAAAGGCCAACATCACCTTTAGGAGTATTTTTTTTAAATAACATAAATACTTTGTTTTACCAGAAACAAAACCATCTATCACTGTTTCAGAAGCCATAAAGAGACCTATTTAAGGTATACTCTCTCCCTATACCACTCATCCTGATCTCACCACCCAAGGGCCAAGGCATATACCCCTCTCCTGGGACCACCTTAGAGGAAACTCTCAGCTGTCAGCAGTTCATCTGACCCTGGCCTCCCAGCTCAGCAGACACTCAAGCAATTTTAGAAAGGGGTCAGAAAACTCTAGCCTGGGGTCAAAGCCAAGCCCATTGTTTGTTTATTTCCTATGGCTGCTCTCATGCTTCTGTTGCAGAGATTAGTAGTTCTGACAGACCATTTGCCTGCAAAGCCCAAAATATCCTTAACAGATGAAGTTTGCCAGCTCATGATCTCTAGGAAAGCCTGGATTTCCTCCTCTTCAGCAATCTAAGATAAGATAGTTCTACTTCATGCTCTCATGGGGGTGTATGATCTTACACCTACAGCAGAGGAGTCAAATGACAAGGGTGTAAGAGCTTGCGGTTGTACTGGACATTCAGGGAACAGAGAGGAAGGGAGATGCACCTTAGAGGTGGGGCTGCCCTACAAGTAGACGGTCAGCCTTCCCATCCCTCTTGCTCCAAGAATTTTTGCCTATGTATCTTCTGAAGCCTACAATTCCATAATTAGTTTAAGACTAAGTCCCCATTTAAATGCTAACACCCCTAGAACAAGTGCCACTTTAAATCCAAGTCCACAGGCAGCCCAATCATGAGTCAGTTCTTTACCTGGGAGCAAGCTGGGAGAGGGAATTCAGAGACAGAAGTAGCTCCTGAGAAGGGAAAGGACAGTCCTCAGTAAGGGGAGAGTACCCACTCACACCTCCTGCCTCTGCTCTCTTTGGAATCCCTCAAGTGATCTCTCCACTGTTTTTATCTCCCAAATGTTTTATTTTGTGTTATGTTCAAGTCAAGTTCTTTGGTACAGGGGGTAGAAGGAAGTGGGCTAAACCTCACAAAGTATAGACATACACAAATACAAATAGGCTATGCTCCCAGAGTGGGTTATACGATGCTCACCAATCAATCTCACCACCAAGAATGCACTGAGGAAATATTCTTTTCCCTAGGTAGTGGTTGTGAGGTCAACAAAAAATAAATGGCTTCATTTGGAGTGATGTTTTTCTACTTACTGGAACAAATATATTCTGCAAGCTTTTCTGCATTTCCACAGGTTTCTCCTTCTGTATCCAGGCCAATTTTACTCACTGGAAAACCACAAAGAAATGTATTTCTTAACACGGTTATTGAAGTCCTTTTGTTCCAGCGTTATTTTTTAACGTGCAAATACACAGGTATGCAGTTTACAAATCACATAGAGGATGTCTTTTCTTGAAAGCTACTGAGGGAAGATCACAAGTGTCTGTTCAGAAGAGAAAGCATCAGGTCCTGGTACCTGCACCCCAGTTGTGTAGGCTGGGTAAGTAAGGCCTTAACTAGCTTCCCTGAGCCCCACATAGCTCATCTACAAGAGGGGGAAAAACCAACCACATGGAACTGTTTTAAGGATCGTGTCAGATAATAAGAGCAAAGTGCTTGCCATCTAGAAGGTGCTCAACAAAGGCTGTTTTCTCTTCAGTCAGGAAGGAGATGATGGGCATTTGGTACTTTTTGCAGGAATCGGCATTACAGAGCCTTCATTTTTTTGGGAGGATGTGGCCAGACCACATCCAGAAAGGTGTTATGGCTTGACATGGCCAGACTAAAATGGAAGGAAGGGGAGGAAAGGTTTCATAATAATCTGCTAACAGGGACCCACAGCGCTACAAATACAAGTCATTTAGGATGAGGGGCTATACCAGCACTTTTGTGAGATCCCTATTCATGAACCAAGTAAGAAGCTAACAGACTCAGGCTCCCCCTGCACTTTTCCAGACAGCAAACACTTGGCCACTCCACAAAGCGTGCTGATGAAGGGAGGCCTAAGGGACTGGCTCAGTCAACACTGCTACCTGCTCACAGGAATGTGGAATGCCTCTGAGGAAGGAAGTGCTGTGGGCTTTCCACTTAGGAGTCACACAGAGCCTGGTTAGTAACAAATGGCAGCTTTAATAAAAACACCAGCAGCTTTTAACTTATGGATCATTAAAAACATGCTGAATCAAAAGAAAAATAAAGCTGTAACTCAGTTCAGGAACTAAGCCCTTGCTTATGCTACAGTGGCAACCGAGGCTGGACCTCCTGTCTGAGCTTAGAAGAGCTAAACGCATCAAAAACAAAAGTAAACAAAAAAACCTGTAAAAATCCCACAGGAACTGAACTGAGACATAAGAACTTAGCAGTGACGCTGGTAATCAATATTGACATAAATATGCATTTTTCCCAAGTAATGAAACAATAATAACCATAACCAGAACATTAACTCTCATATATAGCTTTGCTGATCACAAAGTAAGCACTTGCTCATTTGATCCTCACACCACAACCCTGTGAACAGAACAATTACTACTGTACTTGAGAGGGAAGGAAGCTATTAAGCAGTGGCCAGCTCTATTTGTGAGGGCAGAGACTGGGGCTACCCGGTCCACCCCACAGTCCACAGATGGCTCTCAAGAAATGTTTGGGGAATGCATATTTGGTCTAAGGTCTCAGTCCCTGCATGTGGCAAGACTGACTCTGCTTCAAGTCAGTACAACATTTCAACCAACACTCTGGCTGGGTAAGCCCATCTTAAGGGCCCTGCCCAAGTAAAAGCTGACAGTGAAACTTCAAATTGTCTCCAACTGTGTTAAATAAACCTGCCAGAGAGTATTTTTTATATTTGAGAGGTTAAGACACTGACTGCCACAGTTAAAGGGACTATAAGAATGTACTACCAAGTTTGGCTAATTTTTGTTATTTCTGGTAGAGAAGAGATTTCACCATGTTGCCCAGGCTGGTACAGTCTTTCTGTGTTATGAATTCCAAGTTGTTAATTGCTAAGCTATCTTCTGTGACATCACTGGTCTGGGTTTACAAGGCCAAGCAACAGTGCCTACTAAATGGCGCCCAGGTCCAACTTTGCAATCAGATGGGAAAGTTGGGGCACCTGACCTTTGGGCAGCCAAATGGAAGGCTTTCCTAGGATATGGCTGGCTGAGTTGCAAGGTATCAAACCACAAGCCAACCATCTTTGCTTTTTCAATAAAAATTAAAATGTTATTAAAATATGCATATATTATTGAACCAAATAATGTTCTCAGGAGATTTTATGTAGACCAAGTACAGTAAGTCCTCACTTAATGTCAACAATAGATTCTTGGAAATTGCCACTGTAAGTGAAACGACATACAGCAGGTCCTTGAATAACATCGTTTCATTCAACATGTTTTCATTACAACATTGATAAGGAAAAAAAAATTTGTTTCATTATATATCATTTCACTTGAAGTGGCAGTTTCCAAGAACCTATCAACAATGTTAAGTGAGGACTTTCTGTATAATGTTACATAGCATGTACTTTTGAAAAAAATTTATTTTCAAATAAATAGAGACAGGGTTTCACCATGTTGCCCAGGCTGATCTTGAACTCTTAAGTTCAAGTGATCTGCCTGCTTCTGCCTCCCAAAGTGTTAGGATTACAGGTGTGAGCCACTGCACCCAGCCAGCATGTACTTTTTGCCATCTATTATTAATCAATAATACCTGTAAAATTATGTCAGCGTGCAACATTTATAAAGAAATACTGGCATCTTCTCTCACTGGACTTCCACACCGAAATCCCTTGCTATTCACTGGACCCTTGTTTTCATTTCTACTTCAAGAAAAATGTCTACCTTGTCTTCTCTTTGCTTCAAATGTCCAACTTTCCTAACCTGATTCCCAGGCTCTAGGGAGCCAGGGGTGGCTCTTGACTAGAGGGCTTGTGGGCAGTGGAAAGTGGCTCCTAATGATCCCTGTGATCCATGCCCCTGTGTCATCCCTCCGCTTGAGTGTGGGCTGGACTTACTTGATTCAAGCCAAAAGAAATGGCAGAAGAAATGGATGCCACTTCCAAGATTAGGTTATAAAAAGACTGTGGCTTCAGTGGTAGGTGCTCTCTTTTGCTCTCTCTTGGATTGCCTTGCGACAGGGGACGCCAGCTGCCATGTCTTAGGTAGCCCTCTCGGGAGGCCCATGTGAGTGAGCTGGGAAGCAGATCTTCTGAGGCCACTGACAGCTATGTGAGTGATTTTGGAAGCAGACCCTCCCCTAAGTCAAGCCTCAAAATGTCTGTAGCCCTGACCACCAGCTTGACCATGGCCTGGTTACAGAGAAGCCCACTAAATCATGCCCAGATTCTGGCCCACAGAAACATTGAGATGATAAATGCCTGTTTCTAGCTAGTAAGTTTTGGGGTAATTTGGGGGTAATTTGTTACGCAGCAAAGATAATACATTGGGCCTGGTCTCCTCCCAGCTGTTGGTGCTCAACTTCTGATAACTCTCCAGGCTCCTGCTGAGATTCTAGTTGAACAGAAACCTCAGAGAGTTCAAGCAATGCCTTGTCCCTGTACCTACTCAAAAGAGCTCCTTTGTACATTATTATATCTGAAAAGGTGAGCTAAAATAGAATGTTCAAAGTTGGGTGATTGACTTTCATGTCAAGGAAAAATGTGGTTTCCTTTCAAAGACATTTTTAAAAGTTACAACACTTCTAATTTCCTCTCTCCTTTGATAATATGTTCCCTGCATTTAGAACATGTCCTTTTCCTTCACAACTGAATAAACAGGGACCAGACTGAGTCCAGTGAGTGCCTAACTGAGACCAAGGCCCTGCTGCTTGTGCTGCACTTGATATGGTCCACTCTCAGCCACTCTAAGTCTCAAGACATAGATGCTCATCATTCATTGTATCACCATAGTCTTTTTTCTCATTTTCTTCTCATATGACAGGACAGTGACAGCAAAATGCATAGTGATGCTACCGAAATCAAACTGAAGGGGATGTGATGCTCAAAATGTTTGCTTATCAGTGAATGTGTGAAAGTTTGGAAAATGTATAAATATACTGTATATTTGATAGTTGAGTTTTTGGTAGGAAATATAGAGAATGAAAGAAACTGGCTATTTTCTTTCCTCTTCTCATTCAGGAAAAAATGATAAAAGAAAGTAACAAGCAAATTCTTAACTTATTTTTGGAGAGAGATGTGCGGGAGGGAAGATGGTTTCCTTGGCAACCAAGCCACTAATTCCCTTTCCCTGGCTGATCTGCTGAGCTTGTGGTAAAAGTCATGCTGCTCAGAAGATCTAGGAATCATCTTTTAATTAGCTTAGCAACTCCCAACTGGTTTCTTCCCCAGCCTCATTTTGTTCTCTGGAAAATGTGCTTTTAATTCTTAAACTATTTTCACTCATATTATACATTCCTCTAATATTTTCAAATTCACTGGACAAATTGAACTGTTCTGAAACAAAGTTACAGGCTAATTTATGACAATTGCTAAGCATTGTTTTAAGTATTTAAAATGCTCAATGTTAATTTTTAATGATTACTATTTACATTTTATGCTTTAAGAAGAATAAATAGACTCAAGACTGGAAAAATGCACAAAATATTAAGAAAACCAAAAAAAAACAACTATGATATCACTATCTGGAGATTTAGGCTTTTAAAAAAATTATAGTAAAAATATAACATAAAATTTGTCATTTTAATCACTAAGTGCATAATTCAGTGGCATTATGTACATTCACAATGGAATTAGTCAGCCAAAGGGTACAAACATTTTAATAAAGCTTTTGCATACATACTGACCAAGTGGTTCTCAAAAGATGTAAACCAATTTTTAATGCCATTTGGAAATGTTTGATTATATTTGTTTCACTGCATTCTTATCAGTAGTATCGTATACTTAATTAATTTTTGCAAATTTAATAAGCAAAAAATAATATTTTTAAACTGAGTTAAACTGTTTTTTAAAACTGAAAAGGCTAAGCCATTTTTTGTTGTTTTATTTTTACCTTGACTCCTTACCTAGAGAAGCAGTAGCATTTCCAACCACATACACTGACTTGGCATTCCATTTTTCTTTCAGAGACCTTTCCCAGACTGTAAAACATGAAATGATATGTGAATTGCAAATACCAAAGTGGCCATTTGGACTGTTGCCCAAGGCTGCTTGTTCACCCTAAGAAACTGTGAGCAAAGCAAACTATTAGCAACCAAATGTAAAAAACAGCATCTCAAACTAAAATTCCATTTTCACTTTGTTCATGTTTTATAGGCAATTTTTAAAAAATTGCTTTCATAAATGTTTTAGTACTCCTTGCTTGAAATATTAGCCTATCTCCACAGTTGGTACTAGAAGAATTTTAATGGGAACCACGAAATCAACATAACTTGAAGAATTAATCTGCATAGTGAAATCAAAAATTTAAATCTAGACTTTTAAAGAAAAAGACACTGGTCATTTAAAAAAAGCAACTTAAATGTCTAACAAGGAAATCCAATTGGTTTATTTGGGACATAAATCTGAAAGCAGTCAACAAACTGTAATCTCAGAGGAGAGGGTTCATTTATCCATTACACCAAAGTAAAAATAATAAATTTCAGGTCAATTAACAAACACAATTTGATACAGAATATTATCATTTTATGATCAAACAAAATCTTTAAATATAGATTAAAGAAACACAAAGAGAAAATGGATTGTATAAATATATCATAAAGCTACTGGGCATTCATTACATTTTTAGAAAACAGGGAAATAATGGTTCTTCCTTTCCAAAATCTGGTTATGAACATAACTTTCCCTTAAATTCAAGAGCATTCCTCTACCCTTTACATTAAGGGAAATTCCCTTTGAAATGGTAACCAAAGATTGAGTTCCACTTTGCTTCCTACCCCATAAATATCAATAGTATTTATTCAAAAGTTATCCATAGCATGTAAACAAACTACTTTCCAAGCCTCACAGCAGAACAACTGGAGTGAGCACTGGGTGGAGTCAGAAAGCCTTCCACAGAGCCAGCTCTGCCCCTTAACGTGTGTGTCCCAGGTAAGTCAGTTAACGCACCTCGTCTGTTTCTTCATCAAGGTAACTGGGATTAACTACACTCCTACTGCTTATTCCCTATGGTTGTTGTGAGAATCAAAATAAGAAAATACATGGGAAAATGCATTTTAAACTTTATTATAAAGCACCAGAAAGAGTTATAGTGACCTTTCTAGGGTTTTCCTCTTTTTCATTATCTTCATCCTCAAAACATACACAAAAAGAAAAAATACAACTGCAAGAAAAAGCACCCAGAGCACCACTGGGAAAGAGTACACATGCTTCCCCATCTAGCGTATAATGGCACAATCGCGGCTCATACAACCTCTGCCTCCTGAGTTCAAGTGGTTCTCGTGCCTCAGCCTCCTGAGTAGCTGGGACTCCAGGCATGTGCCACCACGCCCAGCTAACTTTCGTATTTTTTGGTAGAGATGGGGTTTCACCATGTTGGCCAGGCTGGTCTGGAACTCCTGACCTCAAGTGATCTGCCCACCTTGGCCTCCCAAAGTGCTGGGATTACAGGCATGAGCCACTGCGCCTGGCTGGCTCTGAGTTTCTTAGGTTCTCACGCTTTCTTTTCAACAAGAGGTGAATGTGTGTATGAAATCACCAAGAAGGTGGGATGTTTAGGCTACAGCGAAGCCTGGTTAAATGTGGAGACAGAATAACCAAAACTCACCACTGTCACTTACTCCATGCCCACTCTGCTCCAGGTAATGTCCTGGATGCTTTCCTTTGGGACTCAGACTCTGCAGCTTGAATCCTGCACTTGTGCTTTACACATTGTGGGGGCCTGGAAAGTTCCATACCCTTTGTTCTCCAGGGTCCTCATCTGCCAAGTGAAAATACTAAGCACATCTATCTCACAGGAAAAAGTATTCAGGACAGAGTCTCGCACAGAGTGAGCATTCAGTAAGTTCTACCTAACTAATAGTCTACTGTTAGTAGATAATCCCATTACTATTAGTAGTAATCCCATGATGAGAGGTCAAGGAACTCATTAATGTCCAAATGGCTGCATAAACCCAGGACTAACTCACTCCAAAGCCCTTGCATAACCACTCTGCCCGCTGCCTCCGCTCATCAGTGTAACTGTGGAGGTGGGTGGCCCGAGTGTGAGGCCTGGCTCTGCACTGACTTGTTCTGTGCTTACTATCCTGGCCTCAGTTTTCTCAATGGTAACATAAGACATAAGATCATAGCAATGTGTGCCTCTGGATTGTTATCTAGGGTTAAGTGGGGTAATGAACGTGAAGTATTCATTACACAGGGTCTGACATACAACAGGCACTCCATAATTGTTAGCTAGGAAGCTGTTCAATTGCATTTATTAAGGTGTTTGCTCAGGCTGAAACCCAGGGTTCTGTTAATGGGCACTGCCATTTTCATACTGTTCTAATAGTGAGGGACGGAGGTGGGAAGACAAGTCAAAGAGGTGACTGGGTCACTAAGTGCCTGACATGGTGGCACTGACCATTTTCTCATAGTTAGATTTTTTCATCATCTCTCTTTCAGGAAAGTAGTATTTATCCTATTTTCAGATGATACCTTCTAAGGGGATATATCAGTCCCTAGGAGGTGAACAACGAATAGACAGGGGAAAGTCCTCCTCAGGGTCATCTGTCTGGGAGTTTAGGAGATAGCCCTGTTCTCCTGTTTCCCAAGGCAGAGTCTGTGACCTGATACCACTAAGCACTCACTTCTCTTAGAAGTGCAGCTGCTTCTGGAATTTAGTCTCCCAGCAGGAGAAATAAGAGTAAATAAATGTCCAGTGGAATCCACAGCAGACCCACCCTCACCTTCAGTTTTATTGTTTTGCTCCAAACATAACTCTGCTGCTTCCACTGCTCTGGGGCTGGTAAAAATGAGTCCCCCGTAATCTTCAGGATGAGAAAGCTGCACACCAAAAAGCAATAAAGACATTTTATACGATGGCTATGTTCAACATCTTCCAAGGAGCTAAGACTCAGAATTCCAAATGCTTCACAATAGTAGTAGGCAAACTAATTCCTTCCACCCATCCCCCCAACACTTACTGAGTGCTTACTATGTGCCTGGAACTATTTATTCTAGGACTTTTAGGGTACACAGGTGAATTCCTTATTCCCAGTATTTCCCTCAGGAAGCTCAGAGTCTAGGGCAGAGACAGTGAAACACAGGGTGATAAGTGCACTGCAGCACAGAGGGGAAGCCTGACGCAGCCTGGGATTAGAGTGGGGTGCAGGTAGTGGGGGAAGACTTGACCCGAATCTGTAATAAAAATGGGAATATTCAGGGGGTGATATCAATGCTGAAGTCCTGATTTTCAAAGAGGATAATGGTGATATCATCTACCGAACATTTACTCTGAGCCAGGCACTAGGCTGCTGTACATATCTGACTTCACTGAAGCTGTGGGCACTGAATTTTCACTCTGAAGCATTTGGAAGGCTTTACTGGACTTGTCTCCTGCAATTTTTATCACTCCTCACTGGAAGAAGAACTGAAGTTGTGGGCAGAAGCCCTGGGTTTGAGTCCCAGCCCTGTCTCTTACTTGCTAGAGGTCTTAGCTGAGTTGCCTAATTTGAGACCCCAATCTCTAAAACGGGAAAATAATACCTCCCTGGCCTGCTTTGCAGAAGTTGGGGGTGAGGGGTAGATTAAATGAGAGGATGAGTGAAAGGGTTCTAGGACTGCTGAGAGCAATGCAGGTTTGCTGCTCTCACCATGACCTGCTCTCCTGGGCCCCAATCTCTGAGTCTGGGTGGCTTTCTGGAGGGGCTGATAGAGGCTCAGTCAGAACCTCCCAACAGCAGCAGCCTCCTGGAGCCAGGTGAAGTTATGCTGCCATGTTTTAAAGTTTGGGAATAAAATAAGAAGACAGTAAAATAGTCCCTCTCTGGCTTCAGCTGGCAAGGGAGAAATCAAACACTAACATGGTGCTCAGTCACAACAGGCCTTACCTTCTCAGAGAAACTGGGAAGAGACAAAAACTCAAACGATAAAACAGGGATCAAAGTGGCTTCAAGTCCATATAATCCTAATTCCTGAAATGAAAGAATATAGTTCTGGATTGGCTAGGGCTGTTTTTAAAATAAGGGAACATTAACAATTTATTCTGCGTCAGTTCCTCTGAGGTTTTGCAAAACCCATCCCTGCCTGCTCCAGGCCCCTTGACTCAGTAGAAAGGACACTGTGGGATAAGGAGTCTCAGGCCACTTACCCTGATATACGGATCCTGGCCACAGTCATCTTCCTTCGCATCCTTCAGTAAAAGAACCTTCATTATTGCCTGGCAGTCCTTATAGGGCACTGCGACAGAGCAAGGAAACAGATCTTAATTAGATCTCAAAGACTCTTCCTAAGCAATTTCCGATGGGGACGGTACACAAGAAGAAGGCAATCAAATGCTTGTGGAAGAGACCTATCCCTCCTACACCATGACTTAGCACTAATGGGCTTGTTCTTTCTGAAGACCCCTGTCACTGATAAGGCCAAGAAAGAGCATGTTAGCAGTTGATATCACTTGGAAAGACAGATGAAACCATTAGTGAAAGCCAAGTGTCCTATGCCAAACGTTTATGGTTCCGGAAAGAGAACTGATGTAAATTTAGGGTTGTATCAACAACAAACAGAGAAATTGGTATCTTATGTTTTAAGGAGATAAATAGCTTTTCCATTTCAAGATAAATATGCTAAGTAGCTCATAAGCACTTTGGGAAATAATTATATTGACTCTTCTACTTATTAAATGATGTTTTCTAAACGTCAAGTATCATAAGAGAGTCTAACAACATGGAAAACGATTTGTTGACATCAAAAGCTTTATATACTTCATCTTCTTTCTTCCTGTAATTTCACTTCTAAGAATACTAAAGCAATACTGATAAATGTGTCCAAAGATTAACATAAAGATGCTCACACTAGAATTCTTTTGGGTCTCGTTGGGTCATATTAGGGAATGTGGCTCTTATCTTAATAGCAACGGGAAGCTTCTTGTTTATAGATGTATTTTTTTTTTTTTTTTTTTTTTTTTTAGAGGCAGGGTTTCACCATGTTGCCCAGGCTAGTCTCGAACTCCTGAGCTCAGGTGATCTACCTGCCTCGGCCTCCCAAAATGCTGGGATTACAGGAGTGAGCCACTGCACCCAGCCTTATAGATGTATTTCTCCTCTCTTTTCCTCATTTCTGCTTGCCCTTTTACCTTCTCCCTTCTCTAAGGTGATAATATAAGGAAGGAAGTATGGTGTCACAGAATAAGCACAGGACTAAGGGCCAACGGACCTGAGCTCTGGTCTCAGCTTTATGACTTAACCATGGTGTGATCTTGTTTTTTCCCATGTTAAATGGGAATAACCTCTGCCCTACCAAGCCTTAGGGTTGCTGAGTGACTCAAAGAAGATAAAAACAGCGAACAGATCTATTGAACTTACTGCCTCCCAGGCACTATTCTAAGAGCTTCACATGCATTAAGTCCACCTACGAGGCTTAGGAAGAAGCTGAGGTGTACAGAGGATGACACTCATCCAAAGTCTCAGAATTGCTACGTGGCAGAGCTGGGATTCACACCCAACCAGTCTGGCTCCAAAGTCTGTGCTTTTAACCCCCTACGCTATATTATGCCTCACATACACTTTGAATACGAAAATGTTTGGGAAAAATAGAGGTATAAAAATATAAAGTATCACTGTAGTACAAAGTGCTTAGTTTAGTTATGCAAACACCCCAAAGAAAAATCAATCTACCCATTGTAAACAGAGAAAATATTTCTCCTGGGTTCTAATCTGTGGTTCTCTTAGGTAATAAAACCGATGCTGGCATGAAGTTTAGGCTTCTGGATAATAAAGAGCTCCCTGAGATGTGTTGCAAATAAAAATCCAACTACTACCCTTATCCTTTATCTGACGTCACTGAAAGCATTTGTCTTCTTTTTTAATCCTGTATACAATCATTCCCAAACACTGAAAGCATTTCTAATATAAAATTAGGCCAGGACAGTGGTTCATGCCTGGTAATCTCAGCACTTTGGCAGGCTGAGGCAGGAGGATTGCTTGAGAGCAGGAGTCCAAGATCAGCCTGGACAACATAGCGAGACCCCATTTCTACAAAAATTTTAAAAGTTGTTAACAAGGAGCCGGGCATAGTGGCGCATCCCTGTAGTCCTAACTACGCAGGAGGCTGAGGTGGGAGAATCACTTGAGCCCAGGAGTTCAAGGTTGCTGTGGGCTATAATCGTGCCACTGCACTCCAGCCTGGGTGACAGAGAAGGATCTTGTCTAAATAATAATAATAATAATAATAATATAAAATTAAAAGGTTCTGTTGTTGATGATTCTTTGCTGTGCTAGAGTCACATATTATCAGGCTGATTGGGAAAGAAATCAATTGAGAAGCGTGCACAGATAGGTTAACATGTCGCCACCTTGGGCTTTAGGAAGAGGCTTGGTGGAGTAGAGGGTGTTTGCACAGGAGGGCCAGTGTCTGGGTTCTGGTCTAGGCTGCTCTTGCCTCAGTCTCAGTTTCAGATTCCTGTACATTGGAAAGGGGCTGTGAGCCTCTCCATTGTTGGCTTTTTTGATGGACTTTCTTTCCTGTAGTAGATGCTCATTATTTGCTCACCTTGTGGGAAAACAACAATTTCAATTTTACCCAGCATCTTTGAAACAGAAAGAATGATTAATTTTCCTTAAAGTAAAATGGAGCACTTGTCCTTCAAGTTGCCTGCTTAGGTCTCTCCCAAGCATACTCTACTTTCTTTCCTGTTCTAAAGTTTTTTGTTGTTGTTTTTTGAGATGCAGTCCTGCTCTGTCGCCCAGGCTGGAGTGCAGTGGTGCAATCTCAACTCACTGCAACCTCCGCCTCCCGGGTTCAAGCGATTCTCCTGCCTCAGCCTCCTGAGTAGCTGGGACTACAGGCATGCGCCACCATGCCCAGCTAATTTTTGTATTTTAGTAGAGATGGGGTTTCAGCATGTTGGCCAGGATGGTCTCCATCTCTTAACCTCGTGATCCGGCTGCCTTGGCTTCCCAAAGTGTTGAGATTACAGGTGTGAGCCACTGCACCCGGCCTAAAGTTTTTTAAAATAAACTTCCACTCCTGCTCTGAAGCTTGCCTCGGTCACTTTTTCTGCCTTATGCCCCCAGTTGAATTTTCTTCTGAGGAGACAAGATTGAGGTTGCTGCAGGTGTCTACTGATTTGCCACTGGTAACATATTTGGTGCCACGTGACTCAGATGGTAAGGGATCTCTATGCCTCGCTTTCTTCTGCTGGAGGCATCTGATCCCTGTGCAGTTTTTCTTCTCCTCCCTCTCTCCTGCTTACTAAACAACCCCCAGAACAATTCCTCTTGGCCATACGTGACTCTGCTCTCTGCCAGTTGATTTCTTAGCTCACTCTGGTGGGTGGCTCATGGGAGTGGGAAGGACCCTAGGGTCTGCATCAAGCAGATCAGAGGCACTATATGGCCCTCCTTGATAGGAGGCTTGAGACTGGTGAGGCTAGGGCCTAAAAACCGTGCAGTGTCTGGGGTTTCCTCTGCCTTTTTTTCCAATGAAAATAACGAAACCTGTTATTTCCCATTGAGGGGGAAAAAGGCGGGAGAAGCCCCAGCAGAAATGAAGCTGCTCCTGAAGCTTCCAACATGAAACTCACCTCGGCACTGGTAAAAAGAGGGCTCAACCTGTCTCTAGATTTACAGTCTAATGCTTGCTCTGCCATTTTACCCTCATACTTATGTTCATCAATCATTGATGAAAAAGAAAAGAAAAAAAAAATGACTGGAATAAGGGCACCTTACTGGTAAGAAAGAACCAAACCTCAAACCCGTACCTTCTATGTCATGGTGTTCTGGGTATCAGCAATAACAACAGTCACCCTTTTACTGAGCATTTACTCATGTTAATTACTGGGTGTATTAGAGTTCTTCAGAGAAACAGAACCAATGGCATATATTTACATCTAGAAAGGGATTTGTTATAAGGTATTAGCTCATGCAGTTATGGAGGCTGAGAAGTCCCATGATCTGCTGTCTGCAAGCTGGAGACTTGTTAGCAGGAAGGCTGGTGTTGTAGCCTGAAGGCCTGAGAGCCAAGGGTGTAGGTTCCAGCCTGAGTGTGAAGGCCTCAGCACCAGGAGCACCAAGGGCAGAAGATATCCCAGATCAAGCATGCAGGAGGAGACAGGACACATTCTTCCTTCTTTGGCTTTTTGTTCTATTTAGGCCCTCAACAGACTGGATGCTGCCCACCTACTTTGGGGAGGGCAATCCACTTTACTCAGTCTATCCATTCAAATGCTCATCTTTTCTGAAAACAACTTCACAGACACACCAAGAAATAATGTTTAACCAGATATCTGGGCATCCGTGATCCAGTCAAGATGACATGTAAAAGTAACTATCACACTGGGCTAAGCATTTTACATGCAAGACTGCAATCCTCACTTAAACCTGCAAGGTAGGTGGTGTTAGCCTTATTTGCAGGAGGTGAAACCAAGTCCCTGGGAGGTTTGAGTAACTTGTCCCAGGTCACACAGCACAGTAAGTGGGAGAGATGGAATTTGGATCCTGGTCTGAAGCCCATGCTCAGTCTCCTAACCACTTGCTACCATCCCTCTGCCTCATTAAGATAAATTCTGAGCTAAAGATGAACACTGAACGAGTGGTAAGCAATCTACTACCTGCTGAGTTCAGTTCCCTAGGGTCAGTACTGTATTTACTTTCACATTCACTATTCTAATTCACACTTTGACCATGAGCTCAACACTGGGAACTAATCTGAGGGCATAAAGTAAGGCTTTTTCCCCTACTTGTCTTACAAAAGTGATCCTGTTTACTGTGAAAGATTTGCAAACTACAAAAAAGTATAGTTCCTCAAAAAAATAAACATAGAATTACCATATGATCTAGCAATTCCCCTGCTACATATATACCCCAAAGAATTGAAAGCAGGGACTCGAACAGATATTTGATACTCATGTTCATAGCAACATTATTTACAACAGCTAAAATGTAGAAGTAACCAAAATGTTTACCGACAGATAAGTAGATAAACAAAATGTGGTCTATACATGCAATGGAGTATTATTCAGCCTTAACAAGGAAGGAAATCCTAATGCATGCTACAGCATGGGATAAACTTTGAAGACATCATGCTGAATGAAATAGTCACAAAAGGAAGAATATTGTGTTACTCCACTTACATGAGGTTTCTAGAATAGTCAAATTAATAAAGATGGAAAGTAGAAAGGTCATGGAGGGAAAATAAGGGAGTTGTTTAACTACAGTTTCAATTTTGCTAGATGAAAAGAGTTCTGCCAATGGATAGTGGTGGTGATGGTTGCACAATGTGAATGCACTTCATGCCACTGAACTGTATCTTTAAAAATAGTTAAGATGGTAAAATGTATGTTATGTATCTTTTACCACCATAAAAAAAGTATAAAGAAACAGGAAAAAAAATTGGCTATGGTATCTCAGTGCAACTCTGTTGATATGTTCACATGGTCTTTCTGAGTCTTTTTTCTAATCTTAGCCTTTTGATGGGTCTTTTTTGACAGCTTCCTCTCTTCTCCATTACAGGAACATGTTTTTGCAGTTGTGCGACCCAAAGAGGCCATTTCAAGCTGCCCCATCAGATGTGGAGCGCTGATGTGTAAGTATTACTTTAATATCCATGACATGGCTGGGTAGACAAGAGACTCCCAGGAAAGACCGAAATCACAGAACACGATTATGGGCAATCTGGGCTCCTGGGGACCTTTAGGGCACGCCATCTCGTACTGATGAAGGATCACTGATTTATCAGATGTTACCCTGCTTAAACAGAAGCAGCCTATTAGCGCAGCTCACACCATTCCTAGAATCAAACATATCCAACCCACCCCCCTCATTTTACAGAGAAAAATCAATTGAGAACCGCAGATCTTATTCCTAGAAAGCTGATGAACCCTGTTTCTCTCGCAATGGGAAGACCTGGCTGCCCCAGGCTGCATCCCCACCTGCCACAGGGGCTGGCGCTCGCTCTGCAGTTGGCCGCAGTCCCCTCCACTCTTCTCTCCAAATAGGCTCGGGTCTTTAACCTAGACTACCCCACTGGCCCCGAAGCATTTTTTTTTTTTTTTAGATAGGGTCTACCTCTGTCGCCCAGGCTGGAGTGTGGAGTGCGGTGGCGCGATCTCGGCTCACTGCAACCTCCGTCTCCTGGGGGCATGCGATTCTCCTGCCTTAGCCTCCTGAGTAGCTGGGACTACAGGCGCGCACCACCACACCTGGCTAGTTTTTGTATTTTTAGTAGAGATGGGATTTCGCCATGTTGGGCAGGCTGGTCTCGAACTCCTGACCTCAAGTGATCCACCCATCTCGGCCTCCCAAAGTGCTGGGATTACAGGTGTCCGCCACCACGCCCGGCTAATTTTTGTACTTTTAGCAGAGATGAGGTTTTGCCATGTTGGCCAGGCTGGTCTCGAACTCCTGACCTCTGGTGATCCACCCGCTTTGACCTCCCTAAGTGCTGGGATTACAGGCGCGAGACACCGGGCCCGGCCCCCCGCCGAAGCATTTTTAACTGCGGTGCCGGCTTTAAAAAAACTTTTAGGTCAAGAAATGCGCTCCAGAAGCTCGGCGAGGGTAGGCTGGGCAGGCGCCTTCCGTCACCGGCGCAGCGGTAGCGGCAGCGGACATCCCCGCCTGGGCAGGCCCAGGTCCGCGGAAGCCTCGGGGCCCTGGCCCCACTGTGTCACACACCGCCCGGGGCCGGGCCCCTGCACGCCCGCGGGCTTCGGCGTCCGTACCGGTACAGCGGGCGGCGACACCTACCTCGCGGGACCGTGCCCAGCACCCGGCCTGGCACACAGCGGGCACCCGGTCGGGGGGCGGTGTCGCGCAGTCCCAGCGAAAAGGCTGCAGGAGCAATGACAACAGGGGCGGAAGCCCCCTCCCCACGCAGCCCGAGGGGCCGCGGCGGCCACCCGCGCCGGGCCCCAGGACCCCGCACCTCAGACTGGGGTCGCGTGGGTGGCTGCGCGCAGCTAGGCGCTCGCGCATGCGCACCGCCATCCAGGCCACGGAATGAGGCCAGAGGTTAGATGGGTTGAACCACTACGGGAAGGGGAGGGGAAGCTTTGGGAGGAGTGATGGAGGGTGGAAAGCGGAAGAAAAAAGCAAGATGGGACCGCAAGCTGGACGTGACTGTAAGGGGTCATGGCTGCGGAATCCAGCAGGGGCATTGGGGTTGACGTGCACTCAGCGCCGAGCTTCTTCGTAGTTCCTCACCCCCTTGGCTACTATGGGCTGGTCCGGAAGGTCAGGCAAGGGGAAGCTGCGCAGGCGCAGTGTGAGCGGCAACATGGCGTCCAGGTCTAAGCGGCGTGCCGTGGAAAGTGGGGTTCCGCAGCCGCCGGATCCCCCAGTCCAGCGCGACGAGGAAGAGGAAAAAGAAGTCGAAAATGAGGATGAAGACGATGATGACAGTGACAAGGAAAAGGATGAAGAGGACGAGGTCATTGACGAGGTGAGAAGGACACGCTCCCCTAGTTGGTTTATACCTGAGAAAAACTTTTTGGCAAGCCCAGGCTGTGTAAAAATAGTGTAGGGTCTTCCCTGACCCTGAGGGTCTGTGAGGAGAAACTGGAGATAAGTTCTTTCTCAGGTTTCTCCTCGGTCTTTAACACACTGCAGCCATAGTAGTTATTTTTTAAAGGTCTAGTCCGGTCCAGTTAATCTCCCAACCCGCGTCCTCCCCGAAAAAGCCCGCCACAACAGGTGTGTTCTTCTCGTCCTCTTTAGTTCTCAGGCTGAAGCCTCAGATCCTGAATCGGCCACCCCGGGCTCGCAGAGGGGGCCCTCTCCCCTCGGGGCAGCAGCTGTCCTCCTCTTCACTCTGCGGGCGGCACTCACTTGGGCCCTCAGTTTCTTGAAGGCTCTTGCCGCGTTCTACCGTAGAAGCCTTTTCAAATGCTCTTCTTTATCCTGCAGTTTTCCCTTCCTTCTTCAGATCTCAGCTAGGCTGTATTTTCTGGCTCCTGGGGCAGCTGACCAAGTCGTGGGTAAATCTTTGGTTTCATAGTCTCATAGAACTGTGTTCCTTTCTTCAGACTAGGTCCTACCGTAGTGCCTGGCAATATAGGTACTTATTATTTGTTTAGTAAACAATTAGGACTGAATGATCCTTCAGCCTACTGAATGTTTAAATAGATACCTCAGCCTTAACTTGTCCAAAGCAGAATTTGTATAATAATTCATGCCCCTCTCTTAATCGTCACCATTTCTATAAATGGCCCCTAAAGTCACCAGCTGCTCTAACCCAAAACCTGGGGCTTAACTTTAATTCCTCCCTTTCCTCATCCTATATCCAGCCCATCAGTAAATCCTGTTATCCAGACATTTCTCAGCACTAATTCTGAGACCATCGTAGTCCACACCTCTATCATCTCTTGCCTGGACTACTATTTAATGTAACAGCTTTTAACCGGCGTTCTTTTCTCCATTTTTGTTCCCCTACAATCAGTCTATACTCCACTTACAGTCAGAGAGATCTTATAGGTCTGATCTCAGGCCTCTGCTTAGATTGCTGCATTGGCTTTCTAGTTCATTTACAAGAAAATCAAGAGTCTTCACAATTGAGGGACGGAAAGGCAGCCTAGATGGCTGGATCAGAATAAGGAAGAGAGAGTGATAGGAAATAAAATCAGAGAGGTAATCATGAGTCATGATGAGCATGGAGGGGAGCATGGAGAGAAGCATGGATGCAGGATTAGAGGTGACACCATGGTGTGGGTATGTGATCAATCTTCCTTCCCTTACAAATTTTACTTTGGCTCTATGCCTTGAATGCCATCTCACCATTTTTCACTTAGAACTTTGACTGGCTCTTTTATTACTTTTGGGTTATAGAAATCAATGCTGCTTGTGTTAACATGGGAAATCTATCACACCACCACAGTCTTAATTCTAAATCACCTGGGAATGAGGGACAGGGCTCTTTTCTACAAACGTGACTGTTCCTGCTGAAGCCATGTGGAGATGAGCCCATACCCAGGAAAAGGGTGCTGGACAGATAATCCATTTGCCGCCCATTTCCCTGGTGGTGCCATAATAGTCTGGGACAGAGGTCCGAGATGTCTGTCTAGACAAAGAAAAAAACACTAGATGAGCATTATTTACAGAATGTATTTATATCTAAGGAATAAGTTTAAGTCCTGAATAATGACAGTTTGTTATTTGGTTTAGTTTGATCCTGTTTGGAACACTCCCACCCGACCCCTTGTGTTTTGCTGCTCACATAATCTGGCTAAGTTAGCATTTGAAGTCTGCAAAGCTGGACTTAAAGAGTTCAAATTGGAGCTGGAATTGCTCTAAGCAATTCCAGGGCCTTGCAATTTTACAATTAAGGAAGACTTAAATATATACATAGTCAGGGTGGCAAGGTAAAAGGAGGTCTGATTTCCTCTGCGATGTTCTTCAGCTAAGACCTAAATTCTGAAACCGTTAAAACCTGAAGTGCCTTTAAATATATTATTTCATCAGAGCCCCAGGTTCATTGTGTCACTTATCAAGGTCTGATTTAGGGTCCTCAAGGACTAATCTTGTTAGTGTTTAAAAGCAACTAGGTTTTGTTTTTGGCATTTTAGTTCCATCTTCTAGATTCTGTTGTCTTGCAGATAGAGATCAGGGAGCCCAGCTACACATTCATTCTTCTAGTCCCTTGTACTCATTGTATTTCCTTCTGCCTTAGGGCCTTAGTTTGTGCTGTTCCCTGTACCAGGAACTCTCTTTGCTGTTTCTCGGTTTCTTGCTCAAATGTCACTTCAAGGAAGGCTTTCCTGACTGACTTCTTATTTTTTAAGTTGTTACAACATTGTGTACCTTTGTTTTATAGCACTTACATTTATTTCTATGAATATTTCCTTAATGCCTATATTCCTTCCTAAATCGTAAGCTGCACGAGAGCAGGATCATTTGTGTCTGCCTTACTAACCTTTTCATCTTGAGTGCCTGGCACAGTGCTTGGTACCTGGATTGATACTTAATAAATATTTGCTAAGCAAATGTAGTGTAACCTCAAATCCATGGGCTAAGTCAAGCTCTAGGCAATTCCAGGGACTTTTGAAGTGATTTTGATTTTTGCCCACCCTTGTAATCAGGAAAATAATTTATCCTTTGTGGCTGCCGTGTCTGGTTTATTTGAACTGGACTTTCTCAACATTTAAACTAGGTTACTCTGAGTGTTTTGTTTTCTCAGGCTTTTGTGTCACCTGAAGAAATAGTGTGAAGGTGCTTTGTATTCTTCACAGATGGCAATCTTGGCAATGTTTGCCTGTTTTAAAGTCTAGATGTTTGTAGTTTTTCTGGTAACAACTATTTTGTGTGTTATTTACAGGAAGTGAATATTGAATTTGAAGCTTATTCCCTATCAGATAATGATTATGACGGAATTAAGAAATTACTGCAGCAGGTATTGTCTTTTATTTATTATGCATAAATTTCCTCTTCTAAGAAAAATCAGGGGCCGGGTGCAGTGGTTCATGCCTATAATCTCAGCATTTTGGAAGGCCGAGGTGAGAGGATTGCTTGAGCCCAGGAGTTTGAGACCAGCCTGGGCAACATAATGAGAACCTGTCTCTACAAAAAAATTAAAAATTAGCCAACTGTGGTAGCACACACCGTTAGTCCTAACTCCTCAGGAGGCTGAGGCTGGAGGATTACTTGAGTCTAAGAGCTCAAGGCTGCAGCTATGAATGTGCCATTGAGCTCCAGTCTGGGCAACAGAGTGAGCCTCTGTCTCTAAAAAAAAAGAAAATTCAGGTCATTCAATACAGGCTCTCCCAAGTTCATCTTTTTAGAATTTCCATTTCTATCCTCTCCACCTTGCCTGGAAGGAAGAATTATTTCCTTTCATCTGCTAATTAGAGTTATTTTGTTTTTTTTTTTAATTCACAATTCTTATGTAACAGTCATATAACTGTGCTGTTTGGTGCTATAAAATTGATGCTTGCTGCTTCTCCTTATTCTTTTACTCATATAATATGACTTTGGTTCTTTAGCCTTTATAGCTCTACCGTCTTTTTCACCAAATTCTTTGGCCTTAAGTTTATCCTCTCTCGTTTCTCCCTTTTTTCTCCCCCTCCCCCATTACTTCTATATTACTACTGACTTCTTCTTTTCTGAAATTTCCTAATCTTTAGCTTCTTTGACTCTCCTGGGCTTTTCTTTCCCTCTTGGGGTTGCTTTTCTAGATCATCATCTTAAGTCACAGAAATTTCATTGTTTGTATTTGAATATAGGATTTGAAGTTATTAGAAATCATGCTTTGATCTTAATTTAAAATAATTTTTTCCTCCTTTTAGCTTTTTCTAAAGGCTCCTGTGAACACTGCAGAACTAACAGATCTCTTAATTCAACAGAACCATATTGGGAGTGTGATTAAGGTAAGTAGGATAATTGTGTTTATTCTGATTAAATGAGTTCTTTATTCTGTTCATGCTGGGCCTCACCATGCTTGTAATCCCAGCACTTTGGGAAGCAAAGGTGGGAGGATTGCTTGAGGCCAGGAGTTCAAGACCATCCTGGGCAATATAGCAATACTCTGTCTCTACAAAAAATAACAAAAAATTAGCCGGGCATAGTAGCACATGCCTGTAGTCTTTTTACCCAGGTGGCTGAGGTAGGAGGATCTCTTGAGCCAAGAAGTTGAAGGCCATGGTGAGCTTTGTGCCGCTGCACTCTAGCCGGGCAACACAGCAAGACCCTATATCTGAAAAAAAAAAAAAAAAAAAAAAAAAGTTCTTTATTCTGTTTAGCTCAAATTGGAAGCAGTATTACTGGAGGAATGGAGACTGATCAGAAGTCATTGCAGAAATCCAAGCTTATTAAATGCAGTAGTCCAGGTGGGGGCAATGGAGAGGGAGAGAAGTGGGCTCATTTAGAAAATATTTGGGAGATGAAATATGATGAGGTTTAGTCCCTGATTGGGTCTGAAAGTGAGAGGAAAAGGAGTCAAGGATGACTTCCAGGTTTCTAGCTTGAGCAAACAGGATAACAAACATGGAGGAAGGTCAAATTAGGAGGGGGAATGTGAATTTGGATTTGTACATTTTGAGTTTGAGTTACCTGTGAGATACCGGGTAGCAGGTGGAGCCCTGGAGACTTGGGAGTTGGTCGTAAATGTTACTGAGGTCGTAGAAGTGATTGAGATTGCGCAGGGAGGGAAGGGACAGACACCTTAGTAATACCAAGAATACTTCGATGAGTAATATAAGTGGCAGAGCCAGCAAAGGAGATTAAAAGGGATGACAGGAGAAGTAGAAGAAACAATAGTGCAGTGATGTCATACACAGCAAGAAAGATAACATTTGAAGGAGGAGGGGATGGTCATCTTTATCAGATAGATGTTGTAGAGAGCTCAACAAAATAAGGACTGGTTTAGACCCTGGGTCTGCTGCTTATCATCTGGTGGTTCTTTGGGTTATCTGTTGTTTGTATAACAAACCACCCCATAGCTTAGTGTCGTAAAATAGCAGTAGTCATTTATTTGGCTAATGGATCTACAGTTTGGACAGAGCTCAGTGGGCACAACTCATCTGTGCTCCTGCTCCATCATGTTAGCTGGGGTGGCTTGACTAGGGGCTGGAGGATTCCCTTTCAAGATGGCTCACTCACATGACTGGCAAGTTAGCCCTAGCTGTCTGTCGGGAGCTTAGCTGGGACTCTGGACCAGGGGCCTTAGTTCTTCTCCATGTGGGCCTCGTCACACATTGGTTTGCTTCCAAGAGCAAGCTGCCCAAAAGAAGCAGGCAGAAGTGATATAGTGCCATTTCCACCATTTGCTTAGTCTTTACAGATAGAAATTTCTATCTAGGGGGAGGGCACATTGATCCCACCACTCCATGAGAAAAGTACCTAGGTCACTTTGTCAGAAGAGCATGTCCAAGGAGAGATCCATTGGGGCCATCTGTGAAAGATACAGTCTGCCACAGTACCTTAATCTGTTTCCATTTCTGTCTCTGAAAATGAGGATGGTACTAGCACCGATCTTGTAGAGTGCATGGGTAAACAAAATGAATTGCTGACTGCTTAAAACAGTGTCTGGCAGCTGACATGTGCTACATATGTGTAGCTGTCACTGTTGATGTCTTTTTCCTGTTCCTAGCACCTGTTCCCTAGCCTGTTGTGAAAAACACAACAAACAAAAGCTCCATTCAGTCTAATGTTCCACTCTTAAGTACATCACCTTCAGAGCCAAAATTCTTGAAAAGTAATCTTAAGTCATGGTTTCTACTTCCTGTCCTCCTATTCATTCTTCAGACACTCTTATCTGACTTTTACACCACTAAAATTCGGACACTGAGTGATAGGGTCACCAACATACTTGTTACTAAATACAGTGTACACTTTTCAAGGCTTCTGACAATATTAGTAACTTTATGGCACTCAATGTAAAGAAAATGAGAAATTAAACCTATGGGGCATTCCTTTTATTAGGGCAATGGGAAAAAGCAGACCACCTGCCCTTTCATCAAATAAATGTGATCTCTAGCTGATTCGTGTCTTAGAAGACCTAATGGATATGGAGGAGAAGCAGTTATTTTTATCCTTGAAAGAGGTTATTATCTAATGGCAGGATTCACTCTTTAAATGGATAATCACATCAATAGCTCTGCAGTTGTAACTGTGGCTTCTTGGGATTCTCCAGAGACACTTGAGGTGTCCTGAGGATAGAGACTTCTTGTTCTTAGTAAAGGGACTACCCATAGTGTTCGGTGGAGCCAGTCCCTAGGATCATAGAACAAAGGGCAGGGGGTTCTCTTTTTTCCCCTTCTCTCTTGCTAATGTGATAGGTGTAAGTGGCCCTCAAGCATTGCCTAGCTTCACTAATGGTCAAGACTGACAAGTGTTCTGGAAACTCATGAGTTTTAGATGAAACAATGCTGTGGGCCAGCAGAGAAGCAAGGCTTGGCTCCAGCCTAATTGTGTAGAAAACAAATGAAAATGCTTTATTTCATGAGGTTTATCTCTTCTGGATTTGTATTATATTGAGAATCTGATAAAAGAAAATGACTTAATCTGGTACAAAGAAATTTCAATCTGTTCAGAATCTGAAAAGAGGAACAGAGTCGAGGTAAAGCGAAATGAACAAGGTCACACAGTATTTAAGATACAATGCTTTCCAAGATGATGGTGGTAAAACTGTGACAGTATTTAAAATACAATGCTTTCTAAGATGGCGGTGGTAAAACAAAGTTTTGCTTTTGAAAAGTGAAAAGATAAATGAGGCCTACATCCCAAGACTTGGTTTTATACTCTTGGTATTATACTAAATATAACATTTAAATATTTTTTCTTTTAAAATAGCAAACGGATGTTTCAGAAGACAGCAATGATGATATGGATGAAGATGAGGTTTTTGGTTTCATAAGCCTTTTAAATTTAACTGAAAGAAAGGTTGGTTTCACTGGATGGCATCTGAATGGTTATTTCTTAGGCCAAAACCACTTTTATTTAATGCATGGTGAAAATGTCTTTTATGTTAAACAGTGATATTAACTATAGGGATAAGTGCTCTTGTGAAATCTTATTGTAATCCTTTTTCAATATGAAGGTGGTGGTGTTGGGTCTGTACCCAGTTAAAGTTGTTTACTCCCTGTGGTTTAGGGAATCATCTGGCTTTGCAGTCCTGATGTTGGTACTGATGCAGGAGCTGTTTGTGCTGTCTCTCTGCAGCTGTTATCTTTGCTACTTGTGTAGTGGGGATATTCTCAGGCTTTGCTGCCTCAATGTTGAGGGCATTTACTGACATTTTATTTTGTTTCGATTCATCTCTTTTTATTGATTCTCTGATGAGTTGTAATAAAAAGTAAACCAGCTGCTTACCCACCTCAGAATAAGATGCAGGCTACACTTAGTCTTTAATTTTGAAATAAACTGTCCAGTTACTTCCATCTATCTTTATGAGATGGACTAGAGTTGCCATTCCAGTGTGTCTGAATGTTAATTATGACTCTCTTACCACTCATCATGGGATGGTAAATAACCAGTGTATTTACTTTTGAGAAATGCTTAAGCAGTCAACACTGAAGACATACAAGACGTTAAGGCTATGGCAGGAAACTGCCCTTAGCTGTAAGATGAAAAGTGATAGCTTTTACTCTCAGGTTTTGTCCTCTATGTGATGGCTTGTAATAGGAAACAAGCTTTCTCTTTGCTTTCTAGGGTACCCAGTGTGTTGAACAAATTCAAGAGTTGGTTCTACGCTTCTGTGAGAAGAACTGTGAAAAGAGCATGGTTGAACAGCTGGACAAGTTTTTAAATGACACCACCAAGCCTGTGGGCCTTCTCCTAAGTGAAAGATTCATTAATGTCCCTCCACAGATCGCTCTGCCCATGTACCAGCAGCTTCAGTAAGAGATTCTGGGAAAATATCTTTGAACAGTAATTTTTTTTTCAAATAGATTCCTAAATGTCATTTAAGTAGAATATGTAGATATAGAAAGAGTTCTGTCCTTGGTTTAAGTGGGTTTAGTGTGAGGGGAGTGGAAGAAACATCCTGTGAAGTACATACATTATTAACAACTGGCTTTTTGAAGAGTTTGTGACAATAATCATGAAATTTTAACTTAAGATTTAAGTGATATATAAGTAGATAATTTCATATAGACTTTGCATCCCCATTTGATTGAAGTTTTTCACCTTCACAGATAGCTTTCTGCAACATGAATAAAATAATGAACAATTACAACAATAACAAAACTGGTAAAGTTCCCAAATTCTATTGGTATGTTTCATAACAAATGAAACCATAGTCCTGATACTGTGGCTAGCTTTTCAGGGTTTTTGTTATTCTATTTTTTAATCCAGAAGTTTTAAGTTTACAAAAATATTTCAAATGTAGCTGTGAAATCTAGCAAACTGAGTGTACTAAGAATTGTATTGTCTGTGCTTTGCAACAGAGGACAAAATATAGGCAGATTCTCTTATTTATTTCTATCTAATTTAAATTTTTTTTTTTTTTTGGTAGAGACAGGGTCTTGCTACATTGCCCAGGCTGGTCTTGAACTCCTAGGCTAAAGTGATCTTCCTGCCTCGGCCTCCCAGTGTTGGGATTACAGGTGTCAGTCACAGCACTTGACCTAGACAGGTTCTTTATAGAATATTCTTTCTCAGAGGTCATAGCCCTTGCGTTGTGGTTTTCCTTTAAATAGCTGTAGGAATGCAACTCTACTCTGGAAACCTTTACGTTTGCTGTTTTTTCCTAGGGATTCGATGCTTCTTATCTCCTGCTCCCTGCTCTCTCAGCTGTAGCTCAGATTGTGCTTCTGGTGCCTTAAGTGGTTTTTGTTTTTTTTTGGTTTTCTTTTTTTCTGATCAGCTGGAGCTCACATTTATTTGGTTTTATAGGAGGGTGATTTGCTTTCTCCTAGTCCTGTTAAAGCTGAAGTGAGCCAAGCGCAGTGGTGCACGCCTGTAGTCGCAGCTACTCAGGAGGCTGAGGCAGGGGGAATGCTTGAGGCCAGGAGTTCCAGGCTGCAATATACTATGATTGTGCCTGTGAATAGCCACTGCACGCCAGCCTGGGCAAAATTACAAGACCCTATCTTTTTTTTTTTCTTTTTTTTTTTTTGAAAAGGCCAGGTGTGGTGGCTGACACTTGTAATTCCAACACTTTGGGAGGCCGAAGCTGGCAGATCACTTGAGGCTAGGAGTTTGAGACCAGCCTGGCCAACATGGCGAAACCCCAATTCTACTAAAAATACACCCACAAAAAATTAGCCGGGTATGGTGGTGCAGACCTGTAATCCCAGCTACTCAGGAGGCTTAGGCACGAAAATCGTGTGAACCTGGCAGGCAGAGGTTGCAGTGAGCCGAGATTGTGCCATTGTACTCTACAGCCTGGGCAACAGAGTGAGATTTTGTCTCCAAACGAAAAAAAGAAAAAAAAAAAAAAGGAAAGCTGAAGAGGACGGTTGTTCTGAGTTTCTTCTTTTGTTCAAGGGCATCCAGATGCACAAGGCTATGTTTAATTTTCAGAAAGAAGAAACATTAAGGCTTTGTTGCGATTCCATTGCTAGAATTTAGGTTGTGTGTTTATGCAGTTTCTGCAGTATGTCAGAAATTAGTTCCAGACTCTAGCAATTAGAGACTGTGGTAGTAGTCACAGGCTGTAGTGACATTGGTTGTGGCTGTATACCTTTGTGTGTTTCAGTTAAATGTTCATTGCTTTAAAAAATTCAAAAATTCAGATTCGTATATATTTTTAACTTATGCACAGGCAGAGCAGTGATACATTGAGTGAATTTGAGACTCATCTGATCTGTTAGTTGCTATATATCCACAAATCAGCATAATCTGAGAGATATATCATAGTATTATAAAAAGTAATACATAATCTAAAATGCAACTGATTATGTAAATAAAAATCATTCCTGTAGACTAAGTGTTCAGATTGAATGCCTGCGTCACAGCAGAACCCACTGAAGATGCCTCACCGGGTTTTCTGTGCTCTGGTTTGTTGATGGATTTCACTTGACCCAGCAGGTAAACAAATGTTGTGTGTGTGCCTTGCAGGAAAGAACTGGCGGGGGCACACAGAACCAATAAGCCATGTGGGAAGTGCTACTTTTACCTTCTGATTAGTAAGACATTTGTGGAAGCAGGAAAAAACAATTCCAAAAAGAAACCTAGCAACAAAAAGAAAGCTGCGTTAATGTTTGCAAATGCAGAGGAAGAATTTTTCTATGAGGTAAGACTATCCTGCTTATTTGTTTAGATGTAAATAAGGATTTTCTTGAAAATGATTTATCAAGATTTATTGTTCTCCCACTTTAGGTCCAAGTCTTTCAAGTGTGGCTACTCTGTTTTTCTGTTTCCCCACAGGACCTAGCAGCTAACATAGTGCCAGGTGCATAGTAGGTACTCAGGAGGCTAGGCACCAGCCTCCTTGCCTGCACTGTGGTTATGAGCATGAGGAGGAGGAGGAGAAAAGTGATTAACCTGTTAAGAATGATTAGGCATTTATAATATGCTTCCTGTGAAATCTTTCATTCTAAAACCATGCGGAGAGGTAGACATTAGCCTGGGGTTTACAGATGTGGACTTTAAGGCATAGGGAAATGAGGGAAATTACCTGCGATCACACAGCTGGTCAGTGTGGAAGCTGGGGCACCCCTGCTGCTCTGTGTCCTTAGTCGTGGATGTCATCCTGCTGGTGGGATATCTCCAGCATTTTTTTCCTATAAAGGTAGCTTGTACTGTGATGGACAGCCATATACCAGAGAATATTCTTACCCTCTCTTCCTCTGAAAAATCTTGAAGTGGGCCAGGTGCGGTGGTGCACACCTGTAATCCCAGCACCTTGGGAAGCTGAGGCGGGCAGATCACCTGAGGCCAGAAATTCAAGACCAGCCTGGCCAACAGGGAGAAACCCCATCTCTACTAAAAATACAAAAAAAAAAAAATTAGCCGGGCATGGTGGCAGATGCCTGTAATCCCAGCTACTCGGAAGGCTAAGGCAGGAAAATTGCTTGAACCTGGGAGGCAGAGGCTGCAGTGAGCCGAGATCGCGCCACTGCACTCCAGCCTGAGCAACAAGGAAGAAACTCCGTCTCAAAAACAAACAAACAAACAAAAAACACAAAAACATCTTGAGCCAGGCACGGTGGCTCACGCCTGTAATCCCAGCACTTTGGGAGGTCAAGGCGGGTGGATCACGAGGTCAGGAGATCGAGACCATCCTGGCTAACATGGTGAAACCCCGTCTCTACTAAAAAATACAAAAAATTAGCCGGGCGTGGTGGCACGTGCCTGTAGTCCCAGCTACTCGGGAGGCTGAGGCAGGAGAATGGCATAAACCCGGGAGGCGGAGCTTGCAGTGAGCCGAGATTGCGCCACTGCACTCCAGCCTGGGCGACAGAGCGAGACTCTGTCTCAGAAAAAAAAAAATCTTGAAGTGTATCTCTGAGGGGAACATATTTTCCTGAATTGGATGATATCACATCACTTTGAAGACTTCTGCAGAAGACTAAAGCGCTACAAATTTAGCTGTGCCCTTCTTTTCCAGGAAGTAAATAGTAAACATAATTTTTAAAAAACATAGGCCGGGTGCGGTGGCTCATGCCTGTAATCCCAGCACTTTGGGAGGCCAAGGCGGGCGGATCACGAGGTCAGGAGATCAGACCATCCTGGCTAACACGATGAAACGCTGTCTTTACTAAAAATACAAAAAATTAGCCAGGCACAATGGTGGGCACCGGTAGTCCCAGCTACTTGGGAGGCTGAGGCAGGAGAATGGTGTGAACCCGGGAGGCAGAGCTTGCGGTGAGCCGAGATCACGCCACTGCACTCCAGCCTGGGTGACAGAGTGAGACTCTGTCTCAAAAAAAAAAAACAAACAAACAAAAAAAACAAAACCATATGCTTCAACACCTCAGGTTGACCATTTGGGGGGAGTGTGTATGGGTGTTTTAAGATGGCGGGGTATGCAGATTTACTCTGTCTTCACACAAAAGCCTGATGCTAAGGAAGCAGCTGAGAAAGTGAGAAAAGAGTGTTTGAAGACAAGTTCTTGTTAAATATCAAATTTTACAAGTCTTAATTTCATTATGTTTCACAAGATTATTTTGACAATTAAATGAAAATACCACTTAGCTGCTTGTTCACCTCTTAGAAATTGCACACCTCTATCCCTGTTCCTCATGTGGGTTTAAAATCTACTTGGTTTGTGTTTTATAACTTCTGCCTGAATGTCCCATTTGAACTTTTTCAATTCTGAGTTTTGCTTTTTTTTAGCTCTCATTCTTATTTAAGCATATGCCAAACGTAATATTCTTTGCCGTAGATCAAATGGGTTTTGTCTTTGGGTTGTCCCGATTTTTAATTCATGGTTACTTATTTGGTTTAGAAGGCAATTCTCAAGTTCAACTACTCAGTGCAGGAGGAGAGCGACACTTGTCTGGGAGGCAAATGGTCTTTTGATGACGTACCAATGACGCCCTTGCGAACTGTGATGTTAATTCCAGGCGACAAGATGAACGAAATCATGGATAAACTGAAAGAATATCTATCTGTCTAACCCATTTCCAATGGACAGTGATGGGCTTGTTTTTGTAAAATTACCAGAAAACTCAGTGGAGATTTACTGAAAAACTCAGACTTTATTCAGATTAAGTTCCTCTACAAAAAGTAGGGTTCTGTCCCATGTGTCTCTGACACATTTACAAAATACCAGTTTTTTAAAATTTTGGTCAAATTATGAGTGGTTGATTTAAAAACTTTTCCAAGAAGAAGAAAAGCATGGAGTAGTAATTTAAAGAACTCAATAAAAACTTCTATTTTTTATTTTAAAATAATATACACAGTGTTATTTTCTTCAAGACCGTCCTGTGGATGTGAAATCCGTCTTCGCGTCATGTATCTCCCATATCCAGCAGTTCAGCCATCCAGCTACCTTTGGGACCCTGCTGCACCTTGTGTTTGCTGGGGAGTCACTGGAGAGTGCATCTCTGTTCAGTTTCAGGGCACGTCTCACACATTTGCTGTTCCTTATTCATTGTTGACACAGGGGATAGGTGATCCACTACTTGCTGTAGAATGTCCTTACTTTCACTAGGAGGCAGATTACTGAAATAGTATTGTGGTACCAGCTGCATAAATCTGTTTATTTAAGACAAAAAGATGAGATTATGAGTGGGGAAGGTGGTGAGAGACACCAAACATTATGTCTGGGCACTTCCCATCCCTGGAGAATCTACCTGTAGAACCGGTATTTAATTTGAACTCAGATAGTATCTCAGTCCGACTTTGTAAAATAAATACTTTCTGTTTTTTATGCAGCCAATCCTGTTGCATTTCTAGAATAAGTTGGCCTCTCTAGTGTTATGCCACACAGTGGAAGTGCTGTCTACCACTAACCTTTAGTGGAAACTAGTATTTCCCCTAAGGCCCATCACCATATAAGAGGCACCAATCGTATGCTTAAGAGAGCTTTGGGTAGGGGAGAGAGGGGGTATCTTTGCTTCTTATTTTAACTAGTACCACTCCACATCCAGCTGCGTAAGCCAGACATCTATGAGTCACTCTTGGTTGCTGCCTTGAACACTACTTGCTGGAATAGTAGTGGAACCTTCAAAATGGATCCAGACTCTGTACTGGCCTCTCAAAGACTAGTGGAGTAGTCTCACTCTTGCCATTGCCCCTCCTTTCCATTCATGTAGCAGCCACAGTTATTTTTCCTTTTTTCTTTTTAGACAGCGTCTTGGTCTGTCTCCCAGGCTGGTGTGCGGTGGTGTGACAGTACCTCACTGCAGCCTTGACCTCCTGGGCTCAAGCGATCCTCTGTCGCAGAATCTCAAGTAGCTGGGACTATAGGCGCATGCCACCACACCCGGCTAATTTTTTTATTTTGTAGAGACGGGGTCTTGCTATGTTGCCAGGGCTGGTCTTGAACTCTTGGGCTCAAGCCATCTTCCTCCTGCCTTGGCCTCCCAAGGTGCCTGGCCAGCTACAGTGATCCTTAAAACTATATCGAGAAGATGCTACTCTTGCTTAAAATGCTCCAATTGCTGTGTACTGCACTTAGATAAAATATAAACTATGTGGCCCATAAAGCCTTACACCTTCTGGTGCCTGCCTCTCTCTTCAGCCTTCCCTCCTTCCTCTTCCCCGACAGCTCCAACTGCAGTGGCTCTTGAAAGATGGCTAAGCTCATTCCTCTCAAGGTCAATGCACCTGTATACAGTGCATTTCTCTAGCATTCTGTCCTTCTTAAAGACACATGGTCTTTGTTTTTATTTCTACACTGTCTTTTCTATGCTGTAATCTAACAGGCAGGGACATTTCTTAGGTATCATCCACAGAGGCCTGCCCTTAGTAGGTACTGTCAACGTAAATTAAGATTGCATCAGTATAAACTTTAGAACTAAGAATAAAAGCCAAATTTGTCATTTACTCCTACAGGTATGAATTAAAAAAAAAATACAACCCTTTCTTCTCCATTAAACTTACAGTTCAGGAGAGATTTCTGAGGTAATCCTGATGTAGTTGTTCTCAGAAATGCTGAATTTATGGAAGAGGACCCACTCTGGCATCTTCTTGGTGATTGAGTAACCAGACAGGGGATGCAGCTGAGCAACCTGCTTATGTGTCAGCATTAAGTAGTTACCTGATCCATCAACATCCCGAGCAATCTGAAAGGCAGAATTTTAAAGAAAAAAGATTTTGTATTAATATGGAGATCATTATACAAAGATGTTTGTTGAAAAAAATACCAAAGTATTTTATACGGGATAGTTAAAACTAACGTTTGCCACTCATGTTTCCTACTTTCACATGTAGAAAATAAGCCATAAGCATGTTTTGCCTAAAACTTTGAGACAGTGATGTTAACTAACTTCAGCAACAGCAGGGCACTGCTAAAACAGTGCAGCTGTGAGGTTAATGTTTTGGCCATGAGATGAAACTTAGCACGCTACCCACCATACTATGGGCGACATACACTCCAATGCCAAGTGCTTTACACTTGGTGTGTAGCACGCAATGACCCTGTGATGTAGGAACCTTACTTTACAGATGAGGAAATCCATAATGATATGTCATTTTTCTCCATTAAGACTACATATTCTGCCTTGGCCCTTTATTCCCTTGAGGGGAAGGATACTTAAGTACCAAATCTTTAATAATAACATGGATTTTTAGTTTTACTTAATGTCAAAATCATCATCCTAAGCCATTGTTGGCAGCATATCCTGAGTATGTGCAATTCAGCAGAGCCTATGCTGAGGTGACCCCACCCCTTCTCACCTGCATAAAGTAACCGGACAGAAGAGCTTTCTTTATGTTTAGAGTGTTTTCCTTGGAGCCAAAAGCAGGTTCTGCATAGGGAAGCTCGATTCGCTTGATAATTTCTAAGAGTTCAGCTCGAATAACATCTGCCATTCTGAGTGCTGAACAGTTGAGGAAGTAATCACGACACCACTTTTCCACACAGTCTAGGAGGGAAAGAACACAAGGCTATTTAGAAATGATTTGTCAGAAGCTCTGAAGAGCCCAGGCCAGGCAGTTGCCATCTTTAAGCCCTGTGCTCTCCTCTCCTACAAAGGAGGCCACGTAGGTGAGTGGCAGGAAGGCAGCAAGGACAAGGATTTCTGGTGGCTGCAAGGTCAGCTGTCAGGGCACTACCAGGAAGGGAGACGGTGCCACCGACAGCACCCATGCCACCTGCTGGGGTTCTGTGATCCCAGCCAACTGTGGAAACTGTTCCTAGTGGTGACTGAAGATGTATTTCACTAACCCGTGGCTCATAAAGGCCAGAGAGGATTTTGTAAGATCTATGTTGTGTCTCTATGCATACAGCATGTATGTATGTGGTCCCATTTAATCAAACTAGGCAGGAAAAAGCCCACAGTATAAATTCCTCTGATCTATGAAAATATCTCATATTTTATTTAATGATAAGAACAGGATTACTACCAGGTTGATTTGGGAATTAATTATGTTATAGTTAAGCTCATCTATCTACCCTAGCTGTAACTTTTATCTTAAAATTCAGGCATGTGGGTGAGTTTGAAGTTAGTCTTTCTGGCCACCTGTAATTACTTAAGATGGACCTGGGAATGTACATGGCCATGGCACCATGGACAGAAGACCCTCATTTACCCTGTCCTGTCCACTCATGCTGCTCGGAGCAACCACAGCATGTACTTAGTGTCACCCATTCAGCATGCCCTCAAAAGGTGCCACCAGATTCCTGTGTACCTGCTGGCTCCACTGACAACTTTTTCTTCTCAGCTTTGAAACACTAACTCCCTGTTCTTTATACAATTCTGTCTTTCAAATTGCTGTCATATTTTTCACACTACTTCACATATTTTCACACCATCTTTCAGAACAAAGGAGGTAAAAGATGCTTCATGGAAAATGTCAGGGAGGGACCTTACTGGCTGCCCTTTATGGGTGGCTCTAGCCTCTGCTATGCTGCTTTGCCCTGTTTGCCCCCTCCTCTTGTTTCTGTCTGCATAGCAGCTTCCAGTTGACTTCTGAGTACCTTCCTGTGACAGGTAAGCTACCCACTGCCCTTCAGGCATACAAAGGACTTTGTGGCTTTGCTTTGACATGCGCCATTCTCTTCTCTGGACACCCTCTGCTCTCCTCTATCAAGCTCCGTCAGCAACTCTGCAGCCTCCCCTCAGCACCCCAGCCTACCTATTCTGCACTAGTATCTGGAGCTCTGCAGCCTCTCTGCATGCACGTGGTGAATGTGCCAGGATACGGAAGGTGCACAGCACAACTCTGACAGTGGGCACGTAGAGGTGGCTGTTCTTGTCTTCCTCCAAAGACCCATGTACGAGTCTGTGTCCCCCGTCACCATGCCCCAAGCAAGCTTGCTCTGAAGGCTGGCTGAGTGGAGTCCTGGAGCTCTGGAAGTACAGGCCCGCCATGGTGGCACACCAGAGCTCCGTGGGAGCAGGGGGACTGAGCATCTCCCACTCTGCAGATGCCTGTGGGTGCGTTTAGGGCCTCAAGTGCCATTGCATTCAAGTGGCCAGTAGGGCTGGCGAAGAATGTTTGATGAATAACTAATAAGGACTCAGACTTATCTAGGGAAAGGAAGGTGGAATTAATAGGTAGTTTCTGAGCATTCACTTACACTCACTGCTAGAATTCAGAGTTGTGTCTTGGTAAGCCTTGTAAATGCTGATGAGGGTAAAGTGATCTCCTTCGGGATGTAAAAATGTCTTCCAACAAGTCAAGGCAGCCTCTTCAGCTCCATGTGGCACATGTGAAAAGCAATTTGGAGCTTCAAAATGAAAAAGGTCACATGGTTAGCAATAATGAAGACATTTTATCTTAGCCTAACATGCAGAGGGGAGGGGTCACGACTGTTAGTGGCATGGCTCCTGTCTTGGTACTCTGAATAAATATGTTATTCTTGTTTACTTAGAAATCCCAGAAATTTAGAGTGAGTCATCCTAATTCTCCCTCTCCTTTTGTGTGTGTGTGTTTGCTTTTCTAAGGTCAACTGAATATGGTTAATATCCTGCTTCTATTCCGGCAGGAGCAGGGAAAACCTGAGGTGCTTGGAGGTCCAGACACAAGAAGAGGATTGGAACCAGTTCCGATACAGCACAATGGTTGGTCTGTTCCCCCAGTATTAGAATAAATTAAAACATACAAGCCAGGATGAATGAAGCCAATAGGAAATAAAAAACAGGCACACAACATTATTTGGGGAAAAACACCTCTAGTGACACATTTTCTTCATCTGCACTGATTATTTCAGCAAAAGAAATCTAGTATGTTTTCATACATCTGATGTATAAATTTGCTGAACTTTGAGTTAGTTTTCTTAAGATAATTTTTCATATTAAGAAAATTTTCCTTTTCTAACCTATTAAAATACCTCACTATCATTTCAAAAGGTTAAATGAGTTGATCACTATCTCTGCTCTGTGCTCCTCAAAATATAATTTCAAATGGATCCGATCTAAATCTATACCTAGTGCAGATTTGCAAAAAAAGAAAAGGAATAGTCATTAAGGATACCTGTTACCATGGCTGCGATTGTTAGCACTTCATCTACACAGTCAAATTCACAGGACGCTAAGATAGACTTCGAGAGTTGTGGATCAAGAGGAAACTCTGACATGATGATTCCAAATTCAGAAAGATTTCCATCATTATCCAGTGCTGCCAGATAATCTAAGTCTTCCAATGCCTGCATCAAACTTTCTGGTGCTAGGAAAGGAAAAAAATAATAATTTAAGAGTCTCATATGGCTAAGATGGAGAAACAGGTACTGGACTTTTCCCTCCTGCATGAAACAAGCAAACAATGGACAAAATATGTGAAACAACGGTTTGCAAGCCACCAAATACCAGGGAGTGAAGGATAGTGATTCTTGAGAGGGCAAACTCAGGAGGGGAGCCCTGTGATTGTCCAGCTCATGCTCCGAGGAGGGTCCCAGCTGCAGTGTGCATGCGGGGGGAACCCAGGTGGAGCCTGCCAGCCTCCCTGCAGTAGGAAAACAATGCCAGGGATCCAGGGAGACTAAGGTGGCCGGAACTCGCGGTCACAGTACTGGAGAGAGACACACAGATCTAAGTCGGGGGCCAGAGGGAGCTCCCTCAACTAGGCAGCACAGCCCTACTGATCAGCGCATGTGTGTAAGGAACCACCTCAGGCCAGAGAAAGAGCCATGTGAGAAGATTAGAAGGAACAGTGGTGCTGACACAGGACCTAGGGTAGGGCCTGTTCCCACCACCCTAGCTGGAAAACCTCATGATTTATGGGGCACTGGGTAGAAAACACAAGTGAGAAACCCTAGATGGGCACTGCCACCTGACACAGCTATACAGCAGGACCTGAAAGGATCACACTGCATCCTAGGACAAAGCTCAAAAGTACCTCTGGGACTACAAAAATATTCAGTGCCCAAGAAGGTAAAATGTACAATGTCTAGCATCCAGTAGAGAGGCATGAAAAGCAGGAAAATACATTGCATAATACAGAGAAAAATTAATCACAACTGACCTGGATCTCAGATGCTAGAAATAGTAGACAAAGATGTTATTTCCCAGTGCAAATAAAGAAATAAAGATAGCAAGCTGATTCTCTCCATCTCTTTATTTCTTTTAAGTTTATGTAACATCGATAATGATGTGGTATTATATATGCTCAGTCTTTACCAAAGTTTTTAAAAATCCATTTATTTAAAGAAATATATTCTCTTTGTGGAATAAGGCTATATATAGATTGGTGCAAAAGTAATTGCGGTTTTTGCCATTACTTTCAATGGCAAAAACCACAATTATTTTTGCACCAACCTAATATTTATTAAATAAATACATGTGTTTTGTCCACCCTTCTGGTTCCTGGTATAGCAATACAGGTCACACAATGAAGCAAATCCCATAATAGAAAGCTGCTGTATTGTTATACCCCAAAACTGCAGGATTTATGAGCCACTAGGTTGGTTTTGTTTTAGTTCCAGTAAGTGCAAGGTGGGCAGGGGCTGAAGACTCTGGGGCCCTAAGAAGCGCTTGAACCTGTCTGCTCCTGGGAGTTCAAAGTAACATATGGTAAAAATTTTCTTATGTGCTGTCTAAACTTTGATCATTAAGCTCTATGTCTAAATTTCAGGCAAACTGAGTAGCTCAAAAACCTCACTTTGGGAGGCCGAGGCGGGAGGATCACCAGGTCAGGAGATTGAGACCATCCTGGCTAACACGGTGAAACCCCGTCTCAACTAAAAAAATACAAAAAATTAGCCGGGCGTGGTGGCAGGCGCCTGTGGTCCCAGCTACTCGGGAGGTTGAGGCAGGAGAATGGCGTGAACCCAGGAAGTGGAGCTTGTAGTGAGCCGAGATGGCACCACTGCACTCCAGCCTGGGCGACAGAGCGAGACTCCGTCTCAAAAAAAAAAAAACCTACTCACAAACTTCGATTTGATAAAATTCCTCCATTCCTGTCAGGACAACTGGAAGGCATTAGAAGCCACTACTGTAGGCTGGGAAATGACTCAGGGAAGCTGCGATGCAGCCTACCACACCTCCAGTCCTGCTGGAGGACAGCGGAGCCAGCACCAGATATAACTTCAGCCTGACGCGCCCACCACAGGCAAAAGATCTGCTACTAGGAGTGAGGGGGCAGTGCCAAACCACCCAAGGGAAATCTGCAGGGAACCCAGACATCCGCTGGAGTACTGAAGCAAGGCTTTCATCCTTACCTTGGGGCAAATATGTTGAATTTCCCTATTCTGAATGTTTTCCCATCAAGATTTAAAACTGAGCAGAAGCTTATGGCTTCTCAGAGATATTCCTGTCCTGCCTGGGTCCTGACATACAGCATTACCGTCTTACTTGTTCATTCTTGGGGACCTTTGGACTAACCATGACCTTGAGAAATCACAATCATGGGAAATAAACAGATGGGCTATTCAGAAAAAAAGTTCAAGAGTTCTATCAGTGAGGCATGACATGAAAAGTAACAGCCGATCTGCTGGAGAAGGTACAAGAAGCAGCATCAGAAATAAGCATCTTAAACAGAGCAGGAAGGGGCTGGAGTACAAACTTAACTACTGAAAGCTTTTCAGAAACCAGTTTCTATAAATCAGCAAAGCTGCTGCATTATAAGTTACAGGATCTTTGGCAATGGTCCCTTTAAGCATCTGGCTTGACAGCCAGGCTCTGTCCCCAAAGGGCACCTACTATTCATTTTTACACCCTGGAGTTGAGTTGGCCGCACACAGGGTTAGTAACATAAATGACTTCATGATTCTGCTCCTGGTCCTACAACAGAAAAGGAGAGGATGTTCTTGGGGTTTTATTATATTAGAAAGAATGAGTTAATGAATGCAGATTACACAGGTGAAGAACATTAATAAATAACTAAATAGGATTTGCTAATATTATATTCTGCATTTTATCTCCCCAGTGTGGCCCATAAACTTGCTTAGCTAAAAAGCAGAAGAGTTTATATGGGGGTTCTTTAGGGCAGTGCTGCTTAAGTATAATCCATAGTAAGTAACGCTAACAAATGGAATGGAAGTGTTTTAGTGTCAGGCCTCTTTGTTCTGGCAGTGCAAAATCAGACTGCTTTATTCTGAAGGCAATTTTGAGATGAACCAAACATCATCTTTATTAAGCTCGCTTGCCAGCGGCAGCTGTACTCCCTGTGGAATAGCTCACTGCAAGGTCACACTCCTCCTCCACTACCATCACTCAAAGTAATGTGAAGGGCTATCATTACAGTATTTCTTCACTGTTCTGTGTGCCTGTTTTCTGTGGAACCCCAAATGCCAAGCTCCAATATGTGCCTGCATTTTCCTTCCTTGGCATCAGTAGAAAACCTAGTTACAAAGAGGTCATTAAACTGCAACCAGCAGAGGAGGAGCCGATGCAGCGCTAACTCCAAGCTGAGCACAGGCCAAGTGGAGTCCAAGGCCACGGCAGTTCCAGAGCTGACAGCCCCACGCGGCATGTTTCCCATGTTCTTATAGTGTTCTTATAGATGTCAGATGGTAGGAAGCCTCGGTTGGCTCCCAAACCCTCACAGGAAGTCTGTCTACTCAGGTGCTCAGGAGGCTTCCTCCAGCCAGGTCTCTTTTGTTATAACAATCTTTGGCCTACTTTCTGCCTAATCTGGCAAAAATGGCTCAGAAACACTGAATTTCCTCTCAAGGTAGCTGACATTATGCAAATGTATGCCAACATATTTATATGTACTTTCCTACAGGTAAAAGTTTTAGTCTGCAATTATTCCTGGGAATATGCATAGGAGAGAGAACATCATGCCTTCTCTTGTCTAAAGTGGACATGTATTTTCACGAGGATAGGGCAGGGGGTCTCCTGGTAACCAGTCCCCAAAGCCAGGGCCATTCCCTCTCCTTCCACCACACTCCTTAACCCCCTTTCTTCCCAATAAGAGCAGAGAAGTAAGGCTGGATTTGAGTCATTAGAGTTGGAAAGGATGTTAGAGATAGAGTGGCCTCCATGGTAAACTGAAGAAAAGCATTTTCAACTCCCTGCCCACTGGCGGGAGCCAAGATCCTTCTGTCCAGCCTTGCCCTGGGCAGGGCTCTCGGGTAATGGCAGTATCCCCACTGCCCTCCCAGTGCCACCCGCACCGTGAGGCAGGCGGAGGCCAGCTCCTCCGAGCTTAGCTGTGCCTGAAGACCTCTCACACGCCAGCTCTGCTCCTGCCCGTGACATGGAAGGAAACACACGCAGACCTTTGACAGCCACAGGCACCTCCTGATCCTCTCGACTCTCCCTGCATGTCACATCACTCCCACCGCCCAGGCCTCAGAAAGGACTAAGTGGGGAAGGAAGCTGAATTTGTCTCCCACACGTGACTGCCTTTGCTCATGTTCTGGGGAAGACTATCGGCCTTCTAGAGGGCACCTGTCTAGTCAGTATTCCTCAAGCGTAAGGGCATTGGGAAAGTTCTGCCACTTCACAAATTACCAACGGTCTCCACTCCCAGTAACTGTTCTTACAGCCAGGAAGCTGGCCCCAGGTTTTTGTAGTGGTGACTAGCTGAAGACTCTCCCCACCCTCATACCATTATAGAGAACTATCTTTAAACAAGAGTTGGCACTGTAGTTAGATAGTATGGAACTGGCAGCCCCAGAACAACCTAGAAAAATCAGGAAAAAAAATGCATGGGTTTTAAAATGACCATACAGTGGGTGTTTTCTATATGAGTAGTTAAAGGACTTTATGTTTGGTGTTGGTTCATGATTTCCTCATAAGGGTGAGGCTCAAATTATTATTTGCTCTCAGTCTGTTTTGAGTATCTTGTGCTATTGGCACTGGCAAGGCTCTGGGGCAGGCACACATCTGGGACAGCCTCACTCTTGGCCCTTCTAGCATGGATGGTCTCATTTATATATGGAGATGCACACGTAAATCAAGAATCCTGCTCTACTGGAAATGCACTTTTACCTCCAAATTGTCCCCTTTTATAGGAACTGTACCTTCACTTCCATACTTATAGGACAGGATTTTGTGCCACGTGACAACACCACATTATCACTACTAACCCCAGTCACAGGGGACTGGTTCAGGGTGGGCAGCTTCTCAAATAGAATCAATGGCTCCCTTTCTTGGGCGTTTTCGACTTTAGACCAAGGGAGTTTCCAGGAGCTGACATAGTAAATCATAAAGCTTAGGGCAGAGAGCAGCTAAGACTCTGCCCAGTTCCTAACGGGTCATTAACTAGTACCCATCGCGGCCTGGGGGTTGGAGACCCCTGCATTAATGTATATACACATTTATATCAATGGACAGAGAGAAATGCAGTTATCACTTAGGAGGGCTGAAGGAGCAAATGAAGTTTCTGTTTCTGATTTATTTTAGGGTTGGGACTTGGGCATTGTGTAAAAGAGTCCACAGGGGGAGACTCTACACATTTGCATAATGCCAGCTAACTACTCATATAGAAAACACCCATTGTATGGTCATTTTAAAACCCATGCATTTTTCTTCCTGATTTTTCTAGGTTGTTCTGGGACTGCCAGTTCCATACCATGGAAGGGAGGGAGGGAGGGGAACCTAGAGATACAGGGATGAGAAACTAAAAAACTTGTTTTGGATTTCTTAAGATACCTCAGTTCCCTTATCATAATTCACTTTTTCCTTATGCTAGTTTGAGCTGGATTACTAGTGCTTGCATTCAGAAGAATTTAATATATCCACTGCAACATAATGCATTCTATAACAGAGTGCTTCCAGAGTGCCACTGGAACTTCCAAATGGTAGGGACGTAGCATAGGGAAGAACAAAAAGAGCTATACTCACATAGTACCTACTGTGTGCCAGGTACATGCATTAATGCAGAGGTCCCCAAACTTTTTGGCACCAGGGACCGACTTCATGGAAGACAATTTTTCCACAGACCAGAGGGTGGAGAGGATGGTTGTGAGATGATTCAAGCTCGTTACATGTGCACTTTATTTTTATTATTATTACATTGTAATATATAATGAAATAATTATACAACTCATCATAGTGTAGAATCAGTGGGAGCCCTGAGCTTGTTTTCCTGTAACTAGACGGTCCCATCTGGGGGTGATGGGAGACAGTGACAGATCATCAGGCATTAGATTCTCATAAGGAGCGGGCAGCCTAGATCCCTGGCATGTGCAGTTCATAATAGGGTTCGAGCTCCTACGAGAATCCAGTGCTGCCACTGATCTGACAGGAGGTGGAGCTCAGGCAGTAATGCTCGCTTGCCCCCCACTCACCTCCTGCTGTCCGGCCCAGTTCCTAACAGGCCACGAACTGGTACCCATCACTGCCTAGGGGTTGGGGACCCCTGCATTAATGTATATACACATTTACATAAATGGACAGAGAAAAATGCAGTTATCACTTAGGAGGGCTGAAGGAGCAAATGAAGCTTCTGTTTCTGATTTATTTTAGGGTTGGGACTTGGGCATTGTGTAAAAGAGTCCACAGGGGGAGAAACTGAAGAATGAAGAGATGGTGTAGACCCTAAGACTCTACAATGTCTAGGGCCTCTGGGGAATAGCATTAAGAGTTGGCTCTGAAGAGGACAGGGAGGAAAGGCTTCTGCTTCACTTAATTTCACAGGGACATGTTCCCAAAACCTGGCATTTGCCTAACTCCTACTCCTTTACACTGTACATGGCAATTTTGCATAAACATCTCATTTGTACCTCTAAATAACCCCAGGATACAAGAGGGCAGACACTCTACCCTAATTTTACAGATGAGAAAAAGACAAGTGGCTTGCCAAAGCCACATGGCCACCCAGCTGTTTTGTCATATGTAAAGTGAGGTTTTGAACTTGGGCCTTCCACCGGCAGTGTTGAACCTGGCACCTGGCATGCTCTGCCAGCACAGCTGATGCTGGACTCCCAAGTCCAGTGCTGTTGCTGTTATCTGCCATGGCTCTTCCTGGCTCCGGCCCATCTCAGAGGCAATCTGGTGATGTCTCCTAATAACTGAGGGTCATTATCTGCTTCTCACACCCATTAAAACTGCTCTTTCTAGGACCCTCTGCAGCTCAGGGCCCCTGTGGTGCAGAGCTCAGGTAGGAGTCACTCAGACGATGACTGTGCTATAGCATTTACTATACACCAGTCACTTTTCTAAGGGGCATGCATATGTTAACTAATTTATCTTAATAACTCTATGAACCAATTGCTTTGATTATCCTCATATTCAGATAAATGAAGTGAAGCAATGAGAGTCCTAATTTACTGAATAATACCCCACTAGCAAATGATGGGGCCAGGCTTGGAGCCCTGGCAGCCTGGCCCAAGAGCCTGTGCCTTTTGGCATAGTCCCCTCAATATGGGGACCATCTACCCCAGTTTACCCAGGGCAGTATCTGTTTCCACCTTTCATCCCAGCTTAATCATTAATAGCATTCATGCCCCTGTCCCATGAAGTTCACAGGGACATGGTCAGTTTGTCTGAATTCATCGCAAAATAAACAGGTTCCATTAAGTTAAATTGCTGTTTTGTTTTGTTTTGTTAGCAGGGAGGGGTCACTCCTGCTGAGCCACAGCCATCTTTCCGCCTGCACTGTTGCACGCAAAAACATATCAACTTAAATGATAAGCCATATAGTTCCCAGGCCCACAAGAGCCTAAAGGGCTTCAGGAGCCAAAAGTACTTCCATTCTGGGCCCTTTAAAACCTCTCCTGGATTTTGTTTTCACTTTCTGTAACATTATTTACTTTATTGTTTCCAAGATCCTCACACACTGGCCCTGGAAAGTTGTTTTGGCATGTTTGCGTCTCTTTTTCACACCCCCTCATCTGAGTATAGTAGTAACTTTTGTGTAGCCTTTAAACAGATAATAGTGTAACCTTCATTAACTTAAAAACCTAGGCTGTGGCCTCCTGACAGTCATGCTAGAATATTTGCTCGACTCTCTGGGCTGTTTGGGCAGTGCCAGTCCTGCCGGTAGGTGTCAGGCACTGCGGCAGAGCTATGGGGAGGGCCACATGTGAGGGCCGTTGGCAGCCTGCTTCCTCCCATTCTCCTCTTAGTACATGTAAATGTTATATATAGTATAGTAAATGTTACGTTAACATTTAAAGATCATTTTGTAAATTCCAAAGCCAAATCTTGAGTTTCCAAGTGATTTACAAACAAGCGCATATACTTCTCTAGTATTCTTACAAACTGGGCTTTTAGTGTGGTAAATACTATTCCAGAAGGTCTTGATGAATTGGTTTAGGAATCCTCTGGTGAAAGATCTGCACCATCACAACAGATGACACCACTGTAGAATCTTTTGTTTCTCTTTTGAACCAGGGTCTTGCTCTGTCACCCTGTCTGAAGTACAGTAGCACGATCATAGCTCACTGCAACCTTGAACCCTGGACTCAAGTGATCCTCCTGACTCAGCTTCCCAAACAGCTAGTACTACAGGCGTATGCCACCACACCTGGCTCATTAAAAAAAAAAAAAAAAAAAATTTGTAGAGATGGGGTCTTGTTATATTGCCCAGGCTGGTCTTGAATTCCTGGCCCTCAAGCAGTTCTCCCACCTCAGCCTCCCAAGGTGCCAGGATTACAGGTGTGAGCCACCATGCCCAGCCCTGCAGAATCTTTAATTCCTCTTTTCACCAGAGCCATCCCTGGCCTCTGCAGCCTTTGACTTTCTTTTCTTTCTTTCTTTTTTTTTTTTTTTTTTTTGAGACAGAGTTTTGCTCTTGTTGCCCAGGCTGCAGTGCAATGGCGCAATCTTGGTTCACCGCAACCTCCACCTCCTGAGTTCAAGTGATTCTCCTGCCTCAGCCTCCCAAGTAGCTGGGATTACAGGCATGCACTACCATGCCCGGCTAATTTTGTTTTTAGTAGAGACGAGATTTCACCACGTTGGTCAGGCTGGTCTTGAACTCCTGACCTGAGGTGATCCACCCACCTCGGCCTCCCAAAATGCTGGGATTAGAGGCGTGAGCCACTGTGCCCAGCAACTTTATTTTCTTCCTGCATTTTCCCCTGTTTTCATGAGGCGTTGCCTTATCTAACGTGCCATGCCTGTTTGTGTTTGGGTTCACTTTTCTTTTCATAATCCAAAGAATCATAGATCATACCAAAGCCAGTCATCTGGCTACTACCAAAATGAGTTCTGCCTCTGAATACAAAGATGACCTCTGGTGTAGTCTGGTACCTTTTGGCTAGTTTTTCTCCAAATTTCTATCTAGGTACCACTGCCTTCCCAGGGTAGCGGCAGTCTCAGGCCATCTGTTTCCACTGAAGTGGTCAGCTGGTCCTGAGGCCTCCTACCCCAATGGACAGTGACTGTGTCATTCAGGATGGAGGTCAATTGTCAGGCAGCCAAGGAAGAAAAATACAACTGATTTTTTAAAAAGAGGTCCAGATCAGGGGAATTCAATTAACAGCCTGTAGCCTAGTTATGCCAAATTCATTTTCACATGGTTCATGCATCCTGAAAAGGGTAACTAGTTTGCTGGATTTGCATATTTCAATTATAAGTTGAATTAAATGCAGCAGCTGCGAGCATCTTTTTCTTTTTTTGCTTCCAAAACAATGAGTCAGAATTAATCCACAGTTATATTTTCCCCAAGCACAGCAGAAAAGTTATGTGTGTATTGTCAGGAGACAAAAATAAATTGTTACCCTAACCCTTTTGTCCCCCAGTTATCAGCTTTAAGCCTCATGGAATGAGCAGCACAGAGGGTGACTATTGAGAGAACACAGTGAGATAGTTTGCTTTTAAAAATCCTTGACATCACCAAGCCTTCCTTTTCTTCTCCCTGCATTTCTAGTCCACCAAACATCTACTACCCTGAGCAAGAAGATGCCTAGGAAATCAACAGGTGGTGATTCCTGGGCTTATGAGATGAACAGTGGGACTGGAAGAGCAATTTTCAAAAATGAAACCTATCTTGTTGGGGCTCAGGACACACCACCCCAAAATATGACTGGAGGAGACTAGAATATGCCACCCCAAAATATACTTCTCTGGCATATTTTGAGCTGGTTATTCTGAGAAACTGCAGACATAGGACTAGCTCTGAAAAGCTGTCACTTTGTAAAAGAAATCTACATCTACAAAGGAAATCTACATTAATAAGTGTGGTGGCTTGCACCTGTGGTCCCAGCTATTTGGGAAGCTGTGGTGGGAGGATCACTTGAGCCTGTGAGGTGGAGGTTGCAGTGAGCTATGATCACGCCACTGTACTCCAGTTTGAGCAACAGAGCAAGACCCTGTCTCAAAAAAAAAAAAAAAAAAAAAGAAAAGAAAAAAGGACAATTCAAGCTGCTGAGAATTCTTCTTTCTGCTGATTCACCCTTACGCTTCCATACTCCACATTACCCAGCTCCTTAAGCCCAGTTCCCCTGTGCTGCAGTGTCCAACAGCAGACACATTTCTCGTGTCAGAACAGTTATTTCCTAGAGGTTTGTGGGGTTTTAAAAATTACCTTCAGAGAATGTTTACCTCTAGCAGGAAAATGCTTCAGTCCAAACCAACGCCCCCTCCATGCTTGTGTGCATTGCTGCGCATCATGTGAACTCAGGACAGAGAATGGGCAGGAGAAGGTGAATCTCAGCCTAATGCCTGGCTGACATGGGAGCATAAGGCTACCTGGTCTGTTCATGAAGTCACAGTGGCCTAGGCCCGCAATGTCTATCCTCTTCATAAAAAGCACCATGCTTGTTAGGTTGGCTTCCTGCATTTCTGCTGGCTTCAGTGGCGTCATGTCTTTGGAGGCAAATTCTTCAGTGTACAGGCAGAAAAATTTTCCTAAAAGACACCAAGAAAAATGGCTTTAATATTTCTGGGTTGCCTGCATACAAGAATTGACAACATTTAGTATTTGTGTCCACAGCACTACCTGAAGAAGATGAGCCAAGAATCTGCTTGCGTATCTCTGCCTGGCTCTGGCTGATGGGCTGCATGACGAGCGAGTTTGCTCTTATTCTCGGGTTGTACACCTTTAAATGGAAAGACAGCATCATTAGCGTCAGATAAGTCATGATTCAGTAGGCTCACTGATCCTGAAGAGAATATGCTGCGCAGTACTTTACTCCATGAAATGCACTGCCACAGACTCATTTTCTTTGCACGATATTTATTATTGTTTCACTTGCCTTGAGATGGAAACTGCAAGTGCTTTGATAAATGGATTTAAAGGTTGTCTGCTTTCATTGTGGCTTCAATAACTATGAGACCTTTGTGTCATCTGCTGAAATACTAGCACTGTCACTTCTCAAAGCACTGTACTGGTGAATGATAACATATGCTCATATGTCACACAGAGAAAGGGTTCTCACCTGATAGTGCCATGTTTCTTTATAGTTTTGTTCAAATCAACCAGGATCTTGGTGGTCTCACCTTTACAACACATACTGAGAGTTCCAATCATAACAGCTAATACAGAAACTGCGTATGGCACTAACAATGATTTTCCTTACAGGTGGTTCACGGGGGCAAGTGACAGCCCTGGTTTCTCTGAAGGCTGGACTAATTCAATCAAGATCAACTCTAAGTGATTTCCAGGGAACCTTCATGACTGTTGGAATTGCTCTGTCATAATAAGTCAGGGATATTTAGGAGGCTCATAGTCTCCTGGAGGGATAAAACATCTCGGCACCTAGTAATGGTAAATTAGTCAATATTTGTTAGTTTCGTTTGAGATCTCAAATGTTAGGATTTTCTGAAGTCTCAGTGTCTTTCAGAGTTTGAGATACCTTGTTTTCATTTTTTCTAATTTTTAATTTAAAAGTAATAAAGAATATTTTGTAATGATTAGGATGAAAATTTTATCGTCAATTATAAGCCAAAATTTGCTAAAATTAAAGTCAGTATACTTGAAACAAGTTTCTAGTAAGTTCTCTGGGGTAAGATACTAATTACTCTGATAAAGGGGCTATCAAAAAAATCCAGTAAATTGTTCATAAGAAGAGATCAGTTTAAGAGTCAAACAATTTGCTTTGCTAGTACCTTAGCTAAAGAAAAAATACTATTAAAGATGACTATCACCTTTATGCTCTAGTAGTTGAGTCTTCCCTCAAAACTTTCTCCTTTGGCAGCTCAATCAATTTAATTCATTTCCAAACCTCCAACATGCTAATGGAATCAAGACTTTTGTTACTGGCTGCAATAATTCTTCTTTGCACTCATGACCAAATTCAACGAATCCCCAGGTCACATAGTTCATCCTCACTTCCTGATCAGTAAAATGGTAGGAAACTGAGAAACTAGTGCTTGACAACGATCAGCAGTCTGTTTAGCCTACTCAATAATAATTACCTTTCTTCTTTCCACACCCACATCGATAACAAATCTGACTGAGTTGCTCCAGATCAAAAACTCTCCAGAGCTAGTAGTTAACACCACTCTTCTTTGATAAACTTGGCATCTTTTTTCTGTTTCATCGAGTGGCTTGAACAATGAACATTTCTCTTTTGGATACAAAGGAACAACCACCAGTTCTCCAAGATCTGGGTTTAGGTTAGATCCTTGATAGACAGTTTCACAGACTTTCTCAATATCCTAAAGAAAAAAAAACCCATGAAAATAAAATACAATGCAAACAACATCACTATTAAAAAAATGTCTGAATTACAAAAAATTTTAGGCAATACTACGTAACAGATACAGGGAAAGAAATCCCTGTGTTGCTGCCTACATGTATCTTTAAATAAGTAAAGATGCACCTAAATGAGAAAACGTCTTTGGGGAAGTTAAATATAATTTATATTGTTTTCCCATTTAATTTTGTTAGATTTCACTAAAAATCTAAGTAAAAAAGATGACTTCCCACAACTGCCATAGTTTTTACAGCTCAATTCCATTCTCTAGGTCTCTAGCTTATGTCTCTTTCCTTTCCATACCATTTGTAGAATGGGATTGAATTAACTCAAGGGTTTTGTAGGAAGACAGATCCATCTAGAAAAATAGCAAGGTATCACAGGTCACTGAGAACTAGGTGAGCTGTGCTCGTTTCCTGGTCTGCTAAGTGGCTCCCAGGAAGCTGGGCAGAGGCCGCTCCAGGGGGTCCCACATCAGCTGGTACACAGGTACGGTCCCTTGCTTGCACTTCCTTTTTCCACATATAATTGAATTACTTGGGGCAGATTTTTTACCAAGCAAACAGCATGGCTGTTGATCCTAATGAGTGAAAACTTGCCAATTGGAATAATGAGAACAAAACGTTTTCTCCATTCTTATAATTCTGATTACTTCATTTTACTCCACATATTAAGGAAGGATTGTTTAGAAATTAAAAGGAAGGCCAGGAGTGGTGGCTCACGCCTGTAATCCCAGCACTTTGGGAGGCTGAGGCGGGCGGATCATGAAGTCAAGAGATTGGGACCATCCTGGCCAACATGGTGAAACCCTGTCTACTAAAAATACAAAAATTAGCTGGGCATGATGGCATGCGTCTGTAGTCCCAGCTACTCACAAGGCTGAGGCAGGAGAATCACTTGAACCCGGGAGACAGAGGTTGCAGCGAGCCGAGATCGTGCCACTGCACTCCAGCCTGGCAACAGAGTGAGACTCCGTCTCAAAAAAAAAAAAAAAAGAAATTAAAAGGAAAAGAATGAGTACTTGAGCTGAGCTGCATCCCCTGAACCTGGCTGCTGCTTGGCCTTAGGAGGACACGCATTCATTCCTCCCAGATGAGTCCATCAAGCAAGCTTCTCACTGGTGCAACTTAACAGCTAACCTGGATTTGGAAAGGGGTATTTGATTCCAGCAGCCCATTCATGAGCAATTTCCTATCAAGATAAACTGTTTTTTTTTTTTTTTTTTGAGATGGAGTCTCGCTCTGTTGCCCAGGCTGGAGTGCAGTGGCCCGATCTCAGCTCACTGCAAGCTCTGCCTCTCAGGTTCATGCCATTCTCCTGCCTCAGCCTCCCGAGTAGCTGGGACTACAGGTGCCCACCACCATGGCCGGCTAATTTTTTTTGTATTTTTAGTAGAGACGGGGCTTCACCGTGTTAGCCAGGATGGTCTCGATCTCCTGACCTCATGATCTGCCTGCCTTGGCCTCCCAAAGTGCTGGGATTACAGGCGTAAGCCACCGCACCTGGCCCAAGATAAACTTTTTATTGCACTGAAATATTTACTTTTATTCTCCTAGAAGATGTGGGAAAAATAATTATGGCCACTAATTCTTTATTTGGTTCTAGCTGCTAAAACTTTTTAGTCATAGGTGAATTCTTCGGTCTAATGCTCTCTCACTGAGCTATTTTGGCTGTCTTGTAAGTTGGTTCTAATGTTGAATTTTGTTCCAAATGGCAATAAAAAAGAATTTTTAAAATCTTCAGAAGGGAAAAAGCAGAGCAAAACAGAAATAGATAAATAGTTTAGGCTCCTCAAGCACAGCTGATACAGGGCTTTAAGGCCATAATCTGCAGAATTTGGGGCAGAAAAGCTTTAAAAAATGTGCATCTGGTACTTCAGACATTTTGTTTATTCATTTCCTTGATTCTTATTCAATGTATGTGGTTTATTTACATACGCATAACTTTCCTATAACTACCTGCACAGTTACGGAAAACAGCAACACCCACTGAAGGACGATATCTAGCAGACATCTAGCTCACCAAAAATGAAAGAAGATCCACAACTGCATAAAACATTTCCCAGGAAAACCTCCAACCTAAAAACACCTTTGTGATAGTTTATTACTGTACAGTAATCTGGCTACATATTATCGTAAATCTCAATGTATGTTTTCTGCTTATTTCATATTTTGTCTTCCGGTTAAAAGACAGCTAGGTGATAGGAAACAACACGCTAAACATTCAGGGCTCTAAGTCTCAATTAAGTGCCAAGACACAGGGCAGCCTGTGAATCACAGAGATTAATTCACAGCAGGTGTGGTGCTAGGCAAGTGGCTGGAGAAAATGTGACACACCTAAGGCAAATGCACTGCCGTTTCACCAAAATGTTTGAGAATATTTCTGTAATTTAAAACATACTTCTTAATATAAAAAATGGCAGGGCTGGGTGCAGTGGCTCATGCCTATAATCCCAGCACTTTGGGAGGCCAAGACAGGAGAACTGCTTGAGGCCAGGAGTTCAAGACCAGCCTGGGCAACATAGTTAGACCCCGTCTCTACCAAAAAAAAAACAAAAAACAAAAACTAGCTGGGCATACTGGTGCACACCTGTAATCCCAGCTACTTTGAAGGCTGAAGAGGTAGATGGCTTGAGCCCAGGAGTTCGAGGTCACACTGAGCCAAGATCACACCACTGCACTCCAGCCTAGGCAACATAGTGAGGTCCTGTCTCTAAGTAAATAAATACAAATTTTAAATGACAATTAATACATTTGTATTAGACTGGTTGAGTTTGTTTTCACATGATATTTAAGTGCTACGGTAGGTTTTAAAGCTTTATATAGAAATCAAGAAAGCATCAAATAGCATGGGGGGAAATGATCAATAGCTGTTAGCACTGATTTCGGTGCAAGACAAATCTTTCCAAGACACAAATCCCAATCCATAAGAGATGAGAATCTTAATGAGGGATCCTGACAAAAATAGTAAAAAAGAAAAGTCCATCAGTATACTGAATGGTGTTCTGCTTGTTAGGCAGTAGATGGGGTAAGGAAAACCAGATAACACCTGTGGAATCCAAGGCTGAAGCAGGAGAAAGAAACCTGGTGCCCAGGTAAAGTCTGCTGAAGCCAGCCCAATGTCAGTGGCTGGCTTGCTGCCCCACCCACAGGGCAGGTCGGCTGTTGAGCCCCTGAACAATGAGGAGCTCACCTTTAGAGGGTCCAGTGCTCCGCCTGGGTCACAGAGGCTCAGAATTACAAAATCCTCTGGTAGCTTTCATGGCACTCTCACTTTAAGACTGCAAGACTGATGGTTTCTTAATAGGAATGCCTTTCCAGCCTGCCTTCAGGGGAAATTACATACCTCTCCAAGTCCTGTGGCATTTACAGTTTCTACTACCAGCCTGGATAATGATGCATGTTCTAAAGTTGACAGTTCAAAAGTCACTCTACAATTAATTATAGTTTATATTAAACTTATAAGAATCATGTACTCTAAGACCATCTGCACCTCAGTTCTGTTATGAGCTTTATTTTCCAAGATCCAAAATCCATTTCCAAATCCATTTAGGAATTTTTGCTTACCCTGACTTGAAGGATTACACCCATCCTATCAGTCTTAATTGCATTTTTTTCTTGCAGAAATGTATATCCTGGTTTTTTTTTTTTAATTTTTCATTTTTTTTTTTTTTCTAGAGACAGGGTCTTGCTCTGTCACCCAGGCTGGAGTGCAGTGGTGCAATCATAGCTCACTGCAGCCTCAAACTCCTTAGTTCAAGCAATCCTCCCACCTCAGCTTCCTGAGTAGGTGGGACTACAGGCCTGAGCCACCATGCCTGGCTAATTTTTTAATTTTTTTGTTGAGATAGGGTCCTGCTATGTTGTCAAGGCTGGTCTCAACCTCCTGGCCTCACGTGATCCTCCCGCCTCAGCCTCCCAAAGTGCTGTCATTACAGGTGTGAGCCACAGTGCCCGGCCTACGTCCTGTTTTTCACCTGGCAATTCTGACTCTCAAATATATTAGATTTGCCATTCTTCCCTTCCTTAGGCTTCATCTGTTTACACTGAGAACCTCCAACTGTTTTCATAAATCCTATGTCTCCGTAATCATTTTATTATTTTCCTCAGGACTTTCTTGAATATCTTGAATCATGCAGGATGAGATGATAACAGAATAAATCACTGTAATAGGCAGATTTGCTATTCAAGAGAATGTATATCATATACATACAAAAAATGATAAATATGCAGTCATATTGAGGTTCTAGAAACAGATACATTTAAGAAAACTAAAGTTCCCAAAGCCAGAAGGAGCTGTCATCCTTTATGCTTTGAGTATAAAATAGAATAAATACTTCTGAAAGTGTTTCTGAAATATGTGGATGTTCAAGAAAAGGCTCTGACAGACAGCTGAGCCACTTATCTGTTCAGCTGTGGCTCAGCCTACATCAAATAATTTCCTTTTTGGTTTCTGTTTAATGAGTAGAACCACTACATATATGGGTCATGGTCTAAAAACTCATGCTTCTCCTCTCTGTGGGAGAAGACAGGGAAAAAAGGCCAGGCAATTAGTCTCCATGAAGAGAGGTCTAATTCTGGAGATCCTGGAGGCTTTTAGATTCAGCCAACAGAGTAGTGGGGAAAGAAATAGGGCCAGTGTAGCTGCAATTTAAAAAAAAAATGCAACCCCAAATGGTACCTTGGCTGTCTAAAAGCAGTAACAGAATGGAAATGATGCTTGATTGCACATTTCCAGTCATTCTTTTAAAGAGATGTTTTAAAGAAATCTGAGTTAAAGGTTTTTTTTTTTGTTTGTTTGTTTGTTTTTTTTTTTTTTTTTTAATCTTTTAAGAATGGAGCCCCAGTCCAGGGAGATGACCTTTTCGGGTGGGCTATATTTTCTGCCCATACTCCACTGACTATCACAGGACTGCTTGTGGGAAATGTTGTGTTACTTAACTCTATGGTGAGTGCTTAGGTAATAGTCCTGATCTCCAACAAACACACCTGCTCACAGGGAGGCAGTGGAGAATGTCAGGGGAGTCGGCATGCACCTACTGTACCAAGAGACAATTCACAGCAAGCATAAATAGAGCCAGCTGTGCCTTTGGGGCAGCCACTCTCTGGCCTGAGCCTGCTGGAGGGAAGTTGGCTCTGGAGATCATGTCTAGAGACTCCTCACCCATATTTTGTTTTCAGAACTGCATGTGATTTTAGAAACACTTCCTGTTCTCCTTTCAGCACAGGTTTTATTTAATGAGGTGTGATGAAACCAAATATTTAAACAGTTAATTAGCAAACTGAAACCTGTATGTTAGTTATTAAAAGCTTCCCAAATGAAATACCTTATTACTGTAAGGTTAGAGTATCACTTACTTACTTGTTCACAGGCCAGAAAGACTACAATGTCACCTTTCTCACCCGAGTGGTGAATTTCAAAGATAAGGCGTAAAATAGACTCAAAAGAATCCTTTTGAGCCTCACTAAGGTACACAACCTCCACAGGGTGTTTATTTTTCACTTCTATGACAGGCACGTTTCCATAATAAGAATTGAGTTTGCTGATCAGGTGAGGTGAGGAGTTAATTATGAGCTTCAGTTCTGGTCTTGCTAGTAAAACATCTTTAAGAAGTCCAAGTAACACATCAGTTGCAATGCTTCTTTCATGAATATCATCTAAGATGATGACCCCATAGCTACCCAAAAAAGGATTGGACATCATTTCTCTTTGCAGCATATCATCAGTACAATACCTATAAAGAAGAAACATTAAAGTTAGAATATTCTTATGCTAACTCATGCAAAAAACTTCCTAACAAGAAAAATGCCTTTCCTATATTCATTTCTCTAAATCAGTAACTCTAAATTTTTACTGGGGCCAAAATTCCTTTAAGTTGATACAATCTACAGAATTATAGCACAAAAAAACACAGATAAACAAGATTTATACCCAGTTTGTATATGTTCATGGACTGCCCCCTACAAAGACCATTCTGAACCCTAAGTTAAAGACCTCTGCCTAAATGTTTATTACAAATATTAATAAAAGCCTGCATCTAACTTTTGTTCTGAGCTTTATACATAAAAAGTAGTATCATAAAACACCCTGGTCAATTTTTCCTCTCGAATTCATCAATGAAAGAATTTTGAGTAAAATTATACACTTTTCAAGGAAAGGATACAAGAATAACCATCCTGGCTCAGGCTCATGGTCCTGCTAGCCCACTGTTAGGACAGACACTATTATTGGTGATTCACTGTGAGAGATGATATCATTAAGATGTCATCCAAATAATAAGCAAACAGAAGGATCTAAAAAGTAACCACCTATTTAAGGGCAGCATGAAAACTGGCTAGAATTCCTGGAGTGGGGAGAGGTCATTAGTGATTTTAATGGGCTTTTCCCATACTTCTTGGGATGATTTTTTAAAATTAAAATAACCACCTATTAGTCACTAAGCTTAATGAAAATAACTTTCTGACACTATTTACATATTTACCTGTATTACTGCTTGAAGAAACCAATCCCATTTTTTTTTTTTTTTTTTTTTGAGATAGAGTCTCGCTCTGTCGCCCAGGCTGGAGTGCAGTGGCGCAATCTCGGCTCACTGCAAGCTCCGCCTCCCGGGTTCACGCCATTCTGCCTCAGCCTCCAGAGTAGCTGGGACTACAGGCGCCCGCCACCACGCCTGGCTAATTTTTTGTATTTTTAGTAGAGACAAGATTTCACCGTGTTAGCCAGGATGGTCTCGATCTCCTGACCTTGTGATCCAGCCACCTTGGCCTCCCAAAGTGCTGGGATTACAGGCGTGAGCCACCGCGCCCGGCCCCAATCCCATATGTTTTTTACCCATTTAAGGTATTTACTTTTATTTATTCTTGTACATGGCAATTCTGAGATTGCTATCCTTCGACAGGCCTGCCTGCAAGGTTAGCCCTTGGCTAGCATTTGGGAACTTAGATTTGGGGAGGGTCCTCACCATTCCCAGAACTGATAAAGAGTAGTTTGCCCCGCCTGTAATCCCAGCACTTTGGGAGGCCGAGGCAGGCGGATCACAAGGTCAGGATATCGAGACCATCCTGGCTAACGCGGTGAAACCCCGTCTCTACTAAAAATACAAAAAATTAGCCGGGAGTAGTGGCGGGCGCCTGTAGTACCAGCTACCCGGGAGGCTGAGGCAGGAGAATGGCGTGAACTGGAGAGGCGGAGCTTGCAGTGAGCCGAGATTGCGCCAGGGCACTCCAGCCTGGGCGACAGAGCGAGACTCCCCCAGAAAAGAGTAGTTTGCTGTGCCTGAACCATTTGTACAGGCAATATGTTTTACGCTGCACATGTGCTTTCCTTCTGGGAGTCTGGAATTTTGAAACATACTAGGCAGAGGGTGCCTCTACGGCCAGCCCTCAATAAAAACCCTGGGCACTGAGCCTGAGTTTCCCTGGTAGGGCACCATTTCACGAGCTGTGAATGAAGTGCACGGTTTGTGACTTCACTGGGCGAGAGCTCGTGAGCTTGCGCCTGGGTTCCTGTAAACTTCGTCCCATCCACTATTTCCCTTTGCTGATGTTGCTTTGTATCTTTTCAATGCAATAAACCTTAGTTATATGTAAATAATATGCTGAATCCCATGAACCTTTCTAGCAAATCACTGAACCCGGGGGTAGTCTTGGGGATCTTGACACAGTCCTCAATTAACCTCTTTCAAGGAAAAAAAAAAAAAGGAAGTAAACAAACATCTATTAAGCACCTAGTGTGAGCCAGTCACTAAGCTGGTGTATATGTTTCTCATTTAATCTTCAGAATAAATCTTCAAAGTAGATATTGCTATCCCATTACTATGACTCATTTATAAATGAGAAAACTGAAGGTCAGAAAAATTCAGTACCCTGCCCAAGGTCACAAAGCCAGGTAGAGAGTCAAGATTTAAACCCAGATAGTTGTTCTATCTGTTGTCACTGTCAAATTATAACGATTGCTTCCTTGGCCTTGTAGTTTTGGTGATAAAAGTCCATGTTCTTCCTCTCTGGATCTTTATGAGATCAAAGTGTATGCCCTCTGCCTTTCTTTTCATACAGGTTCTCATCCTGTGTCTTTCAAATGAGCAGTGATAAATTGATGATTCCTTTCCTCAAACTTAGAAAATAAAGCATCTTGAATACTATAGTATTATACTTTGTGCAAGATGCCAACAGATGCATTGAAATCTAGTTTTCAATTTTTTTTTTTTTGCTGAGGCTAATTAGAGATTTAATTTCTAATGTTATCTCTGTTTCCTTTTCAGCAAAACTCACCTAAGCACTGATCTTATAGGAAGTAATGCTGCCCCATAAGATTGAGGAGGTTTATGTGTTATGTAAATACATCTAGGCTTAATTAAAAAAAAGAGAAGATGCTAACTTATTAAAAACTCCAGCAGACTCATCCAGCAAGGCCTAGCCTTACAGATGATTATATAAGGGAATTGTGAAGGCTCAATCCTAAAACTTACTATACAAACCCACATTTTTCTGCAGTCCCACCTACTTGGGAGGCTGAGGTGGGAGATCACTCCAGCCCAGGAGGAGTCCCACATTACAGTGAGCTATGATCCCACAACTGCATCCCAGTCTGTGCAATGTGAGCAAGGCTCCAACTCAAAACAAAGCAAAAAAAAAAACTACTTTTTTTCTATATAACACAAAGATATGTTTCTGAACTTTATGGTAATGAGATATTGTGTGTATGATACTTTAAAAAGTGCTGTTAACTAATAAGTACGTAAAAAAAATAGATACACTACCAAGGTTTCAGGAAATGCAGTTTATATCTTTAAATTAAGGCTAAATTTCTAAAAGCTAAGACTATAATAAAATAAAGTTTTATTAATATTTATATTTTATAAAATTATATAATTGAGTTTAACCTTAATGAAAATTTGAGAATTTTCCAGTTCTAAAAACAGAAAAGACCACCATTTGACACTATGAGTCACTTCTATGAGATATCTTGATATGTAGTTCCTAAAGACTATTTTAGGTATATAATATTCAGGTATTCACTGTTTCAAAAAAGGCCAGAGAAAAGCTTAAAGAAGAACAAAGTTGTTACATATAGCATCCAAAAAATAGTAGTAGGCTTAAAGACAGTTTACTAATTGCCTATGATGTGTTTGATAGATACTAAGGGGCTACCAAAAAAATGAAAAAGACAGTATCAAATATAGACTACTGCCTTCTATAATCAATGATCAATTTTTTTTTTTTTTTGAGATGGAGTCTCACTCTGTTGCCCAGTCTGGAGTGCAGTGGCATGATCTCGGCTCACTGCAAGCTCTGCCTCCTGGGTTCACGCCATTCTCCTGCCTCAGCCTCCTGAGCAGCTGGGACTATAGGCACCTGCCACCACTCCCAGCTAATTTTTTTTGTATTTTTAGTAGAGACGGGGTTTCACCATGTTAGCCAGGATGGTCCCGATCTCCTGACCTTGGGATCTGCCCGCCTTGGCTTCCCAAAGTGCTGGGATTACAGGCGTGAGCCACCGTGCCCGGCCAATCAATGATCAATGTTAAATCCTCTGATTTAAATAGCTATTCAATCTGAGCTTATTCAAAATTATGGCTAGCATACCTCTTCAGGAAAATCAATCTTGTTCTAATCATAATTATAAAAATATAATTATAAACATAGCTACCACATACATACACCATGCATCAGTTACATAAATTTAATAGTCCTCACAACAACCCTCAGAGCAAGTATATTAATCGTCCACATTTTTCAGATGAGGCAACTTAAAGGTCAAAGAGGTTAGGTGACTTCTATAAGGTTACAAGTGAGTAAGTGGTGGAGACACCCTTTGACAGCCATGTTGCCTCCTCTCCAGAGCATGGAATACCAGGAAGAAAACAGGTGTTGCTTTATTTTATCATAGGGGTCTTTTCAATAGCTCTGGCCTCTTTCCTGTGACTCAAACACTGTTTACCACAATGCATCAGAGTATCTTCTGACTCTGCGCTGGTTCTGGGGGCATGTCACAGTGGAAAAGAAAGTACAATGTTCAGAAGCAAGAGTAACTGTGAAGTGAAGATATGAAAGCAATGAAGAATAAGGCAGCCCAGCAAGGGCAGAAAGAAACAACCTGCAAAACCTGTCAAAGCAGGAAGCTACTCTCCACCTGTCTCCATGGGTGCCTTTGTACCTCAGCCCACCACACCTGAAGCAACTGTCCCTGTTAAGAAAGGAATGCCATACACAGATTGAAACTAATACATACTTTAATATATAGTATTTCCTTTGGGTGTCAGAATTGAATGCTTGGGTTTTTACCATAAAACAATCCTAAGCCTAACATGTGATAGATGTTTAAAAGGTGAGGCGTGTCTAACAGTATTATTAGATTTCCCCACCATTATTTGTCTTTGTGGCTTTCCATATTAAGAAGTATCTTAGGCTGGGTGCGGTAGCTCACGCCTGTAATACCAGCACTTTCAAAGGCCGAGGCCAGCAAACTGCCTCAGCTAAGGAGTTTGAGACCAGCCCAGGCAACATGGCGAAACCCCGTCTCTACTAAAAATACAAAAAGTTAGCCAAGTGTGATGGTGCATGCCTGTAGTCCCAGCTACTTAGGAGGCTGAGGCACGATAATCGCTTGAACCCGGAAGATGGAGGTTGAAGTGAGCTGAGATCGTGCCACTTCACTCCAGCCTGGGAGACAGAGTGGGACTCTGTCTCAAAAAAAAAAAAAAAAAAAAAAAAAAAAAAAAAAAAAAGAAAGAAAAAGAAATATCTGATTCCATATCATGACAAAGCTCTTATAATATCTCATTTTAAAAATGACTACATTAAAGAATCCTTTTAAAGGGTTTTCAAAGTCTAGATGGTATTAAAGATATAATATTAACTTCAGAACCTAGTCAGAGCCATCATTTAATTAAAAACATAATTCAAAGGGCTACTTTAAAATGTCAAACCAACCAACCAACCACAAATCTGCTTAGGGATCCTTCACCCTTTCAGGGTCCTATGTCTTGTCCTGTCCAGCTCTTTAACTAGTTTGTGAGCTCCTAAGAACCAGAGAGGTTTTTATGTTTCTTTTGTACCACTCACGTACAATTTACACAATCAGCAATTTATAAATACATAGTAATTTAATGACTCAGGGACATAATTGTTATAATAACAGAAGGTAATATATCTTCAAGAAGTTCAAGTCAGAGTGCTGATGGTCTAAAGACTTTCCCCTATGATTTGACACTAGCCTGAAGACTGTCTTCTACTTTTGAAGATAAACGTTTGAGGGAAAGTAGCTTAGTACAAACCGAATGAGCCCCATGGGCTTTCTTTTTTTCTGGGACAGGGTCTCACTCTGTCACCCAGGCAGGAGTGCAGTGGCGCGATCACAGCTCACTGCAGCCTCGATTTCCTGGACTCAAGTGATCTTTCCGCTTCAGCCTCCTGAGTAGCTGGGACTATAGGCATGCACCATCACGCTCACTAATTTTTGTATTTTTTGTAGAGATGAGATCTCACTGTGTTGCCTAGTCTGGTCTCAAACTCCAGAGCTCAAGCAATCCTCCTGCCTCGCCCTCCCAAAGTGCTGGGATTATGGGCATTAGCCACTGTGCCCAGCCCCATGGGTTTTCTGAATGGAGATAAGAACCGCACCAGAGTGCAGTGCTAGCTGGGACAGGGCAAAATCCCTTCCACTATCCAGTTTACCGAACATCCTCCTGGGGATGAGCACATGAGACACTAGGGATATGAGCACGTGAAAAACCATCCCTGCCCTGTTACAGAAAAGCAGAGCTTCCCCAATGCTGTGCGTGGCACACTGTATGCCACACAAATGGGTTAGAGAGGTGCAGAAATACTGACCCCGAGATACTTAGCTACTTGGCTCTTGGAGTGGTCGGGCAGTGCCCGGGGCAGCTGAAGCCCGTGGGATGGTCAACTCTGGCTCCAGGCAGCTGTGACCATTTCCTTGCGGTACTGTATGGATACTATCACTTTCTATGATGGCTGTAATATAAAGGTGCTTGAGAAGCACTAGCCCAGAGCAGTGATTTTTCCAGTTTCTTTTTCCTTTTTTTTCTTCTTTCAAGCTCTTGGAAATCCTTCTTCAAAGGAAATCTCATAATGAAGCTAAGCACAGAAGAGATACCACAACTTGCGGTAGCCACAGAGAAGTCTCCTTGGAACATAGAAGACTCTGCAAAGCACAGTTTGAGAAACACTGTCGAAGCTGCTATGATGCAGGCTGACACCAAGTTTTCCAGAAGCCCCACAGAGGGTTTTCTAATGTGTATTACTGGAGGGGCAGGGAAGCCTTCCTGGAGTAGGTGGCTGCTACACTGCATACTGAGTGACTAGGAGGAACTAGCCGGGCCCGGACATGCTGAGCACAGGGAGGGGCAGGTGTACAGGCACAGGGTGTGGAAAGCACAGGGCACACAGTGTGCTCCAGGTGTCCATGTGGCTTGCACACAGGCAATGATGTGGACCCTGCATGAGGCATAGCTCCAGAAGCACACGCTTGAAGGTTCTGAGGGGCCAAGCAAGTTGTTAACTTTTTCCAGGGGATAATGGGAGTCATGGGATACATTTAGACAAGGAATCCCAGATGATGCCAGTGTGGGAAAGCAACTGTTGCTGGCTGGCTGATGACAGAGACCAGTTGCTACTGCACAGCATAGATGCTTAACAGGTAGAATGCCAGAATAATGCTCCTTCAGAATTGTAGAACCTAAGCCAAGAATCATCAGCAGGGAGCGGACTGAACCCCACAAACCAACCTCAGGATTGTTTCGTTGGTACAGCAGTTCTCGAAAGGGATCACGTAGCCAACCTCATGACCAATGTTAACATCCATTTCATCCGCCACCCGCAGGGCGAGCTGGACCACAGTCTGCTTGTGGACCTGTGTGCATATCACGCCCCCGTGCTGGTAGTGGATGGAAAGACAATATTCAGCACACCACTGAGGAACCTGTAGCAGGAAAAAATGAGACAGGATCAGCTTCTGCTGAAAACAAAACAAGAGACATCTCTGTCTTACAGCAGGGTTCATCTTATAAGTGATTTTCTTTCATCAGTAAATCAGCAGTGGGCTGTATTACATCTTACTTAGTGAAACTCTGAACAATATGGATTATGCACAGAGTTACTGCTAGGAAATAAAGTTAAGAAGAAACAGGAGTTAACAGGGACTGTGAAAGTTTGACTGCCAGACAAAAAAAGGCAGATAAAAATCAAGGACAGGCCGGGTGTGGTGGCTCACGCCTGTAATCCCAGCACTTTGGGAGGCCGAGGTGGGCGGATCACGAAGTCAGGAGATCGAGACCATCCTGGCTAACATGGTGAAACCCCGTCTCTACTTAAAATACAAAAAATTAGCTAGGCGTGGTGGCGGGCGCCTGTAGTCTCAGCTACTTGGGAGGCTGAGGCAGGAGAATGGCGTGAACCCGGGAGGCGGAGCTTGCAGTGAGCAGAGATTGTGCCACTGCACGCCAGCCTGGGCGACAGAGCAAGACTCCGTCTCAAAAAAAAAAAAAAAAAAATCAAGGACAAAAATGAAAAAAAAAATACTTTCAACCTCAACTGTGTTTCTGAAAAGACTAATGTATTTAGAGATTATTTTCTTTTTGATTAGAAGGCCCATCAAAAATATGGCTTCTGTTATCAGCTATTGTGTTTTAAGCAATGTAAATTATAGATAGCATTTAGATAAAAACTAGTGACTCAAAATTAAAGCATTTATATTTAAATCCAAATGATGATAACAAATATCCAGATAAGCCTACTTAACATTTCTCTGATAATAAAAGCTAAAATATCCTGGTAATTTACAATCTAAATATAATTAAATAAATAAACCCATCTAAATAAACCCAGTGAGATAATCAACCAACCCATCTGGATTTGGAGTCAGTTCTAAGCAAAGCTACTCTAGAGCCATTTTATTTTAAAAATCCTTTTTTTTCTAAAATATATTATGGACCAACTGATGTTTATCACATTCATTTGTACAAGAATTATTATAGTAGAATGTACTGAATTCATTTGTATGCTACAATCTTAAGGCATTGTCAGTAAATTATGCATTGTTACATGCATTTTAAAAATAAATTATTCCAAGAGTGTTTTTAATTGATCTAAGGAATTTAAACGTTGTAAAATTTCTAATTATCTTGAGGTCTGCTATTTATGAGATTCATTATGAAATTCTTAGATCTGAATTCTCACTGTAATTTGAAAAATAAACATAACTCACCAGAAATACAAGTAACTCCAAAATGAATGACTGCTGTAGACTGTAAATTCCTAAGGACTGAAAGGCAAATGCACTTCCTGCACTTTCAGATAGGTGTCAGCCTTGTCAACAGGTTGCAAGTTATCAGTAATTATTTACTCAACGCTTACTTTGTTCTATGAAAGATGAAATTTTAAGATACTGCGCTCAGGAAACGTGGAATCAAGGCAAGATCCAGGAATAACAAGCCACCTAAGGGATTGGCTTGCCATTAATTTGTTCCATGTAAACCACAAATTTTCTAAGCTTTAGTTAATTCTTACCTGTAAAATGAATAGACTGAATGAATGAGAATTATCCTTCAAGTTTGAACTCTGGTGTCGTTTTCTCCACAAGGCTTGCTGTGATCCCCTAGGTATCTAGATCCACGGTGTGCTTCCCACCGTGGCAGCCATCACCTTCCTGAGGTTGCTGTTTGTTCCTAGTTCCCCACTACCTAACGGCCCCTCAAATGAGCTCTAAAAGCAGAGACCTATCCGTGTTGGTCACCAAATTATCCTAGTACTCAGTAATTATTCATTGAATGAATAATTTCTTATACTGTCTAGAAATAATTTAAAATTCTGTGATTCTACATAGTTTAAGATTCTACATCGTTTAAGAATTTACATAAAATTTTGCCTCCTTTATTCCTTAGCAAGTAATTTTTTATTCTTGCCAAATTCTTACTTTTAAATGGATTGCCTTCATGTCAGGGTCCACTATCTAGGGTCCCTAGCCAAGACCTCAAACATCATTCATGTGAAAAGCTATATTAAAACTACTTGTTTTTAAAAAATTTTCTTTAGGCCAGGCATGGTGGCTCATGCCTGTAATCCTAGCAATTTGGGAGGCCAAGGCAGGTGGATCACCTGAGGTCAGGAGTTCAAAACCAGCCTGGTCAACATGGGGAAACCCTGTCTCTACTGAAAATACAAAAATTAGCTGGGTGTGGTGGCGTACGCCTATAGTCCCAGCTACTCAGGAGGCTGAGGCAGGAGAATCGCTTAAACCTGGCAGGCAGAGGTTGCAGTGAGCTGAGCTGGCACCACTGTACTCCAGCCTGGGCGACAGAGTGAGACTCTGTCTCAAAAAAAAAAAAAAAATTTCTTTAGTAGAGACAGGGTCTCGCTCTGTTGCCCAGGCTGGTCTCAATTGCCTGGGCTCAAGTGATCCTTTTGCCTCAGCTTCCCAAAGTGTTGGGATTACAGATGTGAGCCCCTGTGCCCAGCCAAAACCCTTGTTTGAATATGATTCTCTGTCTCTCCACTATGTGGGAAGATCCTTAAGCTACACGTGTGGTTTGCATTTGTTCCCAATACCGAACAGAGGATCTGACATATGGTAGGGATAAGAGTTGAGTGGAAAGATGGATAAGGACATCATAATAATTGAAAAGAAGAGAGAGAAAGGCTTGGGCTTAGTGCTAAGCATGGGAGAGAGGTAATAAAACCACGGGAAAATTACTGCAAAGGAAGAATAAGCAGTGCCCACTAACAGACTAATTATGCATAGGAAGAAGACAAATATTCTATGATTTCTAACTTAAAATACTAATTATATAATTGACAAGAACAGGAAATTGGAAAGTAAAATAAAATAAATGAATGAAGCTAAAGAGCAGCATAAAGTTCTTTTGGGGGGAATCAGGAGTTAGGAGGGTAGGAAGATGACCTTCAGGATAGTCAGGAAGATGGTCAATGTTATCAGAAGAACATCCAGGCATAACCATCCTGGGATCAACGGAAAAGCAAGGCAGGAGGCTAAGGGAGAGGTCAGAGCTAGAGATAGGCATGGTAGTTGCAGAATTTCAGTACTGAAAGAAATCTCTGGAAGACATGAAGGCCAACACCCTCATTTGATGCATGAGGAAAGAAACTTAGAGGCGTGACTTGTCCAAGGTCATACTGCCAGTAAACAGCATGACCAGAACCAATCCATATCTTCTAGTTTCTTGGCGAGTATAATTGCCACTACATCACAGTTGCTTCTAAGCATCTTTATAGAAAGGTGGCAACTGAAGCCATGAAATTCTCAGGCAATCAGCATTTTAAATTACTCTTTCTAGGCTGGGTGCGGTGGCTCACATCTGTAATCTCAGCACTTTGGGAGGCCAAGGCGGGTGGATTATTTGAGAGGTCAGGAGTTTGAGGCTAACCTGGCCAACGTGACGAAACCCCATCTCTATTAAAAATACAAAAATTAGCCAGGCGTGGTGGTGGGTGCCTGTAATCCCAGCTACTCGGGAGGCTGAGGCAGGAAAATCACTTGAACCCGGGAGGCGCAGGTTGCAGTGAGCTGAGATCACACCACTGCACTCCAGCCTGGGCAACAGAGCGAGACTCTGTCTCAAAAAAATAAAAAATAAAAATAAATAAATAAACTACTCTTTCTAGCCTAATGGCAACATCAGGGGGACAGTACTATGATGACAGTGGGCACTGCTTTACATAGCTAGAATCGTTGCTGAAATAATACTATCCAGTTTTATTAAAACATTTGGACACGTTCAGCCTGGTTATTCATATAAGGTCCAGGACAGCTGCTTTCGAACTCTAAAATTCGACAAGATTCCAATGATCATGAGCCATGTTCTCAAGCTTCTGATTTGGGCCTTTTTTAAAAACTGCATTTAATTTATTTCTCTTTGCTCATGAAACACATTCTGCAAGATTAGTTTATTACAGTGTGTTGATAATAGTATAAACATTATACATTCCTGGAAGTACAACAAATATACCAATCCAACAGTCTTCATTTTCCTTTTCTGCCTTCCTCTACATTAGAGCAAACTATTTCACCTATGAGGCAAAGACATTAATTCAGAAATGGGAAAAGGCCATCTAAATATCAGTTACAATAACCAGTAGAAGACTGAACATATCCATATCGTGCTTAATGTAGGAATGTTTGCTTACGTGCCCAAGTTAATAGTTGAGCAGAAGTCACAACAAATTATACTGCACGTACTCAACTGTGGCTCTGACCACATAGGATGCAGCTCCCCTTCCAGTAACAGCTACTTGGAGATAGTTAACAGTAAGCAATGCAAACACAAACTGAAAAGGTTATCTCCAGCCAGAAAAGAGGGAAACATGAAACCATCTGCCTTATTTGTTAGAGTTCTCCAGTTTTACATGCCTTCTGAATCACTCTGGGCAAGCTAAGTAACATACTGAGGGTTGATTCCTTAGCAAACTTGAATTACTGGCTAAAAAATGTTATCATTTGGCAAATGTCGATAATTTGAGTATTTCACATTTCAAGGGATACTGAGATTGCAGCTTTACAAAGAACTCTTGCCTTCTCTGCATTTATAGTAAATATTGTATCTCTTGTTGGTATTGACCTTTCTTCCCCTAGTTCTGCTTCTTTTCTTTTTTTTTTTTTTTTTGAGATGGAGTCTCACTCTTGTTGCCCAGGCTGGAGTGCAATGGCAGGATCTTGGCTCACTGCAACCTCCGCCTCCCGGGTTCAAGCAATTCTCCTGCCTCAGCGTCCCAAGTAGCTGGGATTACAGGCACGCACCAGCACACCTGGCTAATTTTGTATTTTTAGTAGAGACGAGGTTTCTCCATGCTGGTCAGGCTGGTCTCCAATTCCCAACCTCAGGTGATCCGCCCGCCTCGGCCTCCCAAAGTGCTGGGATTACAGGTGTGAGCCACAACACCTGGCCTAACTTTTCTGGGTACTACTTAGCAACTTTTTCATTGTCCCAGTTGCATCTTTGTCTTCTCACCAATGACTTACAAGCCTGTTAGAGGTTTTGTTTCTACCCCATAGTTCCTCTTTGGAAGATATTCCCCCCTAGTATTAAAAAACATTATTCTGGATGGACTAGTTGCCAAGTTGGCACTATGGGAATTAGAAAAGCTTAAATAGTTGTACCTTTCTATGAATCATTTGGCTTTAACTTTTTTCAGAGAAACATTGAATTCTGGGTCACTTTGTGACTGAGTACTTAGCAAAAGTTGCACAATATGGTGAAGAAACAGAAAATTGCTCCTCTAACACATAAAAAAAGCTATTTTCATGTGATTTATCCTGGGAGTTTGGTGATGTGCAACCCTTGGATTTACGCATTTGGTCTGGAAATGCTCCCTAACTAGAAATCAATACTTCACATCTCTTTATTCTGAACTCACCAAATACTTTTTTCATGTTTCTCAATCCATTTTCTAAATTCAGTTTTCTGTACTTCTGATGTGCCATTTGCATAAAGCCAGAGCAGTGGGGCCTGCCCTATGCTCTGTCCCAAAGCCCAGCTGGAACTGACTCTGGGGCATGCAAGGTAAGCAATCGAGGCATGAGAATGTGCATCCCTGGCCTCTTACCGCCTACCTGAAAGGAAATCACCAACACTCTGGCCAATCTGCTGCTATGAGAGTAGGTAAGAGGAGTCCTCCGGGTAATCAAAATCTAATCTAAATCAAGGCTTTATCAACCTAAGTTAGCAACTGCAGTTCTACAACTTGTACAAATTCAGACAGTGAGGCAAAGATGCTCCATTCCCAACTCCGGGCAGCACACAGAGGTTGGGCTGCTGGGTAGTGGGAGAGCTGGGGCCTGGGGTCTTTAGGGTGGGCTGCAGGGAGATCTCCTATAAGAATCTGCAACCAGATCCAGATCAGAATCAAGGGAGCAGCAGCGGCATCACGTATCCGTGTATGGTCTCATCACTGCCACTGTGGCAAGAGGACCTCCACATGAGCTACACTGGTGTAGAACTTTCTGTCCTTTCCATCTACTGCCAGTGATTGTTTCACCTCATCTAATGGATAATAAAGTTAGTTAACTATAATTTAATATAGTTAAATGAGAATAAATGAAGTGAGAAAAAAAGGACCTCCATGAGACACAATGCTATTACTGTTCTGTTAGACACATACTAGTCCCAAAGGCCTCTAATCCCTCACTTTTGATCATCAGGACGTCCATCAGGGCCTGAGTCCTCTTCTGCTTTCTTCTCTTAATGTCTCTAGGACCACCAATCCTGAAGCTACTGCCAAGGTCCCAATCACTCCCTTTAATTTCAGTACCAGAAAAACAGAATCTACAAGTTTAAAGGAATCTAAAGAACCACCAATTCACCCAAAGGTGAATTCAACACATTCAGTGTTGAATTCATCAGCACAAGCTCATGGTTTTTAAGTTTGCAAGTCTTAATGGTTTCAACAACATTCCTGTAAAATGCCTAGCCTGAGTATGCCCCTAAGGCAGCTATCCCACCCAAAGTGAGCCAATATATCAGAATCCATTACTGAGGAGTGAGGTCCCTTCTGAATCAAATATCACACATCCCTGGATAACAATTCACATACATCTTGGTTTTGAGTGAATACAGGTAGAACCTACCAGCAGAAAATGGTGAACAAGTTTACTCAGTCAATAGAAGTACAGATGTTCTAAGTCATACATCTTTTAGAATCTAAGTTAATTCTTTTTCATATCTTTTCATATCTTTTTCACCTCACTGACCCATCCATTCATGGGAAATTTCAGGACAAAAACTAGAGAAGGAGAAATAAGCAAAATATACACTTCTAGAGATGTTTTTCTCTCTCTTTTAGGATCGTTCATAACCTGTCTGCAAAAAATGTAATAAGAAAAGATTCTATAAACATATGGGAAATTGTCCTCTGTTTCTGCACCAAAGACAGGTGAAATCTTTAGGACCTTTGTAAAGCTTGGCTCTGAAGAAAGACTTTTTTCTTGAAAGGTTTAAAACTCTGAAGAACAAGAAAACAGTCTCGCAAACTCTTAAAACAACAACAACAAAAACCAAGTTGTTTCCAAAAGAAACCAACCAATGCTCCCACTATCTAAATTAGTTTAGGATAGATCCATTTTCTTATTTGAGTACCATTTTGATTTTTCTCACTTTGAAGATACATGTCGTCCCAATTAACAGAAAATAAGCCTAATTCATTGAAATAATTGAGAAATTAAAAATGACAAGAGAAACCATTGCTAGGTATTAATATAACATATAACATATAACAATTCTTGCTCTTGAAGATGATAAATTCTAAAACTCAAGAAGTAGATTAAAAAAATTTTTTAAACTGCAGTGTGGATTAGCAATTCTGAAACTACAATATGAATTGTTCTTTTGAGTATCTTTACTTGTTCAATCTGAGAACAGGTAAAGATAGTGTGAATAACACGAAGCCCTGTTTCTCATAGAGAAGTTATGGATATGAAAACTGGGAAGGCTAGAATAAACCCTGTAGTGCTAAACTGGAATCAGAGGCATCAGTACAAACTCATGGTTTTTAAGATATAGAAAGAGAGATAAAAAATATGAGAGGTAAGAAAATAGAAATACATAAAAATAGAGAAAGACAGAGAGAAACAGAGCCACAAATAGATGGATAGAATGAGACGTGTGTATATTGCACTCACATACATTTATTTCCTTGTTGTGTCCACTGAGATGGCCTAAAAGCAATGATAGGCCGGGTGAAGTGGGCCTATAATCCCAGCACTTTGGGAGGCCAAGGCAGGTAGGTTGCTTGAGCCCAGGAGTCCGAGACCAACCTGGGCAACATGACAAAACCCCGTCTCTATAAAAAATACAAAAATTAGTTGAGTGTAGTGGCACACACTTGTAGTCCCAGCTACTCTAAAGGCTGAGGTGGGAGGATCACTTGAGCCCAGGATGTTGAGGTTGCAGTGAGCCGTGATCATGCCACTGCACTCCAGCCTGGGTGACAGAATGAAACACTGTCTCAAAAAAAAAATTGCAATGATAAACCAATGGTAATAGGTACTTAGTGTCCAGATCTTGGTTTCAAAACACAGTTCACCACTAAACGGAACAAGGACTCCTGGAGAAAAAAAAAATGGTTTCTACACCGGCATGCGGAATGTACTAGATGAACCTGGAACATCTTACTGAGCCAGAAAGCAAAGAAGTGCTCAATAATGGGGAAATGTCAAAAGGACAGAGAAGCCACATTGGGGGCAATTTGAACAACAAAGTAAGTAGGCTTAGTAATACATTATAACCCATAGAATAAAATAAGAATTTATGAGTCCACATTGACATAAATAAATGATGAAGGAGAGAAAGCTCAGACTTACAGAAAGATTCTAAATAATGTGTAGAAGGCATGTCAGAATTAGAATAATCATCTTTGGTTACTACTAATGTAATAATTCAAAGGTAAGAATCACCAAAAATGCTAACACTAGTGGATGAATGTGAAACTGCCTTTGCAGAAATTGTAACAGTGAGAAAATTATGATGGTGAAGGAGATCTGACCTGACAACTCCATCTTGCCTTTCACCCCCAAACTCCCTTAGCCATTCCTGCAGTGGGCCAAGCTAACTTTTGTAGATAGTTTATAGTTTAAATGATGACAGCAAAATGAAACTGCCTTTGTAAAACTAATGAAAGGACACCAGGTTAGGAGGATGAGAGGGGCCTGAATTCTGCCAAGATGTAGGTGTAGTTAAATGATTACCAGTCATTATTCCAGAGGTCACAAGATTTGTAACCTCCCTGTAAATAACATCACTATTATAGAACCTAAGATTGGCCTTCTGAGATGTCTTTTCAGGTTTTTGTATTTCTGACAACTGGAGGCCCTATAACTGGATAGACCAGTAACTCCTCTGTTGTCCCTACCCAGAAGTGGACTCAGCACATGAGGACTGTTTTCCACACCTCTGTGATTGCATCCTCAGCCAATCAGCAGTACCCATTCCTTAGCCCCCTGCCCACCAAACTATCCTTGAAAAACTCTAGCCTCCAAATTGACAAAGAGGCTGATTGGAGTAATAGTACAACTCCTGTCTGCTGTTTAGCCAGCTTTATGTGTATTAAATTCATTCTCTATTTCAATTCCCTTGTCTTGATAAATTGGCTCTATCTTGACAACAAACAAGATGAACCCATTGGGTGGTTACAAATGTATAATGAGAAACATTTACATACTTTCAAAATATGTATCTATTAAATGATTGGAGGGAAATTGTTAACTTTTCAATAAAGAACCAGGCAGATACCACCTTACCAAGGGATCAGAATTAACATCACCAGCATGGGCAAAACTGACATCTTGTGCCTCCTGATATGAGGCACTGAGAAGGATACACAGCACTTGTGTGATCTTCTTGCCACAAATGCAGAGCCGGAACCTAACCCTAAGGAAACATCAGACATGTTCAAACTGAGGGAGGTTCTGCAGAATATATAACCTGTGCTCTTCAAAAATGTCAAAGTCATAAAGGACAGGGAGAGACTGGGGAGTTGTGTCAGATTAAAAAACGACAATAAAATACAATGCAATTTTAGATTGGATTTTGGACCAGAAAAACAATTTTTTTCAGTGATTATAAAGGCTATCAATGGGAAACTGATTAAATGTGAATGTCTAGAAATCAGATAATAATTAGATATCAACATTACATTCCAGATTTTGATAATTATGTTACGGCTACACACTGTTTTTCAGTAAATAAATACTCTGTTAAGTATTTGGAGGCAAAGGGCATCATGTCCTCAACCTACCCCTAAATGGTTCAGAATAAAAATGTGTATGAATGTATGGAGGGGGCAGGGAGGGAAAGATAAAGTTTATATGGTAAAATCTTACATTTGGGGAATCTGGGTGAACAACATATGGAAAATCTTTGTACTATTTTTGCAACTTTTTGTAAGTTTGAAATTATTGTAAAATAAAAACACATTTTTTCAATGTTATTTGTCCACAGAAACTAGGAAAATTATACTCAGTCAGTTCTCATCGTTAGCTTCTCGTAATGAACTGAAATCGTTTGTTATAACAATAACAGCGTAACAAAGAACAAATCATAATAAACCTTTGATACTGGCAGCTGTAAATCAGATAAAAAACATCTGTTGTCCAGCCCTCCTCTTTTCAAATTACCTTTAAAGTAAGTTAACTTTAGGGCAGGTACAGTGGCTCATGTTTGTAATCCCAGCACTTTGGGAGGTGAAGGTGGGAGGATCGCTTGAGCCCAGGAGTTCGAGACCAGCCTGGCCAAAATTGTGAAACCCTGACTCTACTAAAAATACAAAAATAAGCCAAGCATGATGGTGCATGCCTGTAATCCCAGCTACTCAAGAGGCTGAGGCACAAGAATTGCTTGAACCGGGAGACGGAGGTCATAGTAAGCCAAGACTGCCCCACTGCATTCCAGCCTGGGTGACAGAACGAGCCTCTCTGTCTCAAAAAATAATAGTGATAATAAAATAGGTAAACTCTAGAGATAATAAACAACTTGAAAGCAACAATTTATAGTAGAAAATATTCTTTTAACTCCAATTCAGAAAGCTACTGACATTAGATAGACAAATTATCAAATCCTTCTGGGCCACAGTTTATTCATCTGAAAAATGAAGGGGTTCCATCAGTTTCTAATTCTATTCTATTAGAGCATAGTCTATTCTACTAGATCTATTCGTAACTTCTCTATGAGAAATGGGACTTCTTATTATTCACACTATATGGTCTATTCTAATTCTTACATCGCGAGAATCTAGAAATGAATTTCATGATAAAAATACTGGTTGCTTGCTTTAAAACTTAAGAGTAAAATATGGATCTCACTTGAACAAAAACTTGAAGTCCAAATACAACAACAAACTGAATAATAAGTATTTATTAACTATCTAATGTTGGGGCTCAGGACATACCTCCCCAGAATATGACTGAAGGAGACCAGAATATGTGACCCCAAAATATGCCTCCTTTGCACATTTTGAGAAAGTGTAGACATAGGAGTAGCTCTGAAAAGTTACCTTTTTAAAGATAAATTTGTGCCTATACAAGAAATCTCTGCTTATAAGGGCATCTCCCTCTCTGCAACAGGAGGAGATGACTAAGTAAAGAAGACATCGACTTACATCTTCATAACAAACTTCACCTTCATTTAAGGTGCTTTTCCTGGCCATCTCATCTTAACAGGGTTGTTCCCCACAACCTTTTTTACTTTGTTTCAGAGAATGATGGTATTTAAGCCCAAAATTTAAATGCTTTCTTTGAGATCTACTCTAGAGACTTGCTCATTTCTCTGGGGTTTTCCCGTGTATACATGAGGCATACATATTAATACACTTCTGTTTTTCTTCTGTTAATTTGTCTTTTGTTACAGGGAGCCTCAGATAAGAGTTATGAAGGACAGAGAAAATTATTACTTTTTCCTTCTCTACACTACCTTGTTTTTCTTGGTGTTTTTTTTTGTTTTGTTTTGTTTTCTTTTTTTTTTTGAGATGGAGTCTTACTCTGTCACCCAGGCTGGAGTGCAGTGACACAATCTCAGCTCACTGCAACCTCCACCTCCTGGGTTCAAGTGATTCTCCTGCCTCAGCCTCCCAAGGAGCTGGGACTACAGGTGTGCATCACCATGCCCAGCTAATTTTTGTATTTTTTAGTAGAGTCAGGGTTTCACCATATTGGACAGGCTGGTCTCGAACTCCTGACTTCATGATCTGCCCGTCTCGGCCTCCCAAAGTGCTGAGATTACAGGCATGAGCCACAGCGCCCAGCCTTTTCTTGTTTTTTTTTTTTTTTTTTTTTTTTTTGAGACGGGGTCTTGCTCTGTTGCCCAGGCTGAAGTACAGTGGCATGAACATGGCTCACTGCAGCCTTGACCTCATGGGCTCAAGTGATCCTTCTGCCTCAGCCTCTTGGGTAGCTGGGACCACAGGCACGCACCACCATGCCCAGCTAATTTTTTAATTTTTTATAAAGTTGGGATCTTGCCATGTTGCCCAGCCTGGTCTCAAACTGCTGGACTCAAGCAATCCTCCTGCCTCAGCCTCCCAAAGTGATGGGATTATAGGTGTGAACCACTGCACCTGGCCCACTATCCCGTTAAACAAACAAACAAACTTTAATTGAGAGGCCATTAGGCTGAGGCAATGACAGAGCTCTAGAAGGTCCCACATAAGCAAACTAAAGTCCAATGTAAACAGTAAAACCATACTAGACTTTATCAATCAGAAACTGCCAACTATTCCCTAACTCGGAACTTTCCACTCTAACCAATTTAAATGTCTTTTGTCTTACTTTCATGTTCAGCCTATAAAAGCTCACTGCCCTTGCTGCTAGAATGGGGCTCACTAACCTCCAATGGTTCTGAGTGCTGCGTAATTCATGAGTCATTCTTTGCTCAAACAAACTCCTTGTTTTTTTTGTTTTTTTTCTGAGACAAGGTCTCTCACTCACATCGCCCAGGCTGGAATGCAGGGGCATCATCACAGCTCACTGCAGCCTCAACTTCCCAGGTTCAGGTGATTCTCTCACCTCAGCCTCCCAAGTAGCTGGGACGACAGGCATGCAGCACCATGCCCGGCTACTTCTTTGTAGAGACGGCATTTTGCCATGTTGCCCAGGCTGGTCTTGAACTCCTGGGCTCAAATGATCTGTCCACCTTGGTCTCCCAAAGTGCTGGGATTCCAGATGTGAGCCACTGTGCCTGCTCCAACTCTTTAATATTTTAATATCCCTAGGTTTATCTCTTAATGATCCTAATTCTTTCCCCCATCTTAGACCCCAAAGTGTGTGGCCCCAGGCCTGGATCATATTTAGTTGCTCAGTTATTTCTTATAGTCAGGAAAATCAGAATTTCCTTGTGCTTTTGATTTCAGTAGCTCAGCCAGCTTCACCAGCAAGCACATCCACATATCTGGATTCTCAGACCACTGGGCACTGAAACAGAGCAGTTAATCCCCATACCCATGCTGAGGAAATAACACGCATCACATCTTTTAAAATATCATATACACAATGGATCATTTGAGTAAATTTAATACTAGGATCATTTGAGTAATTTTAATACTGCTCTATAGACAATTCAGTGGTACCCTAAACACAATTAATTTCTACATAGATATTATTAACTTTTCAGCTAGTATTAGTAAAATTAATAAAATTAGGTACGTGATTTAATTATTTTATCTGAATAATGTTTTGTTTTTTGTTTTAGACACTATTATTAGAACACTAGGCTGTGACATGTCATTAAATAACAATTAAAAAATCAACACATACAGCAAATTATTTTTTGTAGTGGTTACTCACCTGAGCGCTCTTACCACATTTAGCATCTCCTGAAACAATCACGATTTGATTTTGAAGCAGGTTCTCCATAAAGGAGTATTTTTCTTTCCATATAGGAAGATCTTCTCTTTCTTTCAGAAGTTTATAATAACGTGATGAATATGGCAATCCATCAAAGGGGTTAAGTTCCAAATCCTCACAGGCCAAAACCTCTTCCTCATCCCCATCGCTGGAATCCAGGGATTCAGGAAAATAGCGTTTTTCAGAGGAAGAGTTTGGACACTCCAGCCCTTCTTCTTCCATCTTGTCTGACAGTGAGCTCACGCAGCTGACATTCCACAAGCAAGTTTCTCCTATCAGTAACCCATTGCAAACAGGGCTTAAAAGCCTATTTATACAAACCCGTATGTTCCAATCTCTAAGACTTCAGTTCAAGGTTTTAGCAAGTTAAATTCCTCAAACCTGCATCTGTTCTCCGTTGCTGTGTTACCCACTGTGCTGGCTCACTACAGCACTCTTCGGCATTGTAAATGATTGTCAATAAACCACACTAAGAAACAAACAAACAAAAAGAGTAAGGAAAATTAGGAACACATATAAGTTAAAAAGAAAATGCACAGGAGTTCAAATGAAAAGCATTATTTTTTTTTTTTCTGTTAACGGGTTTCTGTCATTTCTGCTGCCTGCTTAAAAGAACAGGAATAATTTAGGCTGGTGTTTAAAGTTTGGTGGGTTCCGGTATTTCCTGGCTGGTTCAGAAAATGATTCTGCACTGGGCCTCGTGCTCTCTGCCTGACCTCTATCTCAGGCTCTGCGTCTTGATCAACTGTGAATGGAAAGCAACAGGAGGGACAGGATTGTGATTGTGAGGCTAATCAATCACGTGGTCACCTAATCCCATGTCAAAAGAGGAGCTGGACCCTATAAAAGGAAAGAACTGTGATGACCTGGTGAGTGTTCCTCTAACACAGGCTACAGGAAAATCTATTATTAAGAAATCCTTTACTTTAATGAAAAACATTTTTAAAACTTTTCATTTTCCTTTTGCTTATGTCAGTTTAGAAAGCCAAGTGAGGGGAATGAATTTATTATTTCCTTCCATATGTAGTTATGGTTGGCTTTTATTTTATATATATATAAAAAAGACAGGGTCTCGCTCTGTCACCCAGGCTGGATGCAGTGGCGTGATCATGGCTCACTGCAGCCTCAACCTCCCAGGCTGTTTTCCCCCTGCCTCAGCCTCCTGAGTAGCTGGGACTACAGGTGTACACCACTATGTCCAGCTAATTTCTGTATTTTTTTGTAGAGACGGAGTTTTGCCTTGTTGCCCAGGCTAGTTTCGAACTCCTGGGCTCAAGTGGTCTGTCCTCCTTGGCCTCCCAAAGTGCTGGGATTTCAAATGTGAGCCACCATGCCCAGCTGGCTGGCTTTTATTAATAAGGTCTTTTGTTTAATTAAACCAGAAATCTCTAGCATATTTCTTGAGATTCCTGGGTCTTGAGCCCAACATGTCAGCTCCAAGAGGCCATTAAGGACAACTTTTAATTTAAATGAAGAAGAGAAATCACCCAAGAAAGAGCAAGATTTATACCAATAACTCAGTCCCCACATGTCAGGTGAAGGGTCTTTCCCCTTCCAATTACTAGTGATTAAAAAGAAAAATTCCATTAGTGTTGCTGGAAATAAGCTCCTTTTCACATTAACCAGATAAAAATGAAAAAGAAAACTCAAGTTAAAAAGAATAATAAAATACAGTTCATGATATTTTGTAAGTTACTGCACTTTTCGGATCACCTGGTTTACCTTAATTATTGCTTTAGATGGTTGGAGCCAGTGTGCTCAACAGCTAGTTCCTAATTAGTAAGTGATAAGAAAAGCTCTCTCTCTATTGGTCAAGACAGGCTCCAGGGCAACAGTCAATCACTCAAAAAACATTTGCTGAGTGTCTTCTAAGGGCTTATTAGATGAGTAAACTAGGCACTAGATACACACATAAAGGATATTTTGAAGATGGCAGCAAGAGCAGGATAGAAAGTTTTAAAATTCACAGATGAACAAGCTAGTTTAGAGGTAAGTAACCAGAGAGGCAGAAGAACTTCATAGCTCTTCCCAAGTAAAGTTCTTAAAAATTCATCTAAAAGCCAGTGTTTCAAAATTAAAATGGAATTACAAAGGCATAATAGAAATGTTGTAATATGGATTCACTTCAGAACTCTTCACTGCCTCTATAAGGTGAGAGTAGACCCACAGAATAGCTCCAGGAAGCATGGTAGCTTGAGATCATCGCACAAGCTAATTCTGGGAAGGTATCCAAGAATCAGAAAATTCCACTCTTCAGAGAAGTTAAAATTTAATTTTATATTCTATTTTTCTTTTGTTCTGATTAGAATCCCTTCCAAGGGTTCTCAGCCTACATGTAAATTAAATTGCTATTAAATATTATAACCAATGATTGCCTTAGGTAGTATTTCTTAACTGTTTTACCTTAAAAAAAGAACAGCTATTATTTTTACCAAAAAGAAATGTTTCTCTTATTTATAATACTCCCTAAGAGTGTAATAATCTTATAATTACAGTAAATTCTTACTTATAAAGCACTGACCACTTTGAACCCTGAGGAAATAATCAAGTTTTCTGAATAGTCTTCTTTCTAAAGACCTGAGACTTACCTGGCCCCTTCATCACACATTGTGCAATGTATCCACACACATTAGCCTTAACCACTTCTCTGTTATAGTGGAATTAAAGATGGCCACAGATTATTTGCCACTGTTCCAAATGGAGAGGTAGAGTCTATTTCCTCTCCCCTTGAATCTGAGCTGGCCCTGTGACCAGTGTCACTATGACTAAAATAATGCAGTTAAGTGATACTGAATCACTTCCAAGATATTCCCATGCTTGAAACACTCCTCTTTAGAACCAGCTGTCATTCTATGAGGTACCCACGCCCAAGCCACCGGGAAGAGACCAAAGCTGAACTTCCAGTCCACAGCAGCATAAACCTTCAACCATGTGAACAAGCTGCCTAAGATGCCCCAGCCCAGTCGAGCCTCCAGATGACTGCAACCCCAGCCAACTGAGCAGAAGCAGCATCCACAGGAGCCCATACAACCCAAAGTATCATGAGACAACAAATGGTCACTGTTTTTGTAAGCTACTAAGTTGCAGGGTGGTTTGACTTGCAGAAACAGATAACCAGACTTCTGCCTTCTTAAATAAACTATACTCACAATTTAACTTTTTCATTGTGACTCAAGGTCACCATTACATCAGTTGCCAAAACAGAATGATGTCCTCAGATGTCTCCGAAATCTACAGAAGCCAAAGACCAGACTGCTCTCCTGGAGCCCTGCTCTTCCCTGGGGACTCAGAACCCATGCCACTGTGTGGTGTGGCCTCTTACCTTGTGAGGCTCTTCTCTGCCTTTCTAACCTGCTCTCCTAACCGGTGCATTAGAAGCCAGACAAGCTTGTTTGACAGACACATTTGTAAAGCTTGAGTCCACAAAGGATGCTACCATTGAATCCAATGAGTCTGAGGCGCAAAACTATGACATTTATAGACTCTGGAACATCTATTTCGACTACTCAGAAGGACCTTTTGCTGCTATATGGTTTGGATTCCAAATTTGGAGGGTGGAGTGGCTGAGACCTAACTAGAGGAGTTGGGCCCATTGACTCCAATAACATTCATATACCTCTCCTTATTCATCTTGCAACTGGTGTAAGCCATGTAAATGTTTTTTCCTAGAGGTAATTAAATATGTACCAAAGATCTATGTCTTGGCCTTTGGCAAATTTAACAGTACCAGTCTAAAGAAAGAGAAACAAATAATATGGTAGGTTAGATGTCATTCAAAATAAAGTTTCATAACTGTTCTGTTGTAAGTATAAACTACATTCCACTATAAGAAATTTAAATCTGAAAGATTGACATTTGCTCTTTCAAAGCTATCATACATGTATATTGTAGATGGCACACTTTGTCAAGGACAGCTATTTGAAATCAATCTATTACAGCTCTTAAACATGCATCCATGAAAATAATACATATCTAATTAACAGACAACCTTAACAAGGTAGAATTAGAAGTCAATGTAAGATGAAGCTATGTCTTAGTCATTTATGTGTTTGGCTCTGGTCCAGTAATTCTAGAAATACAGTTCACAGAAATGGAAAGACAAAGTTTGTAAGGCATTAAGTGAAGCAAAAGCATTAATTTGTCCTGAGTAACTTATGTTTCACCATTCAGTGCTCCTCTTTTGTGTGTTTTTTTTTTCTGTATTCAAGCCAATATTACTGCTTACTTTTCATGTATCAAATACCCAAATACATAATTTTAGCACTTGGTAGATATCTGGAAGTTCCCAATGCTTAGTTCCTGGACCTCTCTTCCCCTTTCTCTCTTTAATAGGGCCTAAGTGGTCTCATCTCATCTCATGGCTTTAGTGCCATCCATACTTGGATGTATGGGTGTATCTGTCCTTAGGATCCATCGATCTAAACTTCAGTGTCATGTATTCAACTACCTATGCATCATCTCCCACTTGGATATTTAATAGGAAACTCAGACTTTACACGCCTGCAACTGAGCTCCCAACATGTACCCCAAAGCCACAAATCTGGTCCCCCCAATTTCAGTTAATTCCTTCCTTCCCATTGCTCAGATCAAAGTATTTGAAGTTACCCTTGATTTTTCTCTATCTTAAATCCCACATCTGGTCCTTCGACTGATGTGGTATGTAGAATGGCCTCCAAAGATGTGCATGTAGGAATCCCTGGAACCTATGAATATGTACTTTGCATGGCAAAAGGGACTCTACAGATGTGATTAAATTAATAACCTTGAGATTGGAAGATTATCCTGGACGATCCTGGTGAGCCCAATCTAATTACATGAGTCTTAACAATCAGAGGACCCTCCTAGCCACAGTCAGAGGAAAATATGACTATGGAAGAAGGTCGGAGAGATGCAATGTTGTGGGCTTTGAAGGTGGAGGAAGGGGCCACGGCCGAAGAATGATGTGAGTGACCTCTAGGAGCTAGAAGAGGCAAGGAAACAGATCATCTTCTAGAATTTCCAGAAACGAACACAGTCCTGCTGGCACCTTGATTGTAGTCCAGTGAGACCGACAACCGACTTCTGATCTACGAAGCTGTTAAGACAATAAATTACCACTCAATTTATGGTAATTTCTTATAGAAGCAATAGAAAACTAATATATTCAATCATGTCAGTTCTGTCTTCAAAAAATATCAAGTGCCCCATAACCTCTACTGTGAACACTTGGTCTGAGCCACTACCCCTCTCACCTGGATTACTGCAATAGCCTCCTAACCGGCCTTCCTCTACCCTTAGCCCCTTACAGTCAGGTCTCAAGCCTGCAGTCAGAGTCATCCTATTAAAGTCAGCTCATGTCTCCTCTGCTCAATAGTCTCCAATACTTCCCATCTCATCTCACTCTGAGGAAAAACCAAAATCCTTAAGAGGACCAACAATCACTGTATGATCTGGACCCATCGCCTCTCTGCCCTCATTTGCAACAGCTCCTACTTCAGTCTTCCCTAGCCAGACGGCTCCCCTGCTATTCCTCAAACACCATGGCAGATGCCTGCCTCTGGAACTTGGTGTTCACCCTTCTGTATGTCTGAAATGTTCCTCCCTCAGATATCCAAATGGCTAGCTTCCTTGCTGCATAAAGGTCGTTACCAAATGGCAGTTCAGTAAATGCTTCCCTGGCCACCCTATCTAAACTTTTACCGCTCTCCCACACTCCCAAAAACCACTTCCTAACCTCTTTAACTGCTTCATTTTTTCTCCTTAAGACCACCACCTAACATAATGTATACATTTTCCCTCTTTGTTTTCTGTTGGTGCCCTTCACTGGAATGTGAGCTCTATGAAGCAGGGCTTAGTGTCTCCACTGCAGTCTATCTTGCATAGTTACGTCCTTCATTATTTCACTCTTAGCTAAGTTCAAGGTAGTTTACTACTGCTGCATAGAGTTTAAACACTTCTATCAGGAATTCACTATGTTTCTGGATTTATGTGACTTTTTTGTTCCCTTCTGTTTATGATATATGATAGACTCTTGCTATTCTTAGAATTCTTTAAGACTCACAAACCCACAAACTGGAATATTTGTAGAGGCTCCTGGTCGTCCCTTGAATCATACATCCAAACCCCAAATTAACTCCTTTCAACATTTATTAAAGCTGCTTTCTTCTTGATCAATTCAGAAGAGTTATCATGTTGAAAAGTACAAAGCTGCACTGAGATTCAGACAATGGCATGTATCACGCTTGCTCTAGCAGATCACTGATCTTTGTGGGACCGCTTGTAAACTGCACATGCTGAGGAGGCAACATCAAGTATGAGGGGACTCTTGAACCGTTTGTACTAGTGATTATCTTTTCCCCATGTCTTTCTGTCTCTTTACTTACACTGTTATTGGAGCTACACCTTCTTCACTGGTAATTTCCACTCCTAAATCCAAATACAGTGGGTGACTAATTAATAATTACGGGCTGAGTAAATAGTGAATGAGTCATTTTCTATCCTTTAGGGATCATATGCTTCTAAGGGCAACATCTGATTGTATTTTACCATCGATATCATTCATAATCTAATAGGTCTTCTGTGTCTTCAAGTTTTCTCATCCTCAATGCCTCCATTTTTGGGTTTTCCATTTACCTGTTCAACCAATACTTGAGTGCCTAATATGTGTCTGCAATGTGAACATGGTAGGGACACAGTTTGAACAGGCAGGTCTGGTTAGGTGAGGCTGAGGGTGGGGTGTGGAAATAGAAATTCTTTGTCTATGATATGTAGACTCAACCTTACAGACAATTACTTAAAAGAAGGCAAGTGTGGCTGGTACCTAATTGCAGAGAAAGACTTTGGTACAAGATGAGTTCAAAGATGAGATAGGGGCCAGATCGCAAAATACCTGATCTGCTATGGTAAAAAAGTTGTGATTACAGTGCCATGGGTCTAACTTACCTAGTCATTTCTTGATCCAAATTTCATTTTTTACTCTTTTTTTCCTTAAAATTCTCCTCTTAAATTTCAGGTTACAGTCTTTTCTTTATTTTACATTGTATGTGTTTGTGTGTGTGTTTTTTTTTAAATTTTAGAAATAGGGACAGAGTCTATGTTGCCCAGGCTGTATTCAACTCCTGGGCTCAAGTGATCCTCCTGCCTTAGCTTTCCGAGTAGCTAGAAGTAGAGGTGCACACCACCATGCCTGCCTTATATTCTTTAATATTACCTATAATCTTTCTAACACCCACCTTCAATTTTCTTAAAGTCATTAGTGAGATTAGGTAACAGTTTATGGCAAAAGGCACAACAAACGTGATTATGAGCAGGTGCACCAAGCATGGCAATAAGAGAAACCAATATATCCACTTCCATGTAAAACATTCTAAGAAATATTAAAAATGAAATAACACTTCTTGACTTGAACATTTTGCATTATTTTCCTTTTTTCCCTAAGCCCACTCAACAGTAAATTAGTCTGCAAAAATAAATCTGTCTCATGATCTGACTCATAGTTTGTAAACCCTGTACTATATAATATACATATTTATATGTAAAATATACACGCCTTGCCTTTTAAAAATTATTATGTTTATATTACCCCAGAATTTGTTTCAACATTATCTGTTTGAGCAATGCATTTTTTTTTTTTTTTTTTAAAGACAGGGTCTTACTCCGTCGCCCAGGCTGGAGTGCAGTGGCATGATCATAGCTCACTGCAGCCTCCAACTTCTGGGCTCAATTGATCATCCTGCCTCAGTCTCTCGAGTAGTGGGACTATAGGAACACACCACCATGCCTGGCTAATTTTTATTTTTTTATTTTTGTAGAGACAGTGTCTCCCTATGTTGCCCAGGCTGGCAGTGAATTTTTTTGAGAAGAAATTGTGCTCATTTTAACCAAAACTTTATAAATATTTTAAGATTTATTTAATGTCTCTTCATATTCTATGGAACAATCAATCATTTATAATTCATATATTTGCATGAAGGGTGAAATAGTAAATTAGTAATTTAAAAAACACTTAAGGATAATCTTCTACAATACAAATCTTTAAAATTTATAATTTTGTTATTATATCTAAAACTCAGATTTCCCTAGTACTGCAGGTTTCTGAATCTCCTAGAATATTCAAACACTATCTTAATAAAGCAAACTCTGAACTTTATTGTGATAGCATAATGCTGAAAAAGTAAAAGGTATTAATTCTGTCCTGGCCAGGCGTGGTGATTCATGCCTGTAACCCCAGAACTTTGGGAGGCCAAGGCGGGTGGATCACTTGAGGTCAGGAGTTCAAGATCTGCCTGGCCAACATAGTGAAACCCCGTCTCTACTAAAAATACAAAAATTAGCTGGGCATGGTGGCGGATGCCTGTAATCTCAGCTACTCAGGAGGTTGAGGTGGGAGAATTGCTTGAATCTGGGAGGCGGAGGTTGCAGTGAGCTGAAGTGCGCCACTGCACTCCAACCTGGGCATCAGAGTAAGACTCCGTTTCCAAAAAAATAATTAATTCTGTCCCATTGTGGTAGCAGCTCAGCAAAAGGAAACATCCGTCTATATTGAAATCTTTGGAACCAACTTATAACACTATTGCAAACACTCACTGCATATATTCAACACATTTATTTAGATTTTCACTTATTTCCTTTTGCGGGTTTATGGTAGACTTCCTAAAGCCAAGATTAATTTCTGAGCCCGCTTTGCAACTCCTGCAAAATAAGATACAGGGCTGTGCACAAACTATGTGATCAATAAATATCTGCTGAACTCATAAACAATATACTTACACTCTATTTTTACTATGTTTAGAAAAAAAGAAAGTTAATGAGGTATTATGAGTGAATAATAACGTCTTCAGAATAAAGGACTATTATTTTTGGAGAGCGGGATCACTGGTCCAACACTCCACGTCAACTCTGGTGCTGGTTTGTGGCAAGGTAAAGAGCTTGCACCAGAATGTAAATCAACTAACTGCTTCCTACACTGAAGAGGTCTTGCTATTTTTAAAAAGTCAGCTGAACAGTAATCAGTATGTTTAGTGACATCGCCTATTTACATTCTGGCACAAGCTCCGGATCTCACTGCAAACCAGTAAGTCTGCACTGGCCCTGATCTGCAGGCCACACTTTTGAGAAGCCTGGTTCCATACTACTACTATAGTTGGACTAACAATAACAATGATGATAATTTTACCAATTAGCATTTATAGAGTGATTATTGCACACCAGATGCTATGTTCAGCACTTAAGCACTTTATATGGATTATTTCATTTAAACTCTTAAGGACCCCATGAGGGTTTACTTTATTATTTCCATTTTTCAAATGAGGAAATGTAAACCTTCAGAGGTTTAATTTATACGGCTTCTAGAAGATCATCTGTGGTAGAGCAGGTGCTTAAAGTCAGGCAGTATGATCTCTGCTTAACCCCAGTTCAGTGTATAGTGTATATGCTTAACCATATATCCATACTGCTTCCTGACTATGTTACATATTGCTTCCAGACTACATTTTTAAAAATAGGCTCACGTTGCATCACTGGGGGTTGAAGAAATACTTGACACTAATGGCGATGTCAGGAAGAGAGGTCTGGAAGAAATACCATAAAACTGAAAAACATGGTATAGATAGATTTGTAAATCTTTTTTATAGATTTGAAAAACATATTTCTAACACAAAGTTACAGTCAAATATTTAATACACTTTATCTCTCAAGCATGGTATGCTTTAATTGAAACAATGGACCTAATCATTACTAGGACTTTTAGAAGGTCACTTCTTTGTTTGCCTTTGTTTTAATAGCCTGAAATCTCCCAAAAATATATCCTATTTGGTTTCCAGTATCAATTTAAAGTCTTTCTGGAAAAAGATAAGGTCAAAATTCAAAATCTATTTTAAAATCCTTATTTCTAGACTTGTAACGAGTTGATTGCTTTGATTTTAAGTAAGCAAATCTAGTTAATTAGCTTTTTAAAAATAAAAAAGGTCCATTTTTAACTCAATGTTGGTTCATATCAGATACAACCAGCCTTGTATTGACAATTGGTTGAATATACAATATTATATTAATAACAACAGATACTACAGTTGATCTTAGCCAAAAGGCCGAGAAGTGATGAATATACAGTATTGAATATTGTATTGCATATTGGTTGAATAACCAACCCTGCACAATCAAATTTTTTAAAAAGAATCCTTACATTCTAACGGTACTTAAAAAAATTTTAGGCTTGGGGCAGTGGCTCATGCCTGTAATCCCATCCTTTTGGGAGGCCAAGTGGGGAGGATAATTTGAGCCCAGGAGTTTGAGACTAGCCTGGGCAACACAGTGAGACCCCGTCTCACTTAAAAAATAGAGGTCACTTAATAGAGACCCCGTCTCTATTAAAAAAACATATTTTTTAATGTATATACAGAAAGTCCCCCCCGAGCTCAATCAATGTTTATGTATAGTATTAATATACCACTCCCTACAAATAAGTTTCTAAGTCAAAGGTATTGTCAGAAGTTCAAATGACTGGACCACTCAGTGCTTTGTGATATTATTTTGATGATTTTTTGACTGCATTCCATTCCGAAAACTAATTTACTCTGAGTAGAAGCAGAGTTAATAAAGTATGCAAAAATACTAATCTGGCTTATTTAAGTAGTCTAGTGACACATCTGAGAAAAATTTTGTGTGAGATTCAATAAAAGCTGAGATTTAAAGAACAGGTTACTGCTGGTCTCCCCAAGTTAACATACTTTACCTGAGACATACACAAAATGAACTTTTATCCATCTCTCTCTCTCTTTTTTTTTTTAAGTATTTGCTTGAGGCATAATCATAATCAACTTCTAAAGTTACATTTTACTTGATTTGTTGTCCCAAATGTAGACAAAAAACCCATAAATAGCCACAGGCACAGTGGCTCATGCCTGGAATCCCAGCACTTTGGAAGGCTGAGGCGGGAGGAGCCCAGGAGTTCCAGACCAGCCTAGGCAACATAGCAAGACTCTATATCTAAAAAATTTGTTTAAAAATGTTTTAAAAAATATTTTTAAACATAAATATCAAGATTTCTGTTGTTAACAAAGTAATGGGTAGTCATTTTACATGAACTTTAATAAAACAATAATAGATGAACTGTGTTGTGCGTTCTACGGTGGCTAGAGGAAAATATAATCATTTTGGGGAATGCCAATGCATGAACTCCTCAGGAGTAGGTACTCTTCCATTAATCCTCCCAGATTTTCAGCTCCCTTTTCTGACCACTGGTCTTTAGTCTCCACGGGTTCTTCCACAATCAGCCCCTCCCCACAAGGTAAAATGTGCATACTTCAGGGCTCTATCCCTTACCCTCTTATTCCACATAATATCCCTGGAGAAAATCATCACATTTTAACTTCAATCACTAAATGCTTAATCCAAATTCTATCTTCATCTCAGACTTTTTCCTTTCGTTCCAGACCCACATGTCCAACTACTACTACTTATGGGACCTCCCAACGTATATGACAGGCATCTCAAACTGAACACATCTACCCCACTTCTTAAACTCCTCAAAAAATTTTTTTCTTCTTTAGAGTTCAATGAATAACAGAACAATCCAGTCTATCACCCCACTGTCATCCCTGGCTTCTCCTTCCTCATCTCCTATATCACCAAGATCTGCCAATTCTACCTTTTTTAGTGGCCCCTCCTTCTTATTCCCACCATCGCTCTCCTGGTTCTCTTCATTTCTTCACTGAGCTTCAGCAACATCTCCAATTTTTTTGTCTCTCATTTAGGCTCTCTACCAATCTGTCATTTGAGTGTTGCCAGTGATCCTTTCCAAATGCAAAACTGATCCAGTCACTGACCCAAATCCTCCTTATTACCTTTAAGGAAAATAAACTCATGGTCCTTAGGTTCCTTCTGATTTGGCCCACATTTGCCTTTCTGGGCTTACTTCCTCCCATTTTCTGCTAATACACATGAAGAAGTATTCTCCAGTTCAGCCACAATAAACCACGGCTTAGTTGTTCTCCCGGCCTTCGTGCCTCAGCCCAGGCTGTTCTGCTTCGGAAGCACCTGGTCATTTCCTGTTTACCCTTTATGACATGCAATTCCAGAGCCCAGGAAGTACCTAACACATTGTGAATGTGGAATCAATGTCTGCTCTATGCCTAAGTCAATAACAGCCCTTTATATTAAAAAAGTTCATTACGACATACAAGATATTTTCATTCATAATCTATAATCACATTTATCTTGATTCTCACAACTAGACTATCAGACAACCATTGCAGGTTTTATTATCCCAAGTTATCAATGACAAAATAATAGCTTCTGGTTTTCCAAAAGGGCAAAGCTAGAAATTAATGCAATGACCCCTAACTAAAGGTTTGACCTCTCTATTATTACCCTACTTAAATTATCAGGTACACAATGAAGACCACCATGTGCTAAAAGCAACACAGAAGAAGCGTAAGTCATGCACTTAGCTCCAAACATATTTAATCCAGTCAGAGGTACAAGATCCATCCATATGAGATAAAATTCTATAGGAAAGCATCCTACAGAGCTAAATGCTAAACCGTGTAGCACCCCCAGTAGGAGAGCGAAGTGCATTTAGTGGGCATTAGCCTAATCCTGAAAGACTTTCCAGAAACTGGGGCAGCATGCTCCTGCAGTCCCATTTATTTATTTATTTATTTAACTTTTATTTTATTTTTTTTGAGACGGAGTCTTGCTCTGTCACCCAGGTTGGAGTACAGTGGCCCAATCTCGGCTCACTGCAAGCTCCGCCTCCCGGGTTCACGCCATTCTCCTGGCTCAGCCTCCCGAGTAGCTGGGACTACGGGCGCCCGCCACCATGCCCGGCTAATTTTTTGTATTTTTAGTAGAGACGGGATTTCACCGTGTTACCCAGCATGGTCTCGATCTCCTGACCTCGTGATCCGCCTGCCTTGGCCTCCCAAAGTGCTGGGATTACAGGCGTGAGCCACCGCGCCCGGCCAGTGTCCTTTAGACTGTGGACGAGTAAAGGGCGGAGAGATAGACATTCCATTTGAGTGCAACAAATTGAATGTAGACCATGACAAGTTTGGAGAACAAAGAGGAAAACACCAAAAATAGAAATTGATTGTTTTCCACCTTTGACAGAACTCCCTAAGAGTTTCAGAAAGTATCAGATAGAGAAAAAAGTACCCTCACTCTGGTAAAGAAAACAAAAATCAACAAAAACCCTAAAACCAACAAAAACAAAAATGAAAACTTCCTTCAACTTACCACAGTAAGGCTAGAAGACAGAACTATTAATAACATGTTCATTTGCTACATTTTTTATCAACCTATTTGCATTAAATAATGTTAACCTCCCACTAAAGTTATTTCTACTTTGAATTCTGAGGTAGTCAAGAGATTTAAATAAGAAAAAGACTACATCTGTCTCTTCATTGTTACTTTGTTATTCCCGATCCATAATGCTTCAGTTTGCTACATTTAGTTAAACATCAGCAAAGTAAACAATAATGTAACTATTCTATCTAGTAATGAGCTTGGAGACTTAAAAAAATATATATAGAACTTTATTCCTTTTCATTTGACCACTAATAACATACTGAACATGCCCGTGAAAAGAAATAAAACACAATGGTAGAAAACTCCAAAAAGGTAGAGTGTCTTTACCATTCATCCCCCACCCCTATCTCATTAGCAACTTTCTGATCTCGGGTGTTTTCTCCAATAGTAAAGTGTATCCCTATATCCAAAACAATTTCTCTAAAGCCCTTCTCACTCATTCAACAAACATTTAACAGGTACATTGCACAAGGTGATAGAGGAAGAGAAACTGAATATTGTCCCTGCCTCGGACATTTCAGTGCCTTTACGCCTGACTTCCACTCCTAACCAGTCTTCTTTCACAGGTACCCTGTCCCCTAAAATCAAATGTTGCTTTTCACAGTTGCCTTTACTTGTCACCTAAAGTATTTCAATTCAAAATTTCCTCAAAGTCAACTTAACAGCTGCTGATAAAATAATCATTCTATATGATTACAAAGTGTTTCACCAATACATATCCCCATTTTTTCCAAACTTAAAACTTCTTCAGTCCTTATTACTTTAGCATAGAGACCTGCACTGTTGTTTCTTCTTTTTAAAAAAATACTAATGCTAATCCTTTACTGTTTGAGCAGACTTAATCCTACCTTTTCTTTTGTCAATAAATGCCAGGTGTTTTTTAAATCACTATCTTGTCACTTTTGATTATGATATACTGATCACTCTATTTGTATCTTGAATGAAAAGACCGCTTTGTGATTTTGCTAATGATATGTAAACTAGAACTTGAGAACCACTGGATACAGGAGTACTGCTGATCTTTATACTTTCTGTCTAAAAATGAAGCCCCTGTCTCTAAATTTCAGGAACAGGGAGTTAAGGTTCCATGAAGTGTTTACTTTCCACCCTTAATTTATTACCTTAATACTTCAGCTTAAGAATTATGTGTTCTGTATATATCACGCTGCTTGTCAATATCCACACATAAACCTTCTTGTTTTGACAATTAATCTGAAAAAGTCCCCATATAGTCTGAGAGGGGGAAAACCTAATTTGGAAGAATATAATAAATGTCAGTTTCCATCACAGAATATATGCTTCTCAAGTTCAATTAACCTCTCAATGATTCCCTAAGAGGAAAGTAATTCTCCTTAGTGTCCTTGTCATCCATGGAGTGGAAATCTTTCTACTGGCAAGATTAGTAATCACTTCCATGACCCCCAAAACGGCTCTTCCTTCCATTTCCCTCAAGTACTGTCTGGAGCAGCGGTTGGAATTAATAGAGGGGCCATAATCTCCAGACCTGAATACCAAATCAATCCTGCAGCCCCCCACACCCTTAATGCCCCTGCACTTTCTTGCTTATCCTTTTTCTCTCGTCTCCATTTTTCTTTCCTCCTTCTGGTGTTCCGGAACCTATGATACTCTCCTGGTTGTTTGAATTTTTACAACCTACCAGATAATAATCTCTTGTGATCCTCAAAGCTTCCTTAAAGCAAACCCTGAATCACTGTGTTTTAAAACCAGTATGAAAGACTATTGTGTGGGATAATGTTACATTGTTTCACAGCCCTACAAAGTTTGGCCACAAAACGTGTGGGCAGATTCCGTAACTCAACCGGAAACGCGAAGGACTGAAACAAATCAACACACAAAAAACGAAGCCAGCGAGAAAGATCCAACCCGGGCCCCCTGCCTGAAATGGGACACGGGGATGACGGGGCAAAGCCGGGCAAAACCGTGCTCCTGGCTCTCGCGATTCAGGAGACGCGCCAGGCTCACTGGGGACGACAGCGACGACGGCGGCGGCTCGCATTGCTCCACGCTTCCCGTCAGGGGGGCTCGAGGGACCGCCCCAGGCCCGGCCCATGCCCGGGCTCGGAGGGAGCCCCTGGTGCGAGGGCTGCCCGCAGGGCTCCGTCCTCCCGCTGAGGCGCGGCTCCCGGAGCAGGAGGCGCGGAGGCCGCCCTCGGCGTTTCGGAGTCGGGGCGGGGAACGTCCACGGCCAACTGCGGGCAGGGGACCCCCAGGCGGCTACAACAGGTGCGCCGGGGCCGCCCACCCGGCTCGGGGCGCGCCCGCCCCTGCGCCGACCCCCGACCCCTTCCGCCGCCGGGGCCCCGCTGTTACCTGCAGCGGCGGCTCCCGATTCCCGGGAGGGCGGCCCAGGGCCGGCGCCTTACCCGCGGGCAGGCCCACTCGCCCGACGGACGCCGCGGGTCGGCGACAGCGGGGACCGCGGGTCGGCGACGTCGGGGCACAGGTCCTGCGGGGCCGCGGGGGCCGCCAGGGAGGGCGCGACCGCCTGACCGGGCTTCAGGAGCAGTGTCCTCAGCCGGTGACCTGGCCGCTACCCTCGCTCAGTGTCCCCGGCGACGCGCGGGTCCTCACGCGCTCCCTCACTTCCTGCGGCTTTTGGTCCCTCCCGCTCGCCGTCCCTTTAGTTCTGCCCACTTCGCCTCCGGGTTGTCAGGGCAACCGTAGCGACGCCGGCCCTGGCTGAGAGGCGTTAGGAGTCCGGGGGTTCGCCCGCGGAGGCCGGGGAGCAGCCGACCATGGAGCCCCAGAGTAAGGGAGGCCCGGGCTGGAGCTGGGACCGGGGCGGGCGACCGGGCTGGGGCTCCCCGGGAACGAGTGTGGGCGCCCCGCGCGCGACTCCGCAGGTTTCAACGCTCGGACACGGAAATACGGTTTGCGTCTCCTCGCGCTTTTCTCTCCTGGAGAGGGGAGAAGGGGGCTACATCCTGCCAAGTCTGTATGGTTGGGCCGCCGGCGCCCTAGAGTCCGCGCTGGGGGCTGGGAGCGACTGGAGAGCCCCGAGGTATGGGTGGGGAAGGGCGCAGCGACCCCAGCGTGCGTCTTCCTGAAACTTCGCCCGGACGGTTCCATTTACTCCTCCTCCTACTCATGATTTTAGTTTGGTAGTTTGGTTCATTAATTGTAAGTAGCCCATTTTTCTTCTAAAATGTCAGCAATTAAACACGTCCGAGGCTGGGTCTTGTATTTATTAGAGACCCCGTCTTACTCCCCGCCCCCCGCCCCACACCCCTAGTCTGCGACTTGAAGGAGAGAGAGAGAAAAGAAGAGCTTTGTCCAAGTGTATTTGATTCATTCTTAGGGGTTCTACAAGTTAGGACACTCAAAAAATGTTTGTAATCTCTTTTTCTGTTTTCCCATGTTGCTTTCGATGTATGGCAAAAGTTGTGCAGTTTTGAGTTATCAGATCTAAACACGAGCTCTAACTTACTATTTTTGTTGTTGTTTTTACCTTTCCAGGGACTTTGTTTCAAGGCCTTTCTTTCTCTGCCCCGCCTAAGCTGTCTTATTGTTCCTTTTGTTCTCAAAATAAGGGGAGTGTTTTGTATGGAGACTTAAAATTTATCTAAAACCTTTATAGAAGGATGCAGTTTGACTCTCAAACCAAGTCGTCTTATCTTGTACAATTTCAGAAATGAAGAACTCAGACCAAATCTATTCTCTGGGGAAAATGTTGGCATTTTTAAAGGTCATTCGTTTTCCACCAAGAAAGTTTCAAATACTTTTCCTTTTAACTCATTTGCTGAGGAGAAAGCTTGCAAGTTGTGACTTATAGTTGCTTGATAGATTTTGTACAGTATTTGTCATTTGCATTTACAGCTCTTTGGATTCTACATTTTTTTAACCTAGTAAAAGAAATTTAGCATACAAGAACGCTAAAATTTTTGTTTTATGTCAAACTGATGGCAGGCTGTGTATATTCCCGCCTTAGAGAAGTGAGTTGAAATATACCTTTTAAAAACAGCAACTTGGCCTGGCCCGGTGGCTCACGCCTGTAATCCCAGCACTTTGGGAGGCTGAGGCAGGCGGATCACGAGGTCAGGAGATTGAGACCATCTTGGCCAGCATAGTGAAACCCATCTCTACTAAAATACAAAAAAAAAAAAAAAAAAAAAAAAAAAAAAAAAAAAGCCAGGTGTGGTGGCGCGTGCCTGGAGTCCTAGCTATTTGGGACGCTGAGGCCGAGGCAGGGGAATCGCTTGAACCCGGGAGGCGGAGGTTGCAGTGAGGCCAGATTGCACCGCTGCACTCCAGCCTGGTGACAGAGCGAGACTCCATCTCGAAAAAACAAAAAAAAGAACTTTATTTCTTCAGATTTATGTTACTGTTTTCATGTGTAAACTATAATTTCAAGTTCTTCAGTGCTGTCTTTATCCATTCATTCATTTATAGTGCCTGTTATGTTGCAGCTCTGTTCTAGGGATTGAGGATTGAACAACGGATCGGACAGTGTTAGTTTTGGTCATCCCAGGAAAACTAAGCAGAGGCTTGCTCAAGAACTCCTGAGGTCTTGGTGGGGTTCGGAGATTGGGGGAAGAGGAGATGGACAAAGGCTCCCAAGAGGAAGTAGTACTGGGTCTGCAGAATGACCCAGCAAAGAATGAGGGCAAGGGATTCCAGGCAGTGGGAATTACTTGTACATAGGCCCTGAGACCTGAGAGCAGCGTGGGTTTGAGGCTCACGGTAGGAAGATTAGTAAAGCTGTAGCTAAGGAGAGGAGGAGGAAAAAACAGGGTTGGAAGGAGGGAGGAGAAATGAGATAAGGCTGGAAAATTCAACCGGAGCCTGATCAGAAAGGTTCTGTAACCATGTGAGAAATGTATTACTTATGTGAACTATACATTTATATCTCATGTCATTGGATTTTGAGGTGGAAAATATTTAATTTATACCTGAGGAATGACTGTAAATTTCTTTCTTTCCACATATTCTTAAATTATTTCATCAATTTAATTTTAAATAATTCAATCACCATTTAGCTCAAGTTTTGTTGTTTTTTTTTTTTTTTGAGACAGGGTCTTGCTCTGTCACCCAGGCTGGAGTATAGTGGTGCGATCATAGCTCAGTACACCCTCGAACTCTTGGACTCAAGCAATCCTCTCACCTGAGCCTCCTGGCTAGATGTGACTACAGGTGTGTGCCACCATACCCCGCTAATTTATTTATTTATTTAGAGACAGAGTTTCGCTGTTGTTGCCCAAGCTGGAGTGCAATGATGTGATCTTGGCTTACTGCAACCTCCGCCTCCCGGGTTCAAGTAATTCTCCTGCCTCAGCCTCCCAAGTAGCTGGGATTACAGGCATGCGCCACCATGCCTGGCTAATTTTGTATTTTTAGTAGAGATGGGGTTTCTCCATGTTGGTCCGGCTGGTCTTGAACTCCTAACTTCAGGTGATCCTCCCGCCCTGGCCTCCCAAAGTGCTGGGATTACAGGCGTGAGCCACCGTGCCCGGCCCCTAATTTTCTTTTTAATTTTATTTACTTTGAATAGAGCTAAAGTCTGATTTTGTTGCCCAATTTGTTCTCGAACGCCTGGCCTCAAGTGATCCTCCTGCCTCGTCCTCCCAAAGTGCTAAGATTACAGGCGTGAGCCAGCACACCCAGCCTGGAAATTCTTTTACAGTCTAAGAAACATAATTTGGATAAATATTTACTACCATTCACAGTTACTAAATATTTAAAAGGACAAGATTAAATGATCTTTGAGGTTTCTTTTAACTTGGAGATTTGTATCCAACCAGATTTCACCTGAGACGGAAGTTATTTCCTACTGTCAGCCATAATGGAAGCACTACAGACGTGGCATCAAGTATTACAGTGAATTACAGTTATACTGTCAGCAATATTATGTTAACAGTACATTGTTTATGCCGATATTATCTAACATATTTTAAACCCTGTTCCTTTTGTTACTGAGAGGTCTAAAATAACATTTTACAAGTGTAGTTGAATATAGCATCAGTAAATTGGTTATGAGGAAGACTCCTTCATAATTGCTTTTAAGGATTAAACATGTATCTAAGGACAACACCAAGGAACTACTAGAAATAACCCTCGAGTCAGTCTTTTCCGTTCTGTTTCCACACCCTTAGTTTTCTATTACTTTTAGGAATGACCTTTGTTAACTAAGTCATTAAAATCCAATAAACATAAACTCTTCAGACCCCACAGCTGGATCATACTCTTGGCAGCAAGCAGAGGAAGGCAGGGGCTACCACTGTTTTACAGAATAATAGTAAGTCAATGATCCAAGAAATGACTTCCCAGGGAAAGGGCAAATTAAATACGTTCACAACCTTGGGCTGTTGAGAGTGGTTTTGGCTCTTGGCTTGCACATTGACGTCTTTAATTATTTTCTTGCTAAACCAACTTCAGTGTTGGAAAGATAGCTCATGTATAAAATAACATGGAAAACGTACATCACTTCCCATTTGTTTTGGGTTTTTGTCCTTTTTTTTTTTTCTTTTTTTGGAAAATAGTTCAATAGTACTATCTCTTCCTTAATTTCTTAATGAGTTTTAATACCAAGGGGTGGCTTTGGGGATCTTTAGCCCAAATCTAAGCAAACATATAATCTGAGTAAAAACTGTATATTTATCAAATGCAGCATCAAGAGAAGCCCCCCGGCTCCCACTTGGTGCTACCTGTTCTGTAAGCTCTTGCTATATATATGTATTTTAAAAATCCAGCAGGCAGCAGTTTTCTGCTACACGTTTCTTTCTGTTTTTTTTTGTTTGTTTGTTTGTTGTTTGTTTTTTGTTTTTTGAGACGGAGTCTCACTCTGTTACCCAGGCTGCAGTGTGGTGGCACTAGCTTGGCTCACTGCAACCTCCGCCTCCCAGGTTCCAGCGATTCTCCTGTCTCAGCCTCCCAAGTAGCTGGGATTACAGGTGCACGCCATCATGCCTGGCTAATTTTGTATTTTTATAGAGACAGGGTTTCACCATGTTGGTCAGGCTGGTCTCGAACTCCTGATCTCATGTGATCCACCCGCCTCGGCCTCCCAAAGTGCTGGGATTATAGGCGTGTGCCACTGTGCCCAGCCTTTTTCTGCCCCCCTTTTTTTTTTGTAGTTGTTGTTTTTAGAGAGACAGGGTCTTGCTGTGTGGCCCAGGTATGCCTCAAACTCCTGGGTTCAAGGGATCCTTCCCCATTGGCCTCCCGAGTAGCCAGGACTGCCTACTGGGCTCACGCATGTTTTTAAAGAAATGGTAGATAAGAGATCTAAGGTATTTCAGTGACTAAGAAACTGAGGTGAATGACTAAGGGACTGAGACTTCTCTCTCCAAACCTGTTTCTCCACTAGTCTTCCAAGCCTTCCCAGTTACTCCAACCTGAAAATGAGTCATCCTTGGCTCCTCATTATCAACCCTCACCCCACCCTTCTCCATCCACCAGCAGGTCTGTTTATTCCACTTCCAAAATATACCCCAAATGTGCTTCCTCTTCCTCCGTACTCCAAGCTACCATGCCGTGTAAGTTATGATTGTGATTTTTGCATGTCTTCTTCCACTGCTACCTGGAAGCTGGAGTGACCTTTCAAAATATACATCAAATCAGATCATGTCACTCTCCTGCCAAAAGCCCTCCAAAGTCCTTACGTTGATCTAGCTGCCTCTTCAAACTCATCACACATCTGATCTTAGATGTATTATGCTTCAAGCACATTGGTCTTCTTGTAGTCCCTCAAACAAGCTTCTTTCAGGACTGTGGCTCTGAACAAGCTTTCCTCTCTGCCAGGGATGCTATTCCCTCCTGCTATGGCAGGTCTGACTCCTAATGTCCTTCAATCTTTGCCTAAATTTCACCTCCTGCAACCCTTCCCTGGCTTCCTAAAGTGGTGGTGCCCCCTCTCTGATGTTATTCTATCTCTGCGCTTTTCTCTTAATAGTAATAATCAGAACTTGTAATTATTTTGTTAATATTTAAAATCTAGCTGGACGTGGTGGCTCACGCCTGTAATCCCAGCATTTTGGGAGGCCAAGGCGGGCGGATCACCTGAGGTCAGGAGTTTGAGACCAGTCTGGCCAACTGGCGAAACCCCGTCTCTACTAAAAATACAAAATTAGCCAGGTGTGGTGTTGCACGCCTGTAATCCTAGCTACTCACGTGGCTGAGGCAGGAGAATTGCTTGAACCTGGGAGGTGGAGGTTGCAGTGAGCCGAGATAGCACCACTGTACTCCATCGTGGGAGACAAGAGCAATGTGAGGTGGGGGGAGGAGGGAGGGATAGCGTTAGGAGATATACCTAATGCTAAATGATGAGTTAATGGGTGCAGCACACCAGCATGGCACATGTATACATATGTAACTAACCTGCACATTGTGCACATGTACCCTAAAACTTAAAGTATAATAATAATTAAATAAAAAATTCTACTTTCTTCACTCGACTGTAGGGTGGTGGAAGAGGTCAGGGGACCTGTCTGCCCTGTTTGCCATCCCGTCCCTAGTGCCTAACACGGAGTAAACCCTAAACATTCATGGAATGGATAGCACTGCTGTTCACAGATAGATGCCTTACCTACTTTCATTTCCTTAAGAGTGTTGTGGTGTACTTAAAAAAAGAAAGCCATTTTATTCTACATTATTCTACAACACAAAGGGCTGTGCTCCAGTGAAATTTGAAGTGCCTCTTGTGGATTGTGCTTTGGGTAAAGTTCATTTAAATCAGGTACTTATAAATGTTAGGTCGATTACAAATATGGTGTCCCATTTTCTTTTCTAACCTAAACGAGATGTTTTAAACGAGTCTCATTCTATCCGGTAAGAATAAGGAAGGAGGCAAGTAAACTTATTTTTTGGACCAAGCGGCCACGAGGTCATAAGACCTAAAAATCTTTACACTCCCAGCCAGCACCTGCTCATTAATTATCTGGGAGACTGGTAAGGATTTAAAAGTAATTTTTTCCTTAAGCCCAGGAATCATTTAAAAAATCTGTATAACATTTTTTTCTCATGTAGTCTTAGCCCCGAAGAATATTAAGTCTATCAATTAGGTTATAATTCAAATCTTATCAAGAAATAAATGCTTAATAAATCAAGATTAAAAAAAATTTTCAAAGCAGTGTCTTTTAAACAGTCATGTTTTAAAATCCCCATCAAAATGGTAAAATTCATTGTGATCCTGACCTCTGATGCTGTCAGCCACAGGAAGGGGCAAAACGACTTGAGGCTTGAAGCCGTGTCTTTCCCCAAGCTCAGGTTCACCAAACATGGTCTCCAGATGGAGTCTGTTCCTCAGAACCTGGGCTTTACTTCTTGATGGGAGAAGGAAGCAGTGTTAAAACTTGTCTATTCTGAACTAGCCAACCAGATTAAAGGAGGGGTTTGTGCATACCAGCATCATCCCAGAATGACCTGAATGACTCATTACATGCAGACAGTGGTGCAAACTCATTAACAAGTAAACAACTCACACCAGTGCTCTGTGCTCACAGGGCTGGGGGCGTTCTTGGGTATTTTTCTTAAGGGAGGCTGGAAGAAGGGAGGAGGCATTCCTTTCTCCTAGAGGCAAAGGCCAGTTCCTTTTGCTGTGCCCCAGACCTTTCCTGGTTGTTAGAAACTCTTCCAGGCCTTTTCTTGGGAAGGTGCTCTCATCCCCACACCCCTGCCTCCTCCCTCCACCTGTTGTGCACTCCCTGAGAGAAACAAAACAACTTAATCAGCTTATTCAGCTACTTGGGAAGCTGAGGCGGGGGGACTGCTTGAGCCTAGGAGTTTGGATTCAGCCCGGGCAACATGTCGAGACCCCATCTCTAATTTTTTTTTAAGTTTTAATTTTTTTAATTTAAATAAACATATTCAGGCTAGTGCACGTACTTTGGTTCTCTACTGAAGTAATTCACCCTAAATTGAAACTAGCATTGCTAGTTTAGTGTATTACTCCTCTCTAGGCAGCCTCTCTCTCTCTATATATAAATATATATTTTGTTTGTTTGTTTGTTTTGTTTTGTTTTTTTGAGACAGAGTTTCACTCTTGTCGCCCAGGCTGGAGTGCAGTGGCACAAGCTAGGCTCACTGCAACCTCCACCTCCTGGGTTTAAGCTATTCTCCTGCCTCAGCCTCCCGCGTAGCTGGGACCACAGAATGTGATCCCACAGCTGTGACCACACCTGGCTAATTTTTTATTTTTTTGAACTGGAGTCTCTCTTTGTTCCCCAGGCTAGTCTTGCCACTATCCTAGTTTTTCTTCTGTATTGTTAGACAGGGCCTCAGTGTCCTTGAACTGCAAGGAATTAACACTGAGCGTAGTATTAGTAAAACCTATCTTCTACTCATGAAAAGTCAATCATTTTTTTAAAAAAAGATTCCACAATTATTATAAGCAGAAACAAATTAAAAGGTTGTATACCTACTGTTTGAAAAACACGACTTACCAAACCAAACATAAGAAGTATGTATACCCCTATATTTATGAAATAAATAGAATCCATAATTTAAAACTTCCTCACAAAAACAATCCCAAGTTCCTGATGGCATCACTGGTGAATTCTTCAATGAAAGGGAAAAAATAACACCAACATTACAGATTTTTTTTTTTTTTAATCTTAGGGACAGGGTCTCACTATGTTGCACAGGCTGGAGTGCAGTGGCTATTCACAGTCAAGTTCCAGTGATCCTCCCACCTCAGCCTCTTGAGTAGCTGGGACTACAGGCTGCAGAAACTTTTAAGAGAACAAAAATAAAGGGAACTCCTGAGCTCAAGCACTTCTCCCATCTCGGCCTCCCAAAGTGCTGGGATTACAGGCATGAACCACTGCACCCCGCTTAGTGTGCTGTTTTTAAAAATGACTTTTGGGCTTGTGTTCATGTGACTGATGAGCCTGTAGTTTTACTTTTTGTAATTTTTTAGACTACTTTTGGTATCAAGTTTATTGTAATCTCAAAAAATGAGCATGGCTCTGTTCCCTTTATTTTTGTTCTCTTAAAAGTTTCTGGCCGGGCGCGGTGGCTCACGCCTGTAATCCCAGCCCTTTGGGAGGCCGAGGCGGGCGGATCACGAGGTCAGGAGATCGAGACCGTCCTGGCTAACAGGGTGAAACCCCGTCTCTGCTAAAAATACAACAAAAAAAAATTAGCCGGGTGTGGTGGTGGGCGCCTGTAGTCCCAGCTACCAGGGAGGCTGAGACAGGAGAATGGTGTGAACCCGGGAGGCGGACCTTGCAGTGAGCTGAAACTGCGCCACTGCACTCCAGCCCAGGTGACAGAGCGAGACTCTGTCCCAAAAAAAAAAAAAAAAAAAACAAAAAAAACGTTTCTGTAGCCTGTAGTCCCAGCTACTCTGGAGGCTGAGGTGGGAGGATCACTGGAACGTGACTGTGAATAGCCACTGCACTCCAGCCTGGGCAACATAGTGAGACTCTGTCACTAAGATTAAAAAAAAAAAATCTGTCCCTAAAATTAAAAAAGAAATTCTGTAGTGTTGGTGTTACTTTTCCCTTTCATTGAAGAATTCACCAGTGAAGCCATCAGGAACTGGGAATTGTTTTTGTGGGAAAGTTTTAAATTACAGATTCTACCTATTACTAGACATAGGAGTTTACATACTTCTTCTGTTTGGCTTTGGTAAGTTGTGTTTTTCAAACAGCAGGTGTAGGTGTACAACCTTTCAATTTGTTGCTGCCTCTAATAATTCTGGAATCTTTAAAAAATGACTTTTCATGATGAATAGAACATAAGTTTTACTAATGCTATAATCAGTATAAATTCCTTGCAGATCAAGGACAGTGAGGCCATGTCTAATAATCCAGAGGCAGAACTTGGATTTGGGAGATAACTCCCCCCTCTTGCACTCTCTGTGACAAGTCTAGTTTCGATATCAAGTTTATCTTAATCTCAAAAAATGAGCTTGGCTCTGTTCCCTCTATTTTCTCTTAAAAGTTTCTGCAGCCTGAAGTCCCAGCTACTCAGGAAGGTGAGGTGGGAGGATCACTTGAGGCCAGGAGTTCAAGGCTGTTTACTGAAACAATCAGGAATGAGCATTCCCAAGAGAATACAATTACAAAAGTAAAATCACCTAGAGCTTTGGGGCTGCTTAAAAAGCCCAGAAAGAAGTACCAAGTGAGAAAATAATCAAATTCAGTGGAAAAACTCACTTGAGGGTATCATGGTCAGCTGGGTTTCCACCCCTTTGATGCACTTCAAGTCCTGTGTATCCCACAAAGACTTGCTCCTTTCTAAAGGCTATGGTTCACGTTCAACAGAATAGCAGCAACCGCCATAAGCCTGAGGGCTGGCTAGTCTTTAATATTCTGCCCTATTCAAAGAAATGAGTCTTTCCCTCATTTGTAAAGATCTCCCAGGTCCGTTACAAAAAAAGAAGGAGCAGCTAGGCACAGTGGCTCATGCCTGTAATCCCAGCTCTTTGAGAGGCCAAGGTGGGCCGATCACCTGAGGTCAGGAGTTTGAGACCACCCTGGCCAACATGGTGAAACCCCATCTCTATTAAAACTACAAAAATCAGCTGGGCATGGTGGTGTGTGCCTGTAATCCCAGCTACTAGCGAGGCTGAGGCAGGAGAATTGCTTGAACCTGGGAAGTGGAGGTTGCAGTGAGCCAAGATCACGCTGCTGCATTCCAGCCTTGGGGACAGAGCAAGACTCTGTCTCAAAAAAAAAAAAAAAAAAAAAAAAAAAAATTCTTACCTCCTGGAAGTGTTTTACTAGTGTTGGTTTCTATTTGACATTAAACACTTCCCCAGGCCAGTGCATTAGCAGTTAGCTCCTTACTGAATATTATCTGTAGCAAACAGTAGCTGACTCCTAGCTCTCTTCAGTGAACTTGATTTAAATTTATAGAATTCTTATGACTTCTATTTCATCTTGAACCAAGAGATTGCTTCCTTTTCCTACTGATTTACCTTTCAGTTACATGTAGACTGAACCAGTCCCAGCCATCTTTAGTTGGTCTCTATTCAAACATTGTACTTTTGTTTCTTGATTACATCTTCAATTATTTTAGTTATTTCTGAGATTCTCCCCTGCAGTTTCTCCAGTTATCTAGAGAAGAGTGTGGCAAGGTACAAAGAGTGCCTGAATAACATTATGAAGGCTGTGAGACTTCAAATAAATGAGTAGCCTCTCTGAGCATTAGGTTTGTCCTCTGTAAACCAGGAATAATTTTTACTGAACCAGGGTTGTTCTAAGGATTAGTGAAATGTATGTAAAGCCTTTAGCATTTAATAGGTGATCAAATGGTAAGTGATGCTTATAGAATGTTTTTATCATGGTAAAATATACAAAACATAAAACTTACCAGCCTTTTAATCTAAATTGTCTTATTGTGATAGGCTTGCTTATAGTAAAACAAACTCTTTTTAGTATCTGTAGGATCTATAGTGATAACTCTTCACTCCTTATATTCTAACTTGTGCCTAATTAGTTAGGCACAACTCTAATTAGTTATCTATTGCTGCATAAGAAATTACCTGAAACTTAATGTCTTCAAACAACAACAAGTATTTATTATCTGTGATAGGCAGACTTCTAAGATGTTTCCCATGATCTCAATGTCCTGGTGTTGTACTCTGTATGATCTCTTCCTTTTTTAGTGTGGATGGGATCACTGCTCAGCCTTTTGGATGAAATCGAGTGAACGTGAGTAGGATCTGTGACTTGTTTCTAACTGACGTAATATTGCAAATGTGATGGGTTGTTACTCCTGGGATGTGTGTGTGTGTGTGTGTGTGTATGTGTGTGTGTGTGTGTGCACAGAAGAAAGGAGAGGGAAGAGGAGAGGAGGAGGAGGAGAGAGACATACATTAGGATATGAGATAGACATATTGCTAGCATGCACGCAAGATTCTCCTTGCTGATTTGAGGAAGTGTGTGACCATATTGAGAAAGCCCAACAGCAGGTGGTGTCTAGGACCTGAGGGTGGCCTCCAGCCAATACCCAATAAAAAACATAGCTACATAATCATACAGACATAAGGAAATGAATTTTGTCAACAACCTGAATGAGCTTGAACCCAGCTCAGCTGACACCTTGCCTGCAACCTTGTGAGAGCCTATGCAGTGAACCCAGTTGAGCTGTGCCCCAATTCCTGACCCACAGAAAATACGAGAGAATAAATATGTTTTTTCTCCCTTTTTTTTTTTTTTTTTGAGACAAGAGTTTCCCTCTTGTTTCCCAGGCTGGAGTGCAGTGGTGCGCTCTCGGCTCACTACAACCTCTGCCTCCTGGGTTCAAGCAATTCTCCTGCCTCAGCCTCCCAGGTAGCTGAGATTATAGGCATGCGCCACCACACGCAGCTAATTTTGTATTTTTAGTAGAGATAAGGTTTCTGCATGTTGGTCAGGCTGGTCTCGAACTCCTCACCTCAGGTGATCTGTCTGCCTCGGCCTCCCAAAGGGCTGGGATTACAGGTGTGAGCCACTGTGCCTGGCCTTTTCTCATATGTTTATAGCAGCACAATCTGCAACTGAAAAAATATGGAATCAGTTCAAATGCCCATCAGTGAACGAATGGATAAAGAAAATGTGGTATATATGTACCATGGAATACTACTCAGCCATAAAAAGGAACAAAATAATGGCATTTGCAGCAATCTGGATGGAATTAGAGACTTGTTCTACGTTAAGTAACTCAGGAATGGAAAACCGAATATCATATGTTCTCACTCATAGGTGGGAGCAAAGCTATGAAGATGCAAAGGCATAAGAATGATACAATTGACTTGGGGACCCAGGGGAAAGGGTGGGAGGGGGATGAGGGAGAAAAGACTATACATTGGGTACAGTGTACCCTGCTCGAGTGATGGGTGCACTAAAATCTCAGAAATCACCACTAAAGAACTTACTCATGTAACCAAACACCATCTGTTCCCCAAAAACCTATTGAAATAAAAAATAAATTTAAAAAAAGTAAAAAAACCACTTAAAAAAGAACATGTATTTTCTTAAATGAAATCCTGACCCACAGAAACTGTATAAGAGAAAATATACTAGACAATATATGTATATTTCCTGAGATGTTCATTTGTTATACAACAATAGCAAACTAATATAGAGCTTCTGTGGGTCCTGATTTGAGAAATGCTTTAGCTGGGTGGTTCTGTCTTGGTCAATATGTTGATTAGGCCTGCAGTCATCCGAAGGCTTGACTGAGGCTAGGGCATCCAATTTCAAGACGGCTCACTTAACATGGCTAGCAAGTCAATGCTGTCTGTTAGCAGGAGACCTCTGTAATGTAATGCATTAACTTCTGTAGGGTTGCTTGAATGTCCTTGCAGTATGGTAGCTACTTTCACCCAGGGTGAGCAAGGTGGAAGCTGCCATGTGTTTTATAATGTAGCCTAGGAAATTTGAACTATCTTTTTGATAACACAGGTCAGCCACATTTAATATGAGAGAGAACTACACAAGGCCTGGATAGCGGAAGTGAAAATCACTGGGGGCCATCTTGGAGGCTGGCTGCCACAGAGATTAGCAACTGGAATACTGTTTTCAAAGAAACAGCTTTGGCTTTTTATATTTTCTCTATTATGTCTTTGTTTTTTTTTCATTGATTTCACTTTTATCCTTATTATTTCCATCATTTTAATTTCATTCGGCTTAATTTGCTGGGATTTTTGAGATGGATGCTTAGATCAGTGGGGTTTTCTTCTTTTTCTTTTTTTTTTTTTGAGACAGGGTCTTACTGTGTCACTTAGGCTATAGTGCAGTGATGAATCATAGCTCATAGCAGCCTTAAATTACTGAGCTCAAGTGATCCAATCCTCCCTCCTCAGCCTTCCAAGTAGCTGGGACGACAGGTGTGCGTCACCATGACCAATTAACTTTTTTTTTTTTTTTTTTTTTTGCTGTGACAGGTCTCACTATGTTGCCTGGGGTGGTATTGAAGTTCTGGCCTCAAGCAAACCTCCTGCCTTGGCCTTCCAAAATGTTGGGATTATACATGTGAGCCACCACACCTATCATATCATTGTTTTTTAGTACTTTGTTTTGTTTTCAAATACATGTGTTTACGATTATAGATTTCCCCCACCCCAGAGTTAGTCACATCCCACAAGTTTTCTACTTTTGTAAAATTGTATTGAAGTATAATATACCTGAGAGAAAGTGTGCCATCTTAAATGTACAGGTGGATGAATTATCACAATGTAAATGAATCTCTGTAACTAGCACCAAGATAAAAAAAAAACTACTAGTTATTTAAACCTAAGTTTGATAATATTACCAATTACTTTAAAGTTCATGTCTGATAATTCTAATACCTGAAGCACTTGTGGGTTTGTTTCTTTTTTCTGTTTTTTATTTTGTTCATAGTTTTCAGTCACTTGATCATATATCCTGGCATTCCTGGTAACATATACATACTTCTAATTTTTAAAAATTGTACAGCTCTAGCATAAAGAGTCCTACAATGGGTACTTATCCCCCATCTATAACTTTTTTTACACTTTGTTTTCTTTTTACTCTTTCTAGAATTTATTATTTTACTTTTTGGATAAGTAATATAGTTACAAGTTTCAAAGATAAAAAATTATGAAAGAATGTTAGTGAAAAGTCTCATTCTTGCAATGCCACCACCCTCTTCCTGTCCTACAGGTAACCACCATGATTAATTTCTGGTATATCATTCCAGAGATAGTTTAAACCTTGTATATAGAAGCAAATTATGTATACTGCATTCCTGTGTCTGTTCTGTACTTTGCTTTTTTCACCTGACATTATATTTTGGTGAGTTTTCTGTTTAGTACATAATACATTTTCTCGTATTTTAAACAACTGTATTCTGTTGTATGAATTTATCATAATTTATTGAATCAGTCCACTGCTGATGGACATCCAGTTTGTTTCCAGACGTTTGCTATTGTGATAGGCTGAATAAAAGATGTCCACAGGCTGGGTGCGGTGGCTCACTCCTGTAATCCCAGCACTTTGGGAGGCCGAGGTGGGCGGATCATGAGGTTAGGAGATTGAGACCATCCTGGCTAACACAGTGAAACCCCGTCTCTACTAAAAACACAAAAAATTAGCCGGGTGTGGTGGCATGTGCCTGTAGTTCCAGTTACTTGGGAGGCTGAGGCAGGAGAATTACTTGAACCCGGGAGGCAGAGTTTGTAGTGAACCGAGATTGCACCACTGCACTCCAGCCTGGGTGACACAGTGAGACTCCGTCTTTCCAAAAAAAAAAAAAGATGTCCACATTCAAATCCCTGAATCTAGGAGTATATTACTTTACATAGCCAAAGGGGCCTTGGGAGTAAGGATTGTGAGATGGGCAGAGGAGCGTGTATCATCCAGGTGGGCACGATGGAATCAATCACAAGCGTCCTTATAAGTGGGAAGAAGAAACGTCAGACTCAGGCAATACGAAGATGGAAGTGGTGGTTGCAGTGATACACGATCATAGAGCCAAGGTGTGTGGAAAGCCGTCAGCAGAAGGAAGAGGCATGGAAACGGACTCTCCCCTAGAGCCTCCAGAAGGAACCAGCCTTTGATTTTAGCTCCGCAAGACGCGTTTTGGACTTCTGACCTCTGGGCTCATAATAAGATAAGTTTCTGTTGTTTTAAGCTGCTACATTTGTGGTAACTAATTATAGCAGCAATAGGAAACTTAGAAGAGCTGTTTTTACAATTATAAGCAAAGCTGCAAGAAACAATGTGTATCTGACATTTTGCATTTGGGCAAGTATATCTGCAGAATGAATGTCTAGATGTGGACTAGGTAGTTAGTTTTGATAATTGTTAAATCACTCTCCTCTAGACGGGTTATACCAGTTTATACTTCTAGTAGCAATATGAGTGAATACCTCTTTCGCACAGCCTCCTCAACTCAATGTGTTACCAAACTTAGAATTTTTACTGTTCTGCTAGTAAAAAGCCCTAATTTCTTTGGATAACTTACTAATTATTGAGTCTTCCTCATCTGCACAACATGGTTAGAAGCTCCTTCAGAGTTACGCCTGGGTCCTTATTTCTGTTTTTTTCTCCACTGCATACCTTTGTGTCCTTCCTGTTAACCTTATATAGGGCGGGCTCCCTGCACAGAAGGAGGAGATGATATACTCAACAGCATCTGTGCATGATAGTTAGAGGGGAAAAAATGCGATGTAGAATCCATTCTATCCATCTATCAAGTTCCATTTAGGAAAACAAAATGTTAGAACTAAAATATCCTAATCACAATAATTGACTAGTGAAGACTGAAGAAGTGGTTGCCTAGCAATGCCCTGATCGTCTTTGATGTTGACTGGTTGACATAAGGCGGGATCAACAAACACACAGCACGTGTGTGGCCCTGGCACCTGATTCAGATCCTTCCCACTAAGGTCAACAATACCCAGGCTCTTGGAGGCAGCCACTCCTCATCGATTATTTGCACATGAGATAAACCTGTTTGTTTTACCATATTGAAGGACTAACAGAAGCACAAACTGTAACTCAAGTGCTTTTCCAGTGAAGAGTGAAATAGGAAAGAATGAAAATAACATATATCTACCCCCCTCCTCCTCTTCCTTTAGCTTGGGGATCATCATTACCTCCATTTCTCCATTTTATTTTTGTTTCCTTTTTATTGGCACCACCAAAGTGTGTGTGTGTGTGTGTGTGTGTGTGTGTGTGTGTGTGTGTGTTTTTGAGATTAAAACTTTAGGGAAAGAAACAGCTCTCTTAAAAATGTCAGCAACTTCAATTCATTGCTTTTTAAATATCCTGGTTAATAATTTACACCCTTGGTTAAAATATTCAATCATCTACTTAATATATAGTGCTTACCTTTGTTTTTATTTTATTTTTTGAGACATAGTCTTGCTTGCTCTGTTGTCCGGGCTGGAGTGCAGTGGCCCAGTCTTGGCTCACTGCAACCTCCACCTCCTGAGTTCAAGCAATTCTCATGCCTCAGCCTCCCGAGTAGCTGGGATTACAGGTGCCCACCACCATGCCCAGCTAATTGTGTTTTTAGTGGAGACGGGCTTTCACCATGTTGGCCAGGCAAGTCTCAAACTCCTGACCTCAAGTGATCCGCCCGTCTCGGCCTCCCAAAGTGTTGGGATTACAGGCGTAAGCCATCGTGTCCAGCCTATTGCTTAGCTTTAATGTGAATCAGTGTTAGCATATACATTCAGAATTCTTTAAACTTCAAAGAAACCACAAAATTATGTATCATGGAAATACAAATCAGAACAAAAATCTATTGACTGTGAGCCCACAAAACATAATTTTTGTTTCCTGAAAACAGAAAAGTATGCAAATGAATGAGGCCTTTTAAGGGAATCTTGTGGCTTCTCAGTCCTTGCTGTTCTGAATTGGTGATTATCAACAGAAATGCCCAACAGGTGATTCTAAAGATACTGGTAATTCTCCACCCTTATCTGATTGCACCTACATTTTGCTTGTTGCTCATTCTGCATGACACCTAAACGCTGCATGACACCCAAACTCATTCTGCATGACACCTAAACTCAGGTGACACCTAAATGCTGCATGACACCCAAACTCATTCTGCATGACACCTAAACCCTTTAGCAGTCGGCCAAAAGGAGGAAGGAGGGCGTGTTTATGAAACAGACAGCTGTCGTGAGTCCTGGCGCTCAGCTTCATTCACTAATCAGTTGCCCGTTGGTAACTTGATTACAGATAACTTCAGTGTGACTCAGGCTCGTTTGCCACAGCTGTTTCTCTTAAAAGTTCTCTGATAAGTCATTGCCACCACTACTTCCAAATAGCATATGTTAACTTTGAGTTAATTTTACATAAACCTGGGTTAATTTACAAAATTTTGGCACCAACAACATGGTTAGGCAAGGCAGCATGGATGGGTATTGGAATCTGTCAATCTGGGTTGCTGTATACCAGCTCTGGGACTGGGGGCAAGTTGTAGCAGCCCTGAGCCTCCTGCTTCACCTGTATCAGGGGAGGCTGAGACCCACCTTGCAGGGGTCTTGTGAAGATTAAATGCAGTGCTGTGTGAATGGTGCCTACCTTCGTGCCCGGCCTGTCAAGACCAGGCAGTTTACACAAAAACACTTGATATTGACTATGAAACAAGATCCGGAAGAGAACAAATATAAATACAGATGGATCAGCTAAATGAAGGACTGTCGAGTAAAAACACAAAGAAGATGTTTGTGAGTGGAGGGGGATGGATCTCCTTCTCCACCCAGCAGTGAATATCATGGGAATCTCTCTCTACCTGAATCTACCTCTTATAATTCTTAAATTAAGAACCATTAGAACTCTTCTAAACTTTCTAAGTACTCATTACAGTATGAAACCCTGCCCGCCTCCCAGACAACTTCCTATGGACATTAGATTTTTTAAACATAGGATATGTTAAGTGATGGTCTTCATTCCTCAATGTCACATTCTAAATTTGTATTACTTTTTCTTCATTTTCCAAAGCTCCAGCTCAGCATCTTTGTATGCCATATATATATATTTAAAAAGTCTCAGTGGTCTTTTTATGTGTCAGTTTCTACACCCCAGCCTCAGGTAGTGTAAGCTTCATGAGGACAGGAACCAGCCCTGCCTGCTCACGCTGTCACCAGCATGTTTGCAGGGAGGACACATGACAGTCAGGTATTGGTTGAATAGGTAAATGGAAGACTGGAAAATGTAGGCTGGACTGAGAACTTGTGGATAGACACACCTCAGTGATTAGTGAAAAGGAAGATTGGTCCAAAGCAATGTTTGTTAACCATATTTTCATTATCAAAGAGGAAAAACTAAACATTCCCTAACAGAAATGAAAAAGGAATAAAATTTTTGTTAGATGATGTTGAACTTTGAAAGGCCACCAAGGACACTTTTAATATCAAATCTTCCTCATCCCCCCAACTCCAGAAAACTAGTTTTTGCTCAGATATTGGCTCAGTGGAAAATGTGTGGTCTGAAGCTGTAGTCTCCTAGTTTGTGAGCTTATTTTCGCTGCCTGAAGGTTTGAGTCACCGTAGAAGGGGAGGAGGGGTGGTGGAGATCAGAAGTGAGGTCTGAACTCCCGGGTTGACTTAGGTGCGGAGGGGATGACTTAGGTGCGGAGGGGATGAGGTAGAACTGCTGGCAGGGAGGCCCCATCTGATCTGAGAGTGAGCTTGGCAGGCAGAAAGCACTTGACAAAGCCCAGGGAATGGTCGGGAGAGACTGGTAGATCCAGCACTCCTATTCCTTGAGGCTGGTCAGTGATGTGTATTAACCTAGGATGGCTAATGTGTTGGTGAAAGGGATCCAGCTACAACTCCACACTCCTGAGTCGGGGCCCAGTGTTGTGCATTTCTGTCAAAAATACTGCAGGGGACTGCCAGGCTGCTCTTTCCACAGGCCACACTTTGAGAAGCATGGCGTTAACTCACCTGTGCATGTTACATTTGTTAAAGGGTAACTTTTCAAAAACAGGGAAAACTATCATTCATATAGATATAAATGTTATTTTATTAATGAAGTGAGCAGTGAGATGTTACAACCAGTTCAAAAGGGAACCCAAAGGGACGGACACATCTATTACTCAGAATATTGAAATAAACTGGAAATTGATGCATAAGTGGCTTTGCCACATGGAGAAGGATTGGCTTTCCAAGGCAGGTTGATTTGCATGTTTATAAACAAGAATCATTTGCGTTATCTGTTCTTTTCAACTTCACATACCATAAAACAGGTGAAAGGCTAGACTAGAAAACCTTAAAGGGGCTGGGTGCGGTGGCTCACGCCTGTTATCCCAGCACTTTGGGAGGTTGAGGTAGACATCACTTGACCCCAGGAGTTCAAGACCAGCCTGAGCAACATAGACCCTGTCTCTACAAAAAAAGTTCCAAAAATTAGCTGGGCATGATGGCATGAGCCTGTAGTCCCAGCTACTCAGGAGGCTGAGGTGGGAGAATCCCTTGAGCCAGGGAAGTGGAGGTTGCTGTGAGCCAGGATCATACCCTTGCATTCCAGTCTGGGTGACGGAGGGAGATCCTATCTCAAAAGTCTGAAGGAGTGTGATCTAAACAATGTGTAGTGTTTCCACTGAAGCACAGATGTTTTCCCTGTGATTTGTAGTGATTGGCATTTTCAAACTGCAGGTTGCTGTCTATATTAACTTGACAGTTTGTAATAACTGCTTGAGATTAGCAGTTTGTCTGTTTCTTCAGTTTAGTTAATTGTCATATGTAGCTCCTCTGTGTAATATGAGAAAGTAATGAGAATTTTTTTTTTTTCTTTTCAGACGGAGTCTTGCTCTGTCACCAGGCTGGAGTGCAGTAGTGGTGCAATCTCAGCTCACTGCAACCTCCGCCTCCTGACTTCAAGTGATTCTCCTGCCTCAGCCTCCCAAGTAGCAGGGACTACAGGTGCATGCCACCACGCCCAGCTAATTTTTGCATTTTTAGTAGAGATGTGTTTTACCATGTTGGCCAGGATGGTCTCGATCTCTTGACCCGCCTGCCTTGGCCTCCCAAAGTGCTGGGATTACAGGCATGAGCCACCACACCCAGACATGAGGGCTCTTAAATAGAATTCTCATCTATAAAAAGTAGGTACTGTCAGTATTCCCCTCACATAGGTTTATGAAGAAGGCATTTTAAAAAGAGAACCCCTGTAATCGATCAGGGACCCCATCTGCCTTCTCTGTGGGCGTAGGATAAATTCTTTTGATTATGTCTATTTGATATAAAAAAATCTGTAGTTAAAATATACCATTTGCATTATCCATAATAGCCAAAGGGTGGAAGCAAGCCAAGTGTCTATCTGCAAATGAATAAACAAAATATGGTATATATATACACTATATGCAGTAGAATACTATTCAGCCTTACAGAGAAAGGCAATTCTGACACATGCTACACCATGGATGAACCTGGAAGACATTATGCCAAGTGAAATAAACCAGTCACCAAAGAACAAGTATTTTATGTGATCAGCTTCTTGATAATCTCCAAAATAGCCACCTTAGCATATTGAATGTTTGAAGCTGAAGGAATCTCAGAAATGACAGGAAGAACACTCTGACCTTCCCACCCTCTTCTCTGACGCAGGTCACAAGGCCCTTGGGTGAGAGGTGCCCTCTCTGTCCCTGGAGGAAGGAACATCCTTCTCTCTGAAGATAACGCTGAATCGAATCTGAATGATACGTCCTGCTGTTCCTCCCAGTTTACTACGCTTAGCTCCTACCCCTTTTTGTCCTCTCACAATTTTCTGCTTCTCTCCACTTTTCATCAAACTGTTAAAAATTATGGGAGGCCATTCTTTTGGGCTGAGCTCCTGCACTAGCCCTCAACAGATCAGACCAAACCAAAATGGAGTTACTTATGCTAAATGCTGTGTCATCAAACTGAAACTTTAAGGAAGCAGATAGATCCCCAAACAGACCAGTTTTTCCTGAAAACATGAGATTCCAGTCTACTTGAATCAGCGGAAGAAGGAAGTCCCCTCTGCTTTAACTATTACAAAAAAGTAACCGAAGTAGCTTGATGTTAACCAATCAGGTTTTTCTATTCTGTTTCCTTGTTGCTACCTCATAAAACCTGTGGTTCTGCTATTGCCCAGTGGGAGCTCTCATTCTGTTTTGTAGAGTGGAAGGTGCCCAGATTCATGAATCATGAATAAAAGCCAATTAAATCTATAAATTTGTTGTAGTCCTCTGATAATATAAAACCTAATTTGTAATTTAGTCTTTTGACGAACCTAATATATAAAGACATAGGTTTAACTGTTTCTTCAGGTCTTTATTTCCTTACAAAGGTTCCTAGTTAGATCAAGTTACTTCCAGAAAAGTCAATTTCTTCTGTGTCATATAAAACTTATATTAAGTAAATGTGTATGCTTTTCTCTTGTTAATCTGTCTTTTGGTACAAGAGCCCCAGCCAAGAAATTAGAAGGGTGGAGGAAAAATATTTTTCCTCCCTTACATATGATTCCACTTATATGAGATACCTAGATCAGTAAAATTCACAGAAACAAAGTAGAATGGTAGTCAGGCTCAGTGGCTCATTCCTGTAATCCCAACATCTTGGAAGGATAAGGCGGGAGGATCACTTCAGCCCAAGAGTTCAAGACCAGGCTAGACAACATAGTGAGACCTCATCTCTACTTTAAAAAGAAAAGTCAGGTGTGGTGGAACATACCTGTAGTCCCAACTACTGGGGAGGCTGAGGTGGGTTGGATCACTCGAATCTGGGGGTTCAAGCTTTCAGTGAATTATGATCATGCCACTGTACTCCAACCTGGGCGACAGAGTGAGACCCTGTCAGAAAAAAGAAAAAAAAAGGGTAGTTTGGTGGTTGCCAGAGGCTGGGGTAGAGAGGAATGAGGGCTTATTGCTTACTGGGTACAGAGTTTCACTTCGGGATGATGAAAATGTTCTGGAGATGGATGGTGGTGATGGTTGTACAACAGCGTGAATGCACTTAATGCCAATAACTGTACATTTAAGACTGGTTAAAATCGGGCTGGGCACAGTGGCTCACGCCTGTAATCCTAGCACTTTGGGAGGCTGAGGCAGGCAGATCACGAGGTCAAGAGATCAAGACCATCCTGGCCAACATGGTGAAACCCCGTCTCTACTAAAAATACAAAAATTCGCTAGGTGTGGTGGCGGGTACCTGTAATCCCACCTACTTGGGAGGCTGAGGCAGGAGAATCCTTGAACCCGGGAGGCGGAGTTTGCAGTGAGCTGAGATCGCACCACTACTGCACTCCAGTCTGGTGACAGAGCAAGCCTCTGTCTCAAAAAAAAAAAAAAAAAAAAAAAAAAAAAATATATATATATATATATATATAGTTATATATACTTTACCATGATAAAGACATTTTATAAGCACCATTTACCATTTGATCACCTATTAAATGCTAAGTGCTTTACATATATTTCACTAATCCTTAGAACAACTTTGTTCAGTAAATATTATTCCTGGTTCACAGATGAGGAAACTGAGGCTCAGAAAGATTATTTATTTGAAGTCTTACATAGGCTTTATAATGTTATTCATGCACTCTTTATGCCCTAGATAGTTGGAGAAATTGCAGGGGAGAATCTCAGAAATAACTAAAATAATTGAAGATGTAATCAAGAAACAGAAGTACGTTTGAATAGAGACCAACTAAAGATGGCTGGGACTGGTTCAGTCTACATATAATTGAAAGGTAAATCACTAGGAAAGGGAAGGAGTCTCTGGGTTTCAAGATGAAATAGAAGTCATGAGAATTCTATAAATTTAAATTCAAGTTCACTGAAGAGAGCTAGGAGTCAGCTACTGTTTGCTACAGATAATATTCAGTAAGGAGCTAACTGCTAATGCATTGGCCTGGGGAAGTGTTTAATGTCAAATAGAAACCAACACTAGTAAAATACTTCCAGGAGGTAAGAATTTTTTTTTTTTTTTTTTTTTTTTTTTTGTGACAGAGTCTTGCTCTGTCCCGCAGGCTGGAGCGCAGTGGCATGATCTTGGCTCACTGCAACCTCCGCTTCCCGGTTTCAAGCAATTCTCCTGCCTCAGCCTCGCTAGTAGCTGGGATTACAGGCACACACCACCACACCCGGCTGATTTTTGTATTTTTAGTAGAGTTGGGGTTTCACCATGTTGGCCAGGCTGGTCTTGAACTCTCGACCTCAGGTGATCCTCCCCCCTTGGCCTCTCAAAGTGCTGGGATTACAGGTGTGAGCCACTGCGCCTGGCTGCTGCTCCTTTTTTTGTAATGGACCTGGGAGATCTTTATGAATGAGGGAAAGACTCATTTCTTTGAATAAGGCAGAATACTAAAGACTAGCCAGCCCTGAGGCTCATGGTGGTTGCTGTTATTCTGTTGAACGTGAACCCTAGCCTTTAGAAAGGAGCAAGTCTTTGTGGAATACACAGGATTTGAAGTGCATCAAAGGGGTGGAAACGCAGCTGACCATGATACCCTCAAGTGAGTTTTTCCACTGAATTTGATTATTTTCTCATTTGGCACTTCTTTCTGGGCTTTCTAAGCAGCCCAAAAACTCTAGATGATTTTACTTTTGTAATTGTATTCTCTTGGGAATGCTCATTCCTGATTCCTCGTTTCACCAAACAGTAGGTGTGTAACCTTCTTATTTGTTTCTGCCTATAGTAATTCTGGAGTCTTTAAACAAAACGACTGTGACTTTTCATGATGAGTAGAAGATAGGTTTTACTCATGCTACAATCAATATTAATTCCTTGCAGTTCAAAGACACTGAGGCCCTGTCTAATAATACAGAGGTTGAACTTGGACTTGGGAGATGACTCCTGTCTCTCGTACTCTCTGTGGCTCTGCTTTCTGTTATTTTACTCATAAGCTTGTTTTGTCTCCTTGCTGAGAACTGTCAAACATGAAATGTAATTTCAGGCTATAGTGAAGAAGGATGACATAGGCCGAAAAAATTGGCAATCATTTGGCCTGTACATGTTGCTTTTATTTTTTTTCTGGACTTAAGATATAGACCAAACCTTGACATTTCTGGCCTTTGAGTCTTTCACAACTGTGATTATAATACATTAGCTCTTCTAGAAGTTAGAAGTGACTTTGGATTAAGTCTTTCATAAGGTGGCTAAATGAATTTATATGGCTCATCAGAATTCACTAGATTGGTTAAGCAGGAAATTTACAGAGATTTTTTTCTTTGCTGTAAATGTTTTTCTAAATTGAAAAACTTCTAATACTGTCTTCTGGAATACTAGAAATAAGTGCAAGTGATTGTTTTTGGCAGGAGGCCACATAAACATTTCTGCTTCTCTGTGACTTATGGGTAGCATTGATATAAATTGTTAAAAATAATGATCGTAGATAGATAATGTATCAGAGTTTGGGCTCAGCCGCTGTAGCTGCTGTTGACCCAGAGGAACCACTGGGATCCTCACATCTCAGGGCAGCACATCGTTTGCAGCAATGGTTGGTTCTGTACAACCTTTTATGAAATTAGGTGAGGCCCTTGATTAGAATTTGTTTTTTAAAAGGTTTAATATGAGTTTATATCTCTAAATATCAGTTTCTAATTTTTTTTAAAAGCCTATGTTTACAACAAATTTGGGAGATACCTATATGCACTACTAACTAGTGTTCTTTTGTGGTGCTTTAGAAATTCTGGCTTACTTGTATTTTTGCTGGCCTTCTAATGATTTCACTCATCAATCAGAAGATATTTGTGTCCACCTTCCTGCTTCCTCTCCGGTGATCTTGTCTATTCTTGGCCATTTTAGAGTTGACTTAGCAGCCTTCACAAAACTGGTTGGAATTTCCACTGGGATTAAATTGATAGGTCATTTTTGGGAGACCTTTGCAATATTGAACTTTCCAATCCGTGAACTTATCTGCCCATGTATTATGTTTGTTTTTGGTAGATTACAAAATTATATGATCACTCCAAAAATTACCTTGCCCTTTATAGTAAAACCTTCCATTGTAAACTTCTGGCAATCACTGATCTGTGTTCCTCTAGCATTGCTTTTTTTTCAGAATTTTATACAAATGGAATCGTTCAGGCTGTAGCCTTTGAGTCTGGCTACTTTCATGTACTGTATCAACAGTTATTCCTTTTTATTGCCAAATAGTAATCCATTGTATAAATACTACATGGTTTGCTTATTGGTTTGTCATTGGAGGAATATGGACTATTTTCACTTTTTGGTAAATTATAAGTGGATTGGAATTCACAAAGTGCTTTTTGTCTGAGCATAGGTTTTCATTTCACTTGTGCAAATGACTAAGGGTGTAGGATTGCTGAGTCACATGGTCCGTGTACGTTTGACTTTATCAGAACCTGCCAAATTGTCTTCCAAAGTGCTGTGCCACTTCTGTTTCTTTAATAAATACAGGGGTATTCAAGCTGTCTGTTTCTTCTTGAGTTTTGGTAGTCTGTCTTTCAAGGAATTGATCTATTTCACCTAATTTGTAGAATTTAGAAGCATATAGTTGTTTGTTTTGTTTTTGTAGTATCCATTCTAGCCTTCTAGTGTCTACAGGATTTGTAATAATCCTTTCATTTCTGGTATTGGTAATTTGTGTTTTCTCTTCTTCCTTTGTCAGTCTGCTAGAGGCTTCCTCATTTGATTGCTTTCCACCTTCCACCACCCCTGCAAAGAACCAACTTTGGATTTTGTTGAATTTTTTTCCTTTACTGTTTTTGTTTAAATATTACTGATTTAGTCTGTTTTTCTTATGCCTGATTTGAGTTTATTTGGTTCTTTTTTTACTTAAAGTAAATGCTTACATTATTGATTTGATGCTTCATTTCTCATAATTTAGTGCTATAAATTGCCCTGTAAGCACATATTTTGATAAGATGATGTCATATTTATTAAGTTCAAACTGTTTTCCAATTTTTCTTAAGACACTCTCTTTGACCTATGGGCCATTTAGAAGTACGCCATTTAACTTCTCATATTTGGGGATGTTCTAGAAATGTTCTAGATTCCTAGTTTAATTCTGTCGTCAGAGAAAATAATTCACTGAATTTTAATTGTTTAACTTCAGGGTTTGTTTTATGACCCAGAATATGATCTCTCACCACCGCCATCCAGATAATTCTTCAGGTTTTGACGTTTCCCAACCTGTCTGCTGGTTACTTTTCAGAGTACTTGGATCATTGCTATTTATATTTTGTCCAGAGTTTCAAATTGTGATCAGTGGAAATGACAGGCCGTAGCATACATACGCCATCCTGGCCAGCATCACAGGTGGTCAGTACATCTTTCTGTTGTTGTTTTGAGACAGGGTCTCACTCTGTTGCCCAGGCTGGAGCACAGTGGCATGATCAGGGATCACTGCATTCTCAACCGGCTAGGCTCAAGTGATCCTCCCACCTCAGCCTCCCGAATAGCTGGGTCTATAGGTGTGCTGCCATGCCCAGCTAATTTTTGTATTTTTTATAAAGACAGGATTTTGCCTTGTTGCCCAGGCTGGTCTCAAACTCCTGAGCTCAGGCCATCCTCTCACTCGGGCCTCCCAAAGTACTAGGATTATAGGCATGACCACCACACCTGGCCAGTACATCTTAAAAATGATTTCTGATCCACGTTGAATAATGATGGCCTATAAATATTTTTTCTTGCACTTGCCTTGTTGGGTTTTGATATCAAGGTTATTTTTATTTTAACCTTATAAAATGAACTGGGGAGTCTTCTTTTTTTATTCTCTCAGTTTGTGTTAGTGGCAGAGTTTTTTTTGTTTGGTTGGTTGGTTTCTCTTTTTCTTGTATGTTTCATGGAACTTTTTGGTGAAGGCACTTGGGCCTGGAAATTTCTTTATGGCAAGTTTTTTCATTACTGATTCAATATATTTAATCTATGTAAGATTTTTTTCTACTTTTTGAGTCAATTTTGATTTTTTTTTTCCAAAAATTCATATCTCACCAAGTATGGTGGCTTATGCCTGTAATCCCAGCACTTTGGGAGGCTCAGGTGGGAGGACCACTTGACTACAGTAGTTCAAGACCAGCCTGGGCAATATAGTGAGACTCCATCTCTGCAAAAAAAAAATAAAAATTAGCTTGGTGTGGTGGTGGGTGCCTGTAGTGTGAGCTACTTGGGAGGCTGAGGTGGGAGGATCATTTGAGCCAGGAAGGTCGAGACTGCAGTGAGCTGTGATTGTGCCACTGCACTCCAGCCTGGGCGACAGAATGAGACCTTGTCTCAAAAAAAAAAAATTTTTTTCATCTATGCTTTAAAGTCTGTTGGCATAAAGGTATTCATAATTTTACATTATGAATTTGTTTATTTGAGACAGGGTCTCACTCTGTTGCCCAGGCTGGAGTACAGTGGTACAATCATGGCTCACTGCAGCCTCCGCCTCCCAGGCTCAAGCCACCCTCTTGCTTCAGCCTCCCAAGTAGGTGGGACCACAGGCACGTGCCACCATGCCCAGCTAATTTTTGTATTTTTGGTAGAGACAGGGTTTTGCCATGTTGCCCAGGCTGGTCTCAAACTCCTGAACTTAAGCATTCCTCCCACTTCGGTCTCCCAAAGTGCTGGGATTACAGGTGCGAGCCATCGTTCTTGGCCTGCAAGTTATGACTTCCTTTCAGAGTCTTTCTATCTGTAGTACAGTCCTCCTGTGCAAGATTGTTTTTTGACTGCTTTTTCTTGACAAATCTTGCTAAAGGTCTGTGAATTTTATAATGTATTTTTAAAGAACCAGGTTTTAGCAGGGCATGGTGGCTCATACCTGTAATCCCAGCACTTTGAGAGGCAAAGGTGGGAGGATCGCTTGAGCCTGTAAGGGGGAGGCTGTAGTAAGCTGTGATTGAGCGACTACACTCCAGCCTGGGCAACAGAATGAGACCCTATCTGAAAACCAAAAAACCCACAAGTTTTAGCTTGGCTGATTCTATTGTGTGTTTCTTTTGTATTTCATTTGTTTGTTATGTTTTTCCTTTTTCTTTCTTTGAATTTAACTTGTTCTTTGTCTGATTTATTGACTGATGCTTAGTTTTTTTTTTTTTTGAGATGTAGTCTCGCTCGCTCTTTCACCAGGCTGGAGTGCAGTGGCACAATCTCGGCTCACTGCAACCTCCAGCTCCTGGGTTCAAGCAATTCTCCTGCCTCAGCCTCCCGAGTAGCTGGGACTACAGGTGTGCACCACCACGCCCACCTAATTTTTGTATTTTTAGTAGAGATGGGGTTTTACCACGTTGGGCAGGATGGTCTCGATCTCTTCACCTCGTGATCCACCTGCCTCGGCCTCCCAAAGTGCTGGGATTACAGGCTTGAGCCACTGTGCCCAGTCTGTTGATGTTTTTTCCAAGTTCCTTTTCTAATGTTCTCATTTAAGACTATAAATTTCCCCAGCCTGGACAACATGGTGAAACTTTATCTCTACCAAACACACAAAAAATTAGCCTGGCGTGGTGGTGTGAGCCTGTGGTCCCAGCTACTCAGGAGGCTGAGGTGGGAGGCTCACTTGAGCACAGGAGGTGGAGGGTAGTAAGCCAAGATTTTGCTACTGCACTCCAGCCTGGGTGACAGAGTGAGACCCCATCTCAAAAAAAAAAAAAAAAAAAAAAGACTATCATTTTCCCCTTATGAATGGATTTAATTATATCCTACAGTTTTTAATATGTAGAACTGATGATGAATTTGCCTTATTTTATCTTCAAGCTATGGGCTATTTAAAAGTATACTTTTAGAAAGTTTCTAAAATTGTTACCAGAAATTGTGATCTGTCCACTTTCTTAGAAATTTGTTACTTAACACTCGTCTATATGGTTAATTTTTGAACTTGTCCACATTTTCTTGAAGGGAAGTCTGTTTCTGTAGTTAAATCTCATGTTCTATATGTTTGCATTGAGTATTTTTTTCATAGTTTTAAATCTTCATCCTCCCTAATTATTTTTATACTTTATTTACTGAGAGATATATTAAATATCCTACTAGAAGCATGGATTTGTCTGTCTCCTCATCTGTCAACTTTTGCTTTTTGAGGCTGTACTTGGGTGCATATGATTCAAAAAATATACATCTTTTTTTAATTTGAACTTTTATCAAAATGAAATGTTTTCCTTCATTTATGTATGCTTTCAACATTACGTATGATATAGCTATAGTAACTTTGGTTAGACTTTGCACTGTGTATCTTTCACGTGTATGTGTGTATTTTTTTCCCACTGTGCTGCCCAGGCTATAGTGCAGGGGCTGTTCACAGGTGTTCACAGGTGGCTCCCTGCTGCCTTGAACTCCTGGGCTCAAATGATCCTCCTACCTCAGTCTTTAGAGTGATGTGTGCCACCACCGCCAAATAATTGTTTTTATTTCTTTAGAGATAGAGTTTGGCTATATTGCCAAGGCTGGTCTTGAGCTCTTGGTCTCAGGTGATCCTCTCACCTCTGCTTCCTGAGTCACTGGGATTACAGACATGTGCCGCCAAGCCTGGCTCCTCTGATACGTATTTTAATACCTTTTAAAATCATTCAATATCTTTGTATTTTAAATATGACTTAAAAATAGCATGGAATGAGATTTTAACAATTTATCCATCTTTAACTGGATTACTTAGTCCATTTGCATGTATTTGTATTCTGACATACTTGGATTCTGTATAGATGGTGAGTGGTGTGTATGTACATGCATATGTGTTTGTGTCATTTTGTCACTTTCTATTTATCCTACTTATGTTTCTTTTTTTCCTTTCTTGCCTTCTTTTCAATTGGTGGGATATTTTTTCTTCTCTAGTCATTTTAAGTTCTAGTCTTTGTTTATATTCTTTTAGTAACTGTCATGCTAATTTAAATGTGCATATTTAAGTTATGAAAGTCTAAAATTTATCCTCCTCCTGGGTGATAGGATAACTTAAGAATACTTTCATCGCATTAAACTCCTCTTGAGTTATGCTACTACAGTATATTTTCAACTTTTTATTTTGACATAATTGCAGATTCACAGGCGGTTTTAAGAAATAATAGAAATCCCATATAGTCTTCACTCAGTTTCTCCCAATGGTAACATCTTGCGTAACTACCTTGTTCATATTTCACCAGTTTTATGTGCACTTTTAGTTTTTTTTGTGTATTTAGTTCTATGAAATTTTATCGTGTACATAGATTAGATACCTAACCACCATCACCATCGTCAAGATACAGAACAGTTCCATCAGAAGGATGGATCCCTTGTGCTACCCATCTTATAGTCACAAACACGTTCCTCACTCCCTGACCCCTGGCAACCACTAATCTGTTTTTCATCTCTGTAACTTTATTTCAAGAACACATGTAAATGAAACCATACACTGTCTGATATTTTGAGATTGAGTTTTTTTATTCAGCATAATTATCTTGTGATCCGTCAAAGTTGTTTTGATATATTTTATCATTTTTCTTTTTATATTTCATGGGACATTACTTCTATTGTTTTATACGTTTCACGTTTGTTTAGTTTTATCCATATATTCACCTGTCTTTTTCCTGCTCTTCATTTCTTCTTATATCCCAGATCTTCCACTTGAGATCATTTTCTTCCTGCCTGAAATCTTTTTGGTATCTGTTTAGTAATGGTTTCCTTGGGCGAGCTCCCTCAATTTCTGCACATTTTAAGCTCTATTATGTTAGTCTCATACTTAATTTTTTTTATTGTGGTATAAGAGGCATACAGGTAAGGAGATCATGAACGTACAACTCAAAATTTTCACCTAGTTAACACCTAAGAAATGGATATGACCAGCAACCCAGAAGCCTCTCTTCTGTTTCCTTCTAGTTGCTGCTCTTACCTCCTCTCGAGGCAGGGTCATCTGCCTGCCTTAGCCTCCCAGAGTGCTGGGATTACAGGCATGAGCCACCGAGCCTGGCCTAAAATGACCATCTTGTCTTTTGAGACAGAGTCTTGCTCTGTCACCCCAGCTGGAGTGCAGTGGCATGATCATGGCTCACTGCAGCCTCAATCTCCCTGGCTCAAGCGATCCTCCCACCTTAGCCTCCTGAGTAGCTGGGACAGGAGGCACACATGCCACACCCAGCTCAGTCTACTGGGCTCAAGCAAAAGGTATCTCCTATTCTGACTTTTTACACTATAGATTAGTTTTCCTATTATTCGCTTTATAAATGCGATCTTTTCTTTTGGCTTCTTTTGTCAGCTTTAGACTTGTGAGTTCTATCCATGGTGTTGCACATGGCCGTGGTTTGTTTATTGTTGTGTGCATTCAGTTTTACTAATATTGCACAATATGTTTATCTGTTCTGCTGGTGGCTGACATTCAGGTTCTTCCAAGCTTGGGTCCATTATGAGTAATGCCATTATAAACTTTTTTTTTTTTGAGATGGAGTCTCACTCTTGTCGCCCAAGCTGGAGTGCAATGGCGCAATCTCAGCTCACTGCAACCTCCACCTCCTGGGTTCAAGCAATTCTCCCTGCCTCGGCCTCCCAAGAAGCTGGGATTACAGGTGCCCACCACCACGCTTGGCTAATTTTTTTTAGTAGAGACGGGGTTTTGCCACGTTGGCCGGGCTGGTCTCGAACTCCTGACCTCAGGTGATCTGCCTGCCTCAGCCTCCCAAAGTGCTGGAATTACAGGCATGAGCCACTGTGCCCGGCCCTAAACTTTCTTGTACTTACCTTTTGGTGCACACGTGTGTACTTTAATTTGATCTGTATCTGGGAGTGCAAGTGCTTTATAGAGTGTACGTACAGTTTTAGGAGATACTGCTAAAAATTTTGCAGTGGCTATATCAGTTTACACTCTGCCAGCTGTGGATGAATGTTCCAGTTGTTTCCCATCCTTCTGTTGTAGGAAAGGAGTCCTGATCTAGACTCCAAGAGAGGGTTATTGGATCTGGTGCAAGAAAGAATTCAGGGCGAGTCCATAGAGTAAAGTGATAGCAGGTTTATTAAGAAAGTAGAAGAATAAAAGAATGGCTACTCTATAGACAGAGCAGCCCGAGGGCTGCTGGTTACCCATTCTTATGGTTATTTCTAGATAATATGCTAAACAAGGGGTGGATTATTCGTGCCTTTTTTTTTTTTTTTTTTAAAGACCATGTAGGGTAAATTTCTGATATTGCCATGGCATTTGTAAACTGTCGTGGTGCTAGTGGGAGTGTAGCAGTGGGAGGAAGACCAGCGGTCACTCTTGTCACCATCTTGGTTTTAGTAGGTTTTAGGCAGCTTCCTTACTGCAGACTGTTTTATCAGCAAGGTCATTATGACCTGTACCTTGTGCTGACCTCCTATTTCATCCTATAACTAAGAATTTCATCCTATAACTCTCTGGGAATGCAGCCCAGTAGGTCTCAGCCTTTTTTCCCAGCTCCTATTCAAGATGGAGTTGCTCTTTTTCAAACCCCTCTGACACTTCCATGTACTTACTATCGTGTCAGCTTTTAAAAACTTTTAGTCTTTCTGATAGATGTATAGTAGTATCTCATGGTGTTTGTAATGTGAATTTCTGTAATGCCTAAGTAGGGAAGGGCATCTTCTCATGTTTTAATACTGGTCATTTAGTTGTTCTCTTTGGGAAAGGGCCTGCTCAGGTCTCTTGCCTAGCTTTCTATTGGGTTACCTGTCTTCTTGTTTAAAATTACTGATTTGTAGGAATTCTTATATTATGGACCAAAGTTATTTGGTCATATTCTACCCAGTATTCTCTGAATGATTATTTGAATAAAGATGATTAATTTTGCTATAGTGCAATTTATCAGTATTTTCCTTTATGGATAACGTTTTTGGTTGCAGGGGAGTTTTGAACTTTCTCTCTTTTCCCTGAAGGTTCGATAATTTGAGTCTCTGTAATAAACTTGACAGTAGCCAGATTAGCAGGAACAGTGGCATACAGCCTGATGATGTGCGTATGCACAGGAGTCCACGAAATATGAGACTCACAGAAGAGCCAGGTGGTTGAAGCTTAGCTAGCAATTTGAGCTGCAGAAAGAAACAGGAGCTTAAAGGCCCCTGGATGGTAGTGGCGACAAGCTATGGGAGAGCGAGGGGAGGAACTGCACTGGGAACAAAGGCTCTTATGCAGAAAAAAGTCCCTCAGGTAGCAGCCTTCAGAATAGGTGAAAAGTCTGTCTGGTGTGGTATCCTGAGTGTGGAGACCTTTTAGTTTCCTCTGTTTCCATAGGAGTCTGGTTAATGTAGATCCCAGGAAGGAGGGCAGGGTTTATGACAGACAACAGCATTCCTCCTGGGGGAACTTCTCTTAATCAAATAAGTGAAACTTCGGAGAAAGCACTGCCTGTATTTGCTGCTTCCCAGGTGCTCTCAGGTTGAAGTCTACAGCTGCATATTTTGGGGTATTTTTTTGAGCCCAACATGATCTTTATGAAAAATTTTACCTAATTCTATGTTATCTTCTAGAAGCCTTTTCACATGTAGCCTGTCTATCTGGAAGGGATTTTTATGTATGGTATTGTTAACAGTGGAGCGTGTGCAGGTTCTTGGCATCTTGAACAGAGAATTGGACAAAACGCACAAAGCAAGGAAGGAATGAAGGGATTTATAGAAAATGAAACTACACGCCACAGTGTGGAAGCAGCTCTGAGCATAGGGGCTCAAAGTTCCTGTTACAGAGTTTTTATGAGTTTACCCTCTACTTGAGGTACACCCTATGTAAATGAAGAGGATGAAGTAAAGTTACAAGGCAATTTACGGCATACACCTTATGGAGAGGATATTTCCTGTTATAGCTGAAGTGTGAATTGGCCTGATGTTGCCTGCCTCCAGACCCTATTTTCCTGCCTCAGTATCAAGTAGGAAACTTTTTCACATGGCTATCCAGTTGACTTTGGCACCGTTTATTAAAATGACCATCTTTTCTTTTTTTTGTGACGAGGTCTTGCTCTGTCACCCAGGCTGGAGTGCAGTGGCATGATCCTGGCTGACTGCAACCTCCGCCTCCTGGGTTCAAGCGATTCTCCTGCCTCAGCCTCCTGAATAGCTGGGATTACATGTGCCTGGCTAATTTTTGTATATTTAATAGAGATGGGGTTTCACCATGTTGGCCTTGAACTCCTGATCTCAGGTGACCCGCCTGCCTAGGCCTCTCAAAGTGCTGAGATTACAGGTGTGAGTCACCACGCCTGGCCTAAAATGACCATCTTTTCTTTTGAGCAGAGTCTTGCTGTGTCACCCCAGCTGGAGTGCAGTGGCATGATCATGGCTCACTGCAGCCTCAACCTCCCTGGCTCAAGCAATCCTCCCACCTCAGCCTCCTGAGCAGCTGGGACAGCAGGCACAACATGCCACACTCAACTTTTTTTTTTTTTTTTTATTAGACATGAAGTATTGCTATGTTTCCCAGGCTGGTCTTGATCTACTGGGCTCAGGCAATCCTCCGCTTTGACCTCCAGAAGTTCTGGGATTACAAGTAGGAGCCACCGCACCTGGCCCATCTTCATTGTTCTTCAGTGTCACCTTTATTATAAATCAAGTACTATATACATGGGCATGCTTTTGGCCTCTGTAAGTTCCTTTTTTAAAATTTTCCACAAGTTATTAGGGGACAGGTGGTATTTGGTTACATGAGTAAGTTCTTTAGTGGTGATTTGTGAGATTTTGGTGCACCCACCACCCGAGCAGTATACCCTGCACCTATTTGTAATATTTTATTCCTTGCCCCCTCCACACCCTTACCCCCAAGTCCCCAAAGTCCATTGTATCATTCTTATGCCTTTGCATCTTCATAGCTTAGCTCCACATATCAGTGAGAACATACAATCTTTGGTTTTCCATTCCTGAGTTACTTCACTTGGAATAATAGTCTCCAATCTCATCCAGGTCACTGCAAGTGCTGTTAATTTACTCCTTTTTATGACCGAGTAATATGCCGTAGCATAAATATACCACAGTTTATTTGTCTACTTGTTGATTGATGGGCATTTGGGTTGGTTCCACGATTTTGGAATTGTGAATTGTGCCGCTATAAACATGCATGTGCAAGTATCTTTTTTGAATAATGACTTCTTTTCCTCTGGGTAGATACCCAGTAGTGGAATTGCTGGATCAAATGGTAGTTCTACTTTTAGTTCTTTAAGGAATCTCCACACTGTTTTCCATAGTGGTTGTACTAGTTTACATTTCCATCAGCAGTGTAGAAGTGTTTCCTGTTCACTGCACCCACACCAGCATCTACTGTTTTTTGATTTTTTGATTATGGCCTTTCTTGCAGGAGTAAGGTGGTATCACATTGTGGTTTTGATCTGCATTTCCCTGATCGTTAGTGATGTTGGGCATTTTTTCATATATTAGTTGGCCATTTGTATGTCTTCTTTTGAGAATTGTCTATTCATGTCCATAGCCCACTTTTTGATGGGATTGTTTTTTTCTTACTGATTTGAGTTTGTTGTAGATTCTGGATATTAGTCCTTCGTCAGATGTATAGATTGTGAAGATTTTCTCCCACTCTGTGGGTTGTCTATTTACTCTGCTGACTGTTCTTTTGCCATGCAAAAGCTCATTAGTTTAATTAAGTCCCAACTATTTATCTTTGTTTTTATTGCATTTGCTTTTGGGTTCTTGGTCATGAAATCCTTGCTAAGCCAATGTCTAGAAGGGTTTTCCAATGTTATCTTCTAGAATTTTTACAGTTTCAGATCTTAGGTTTAAGTCCTCAATCCATCTTGAGTTGATTTTTGTATAAGGTAAGAGATAAGGATCCAGCTTCATTCTCCCACATGTGCATAACCAATTAGCCCAGCACCATTTGTTGAAAAGGGTGTCTTTTCCCCACTTTGTTTGGTTTGTTGAAGATCAGTTGGTTATAAGTGTTTGGGCTTATTTTTGGGTTCTCTATTCTGTTTCATTGTTTCTATGTACCTGTTTTTATACCAGTACCATGCTGTTTTGGTGACTATGGCCTTATAGTATAGTTTGAAATCAGGTAGTGTGATGCCTCCAGATTTGTTCTTTTTGCTTAGTCTTGCTTTGGCTCTGCGGGCTCTTTTTTGGTTCCATATGAATTTTAGAATTTGTTTTTTCTAATTCTGTGAAGAATAATGGTGGTATTTTGATGGGCATTGTGTTGAATTTGTAGATTGCTTTTGGCAGTATCATCATTTTCACAATATTGATCGTACCCATCCATGAGCATGGGATGTGTTTCCATTTGTTTGTGTCATCTATGATTTATTTCAGAGGTGTTTTGTAGTTTTACTTGTAGAGGTATTTTGCCCCCTTGGTTAGGTATATTCCTAAGTATTTTAGTTTTTTTGCAGCTGTTGTAAAAGGGGGTGAGTTCTTGATTTGATTCTCCCCTTGGTCGCTGTTGGTGTATAGAAGAGCTACTGATTTGGGTACATTGATTTGTGTACATTAATCTTGCATCGGAAAAACTTGCTGAATTCTTTTATCAGTTGTAGGAGCTTTCTGGAGGAGCCTTTAGGGTTTTCAAGGTAAACAGTCATATCATCAGCAAACGATAACAGTTTGACTTCCTCTTTACCGATTTGGATGCCCTTTCTTTTGTCTGATTTCTCTGGGTAGGACTTACAGTACTATGTTGAGGAGTGGTGAAATTGGGCATCCTTGTCTTGTTCCCCTTCTCAGAGGGAGTGCTTTCAACTTTTCCCCATTTAGTATTATGTTGGCTGTGGGTTTGTCATTGATGGCTTTTATTACATGAGGTATGTCCCTTGTGTACCATGTTTGCTGAGAGTTTTAATCATAAAGTGATGCTGGATTTTGTCGAATGCATTTTCTGCATCTATTGAGATCATGTCATTTTTTTTTAAATTTTGTTTGTGTGGTGTACCACATTTATTGACTTGCATATGTTAAACCATCCCTGCATCCCTGGTATGAAATCCATTTGATCATGGTGGATTATCTTTTTGATATGTTGTTGGATTTGGTTAGCTAGTATTTTGTTAAGGATTTTAGCATCTATGTTCATCAAGGATATCGGTCTGTAGTTTTCTTTTCTGGTTATGTCGTTTCCTGATTTTGGTATTAGGGTGACTTGGTACCAATTCTTCTTTGAATATCTGGTAGAATTCTGCTGTGAATCTGTCTGGTCCTAGACTTTTTTTTTGTTGGTAATTTTTAAATTACCATTTCAATCTTGCTGCTCGTTATTGGTCTGTTCAGGGTATCTAATTCTTCCTGATTTAAGCTAGGAGGGTTGTATTTTTTCCAGGGATTTATCCGTCTTTTCTAGGTTTTCTACTTATGTGTGTAAAGGTGTTCACAGTAGCCTTGAATGAGCTTTTGTATTTGTGTTGTCAGTTGTAATATCTCCTGTTTCATTTCTTAATGAGGTTGTCTGGATTTTCTCTCTTCTCTTCTTGGTTAATCTTGCTAATGGTCTATCAATTTTATTTATCTTTTCAAAGAACCAGCTTTTTGTTTCATTTATGTTTCGTCTTTTTTGTTTGTTTCAATTTCATTTAGTTCTGCTCGGATCTTGGTAATTTCCTTTCTTCTGCTGGGTTTGGGTTTGGTTTGTTCTTGGCTCTCTAGTTCCTTGAGGTGTGACCTTAGAGTGTCAGTTTGCACTTTTTCAATCTTTTTGATTTAGGTGTTCAGGGCTATGAACTTTCCTCTTAGCACCACCTTTGCTGTATCCAAGAGGCTTTGATAGGTTGTGTCATTATTGTCATTCAGTTTGAAGAATTTTAAAATTTCCATCTTGTTTTCGTTTTTGACCCAGTGCTCATTCAGGAACAGGTTACTTAACTTCCGTGTATTTGCATTGTTTTGAAGGTTCGTTTTGGAGTTGATTTTCGATTTTATTCCACTGTTATCTGAGAGAGTGCTTGATATAATTTCAATCTTCTTAAATTTATTGAGGCTTGTTTTATTGGCATCTGCAAGTTTCATTGGTTGATTTTTCTATATTTTGTTTGGTTTTGGAAATAAGTATAATAAAACACAGTCCTGCTCTTAAAATGCATACAATCAGTTAAATAGCTAATTTCAACATAATGTGATGTGGAAGAAAAACATATTAAAATTGTGCTGTATTTAAAGTTTCATAATAGAAATGTTAATTTCTTTACTAAAGTGACCCTTCTACTGCAGCAGGAAGACTGTTTTTATAATTGAAAGATAGTTTGCGTTTTATTACTTGGCTTTTCTTTATAGTTTACTGTACATGAATATATCCCTAAACACGTATTATTATAATTCTGCCTGTTTTGGGGCAGCATCTACCTTATAGCACTGGCTGAGGGCTGAGCTGAGCGTGGCTCCAAGGGAATCCAGCCTTGGGCAGTAGGTGGCAATGTTGGGCAGGCAGATGAAGGCTCCGGGATGTCTGGCTAGTTATGGGGACTGAGCTGTGGGCAGAATTCCAGTCCTGCGTGAATTAAGGCTGGTCCCCAAACCAAGTCGAAGAGACAGAACAGACTGGAGGAGGAGGTGGGAGAGGTCCATGATGAGAGCCGCTGCCATTTATTTAGCATTGTGTACTGAGCTCTGTGCAGGGCACCTAACAGCCTAGCATGCAGCAACTCAGTTCCCACCACCTGTACCCCTACCGTTTTTTTTTTTTTTTTTTTTTTTTTTTTTTTTTTTTTGCAAATCACGAAGAGAAAGACAGTTGGAATGTGGCAGAACCAGGATTCTATCCCAGTCTGGCTGTCCTCACAACTCTGAATCATCAGGTGACAACAGTGTCTTGCTAGAATTGCCAGTTGCTGCTGCTCGGGAGCAGCTGGTGCCTGCCCTGCAGGATGGTGCCATGGGCCTGGCTGAGCTGTGGCTCCCAGCACGATGCTGTTTCTTCCCCAGGTCTGCTCAGTGCTGCAGTTCAGCAGGGTGGAGGCTATGCTGTGCATGCCCCAATCTCTTCTGCCTGGGGGTGTGGGCAGAGCTGCTGGCCTTCATCTCTCTGCTTGTTTCTCCAGACATCTCCTCCTACTCTGATAGAGACACCCTGTCTTGGGACATCCCCCCATTCATTCCTTCACGGAAAGTCAGCCTATTTTTGTATTTTACTTTGTGGTCATCTTCATAATATTTCTTCGTGGCATCGACAGCAGTTTGTAACTGGGGATTATCTGATTGTTATCTCTCTGCCCTGTGGAACTATAAGCTTCCTGAAGGCAGGGGCCGCATCTGAGCTCACTGTTGTATCCTCATAGCTTTACATGGCACCTGGCATCCAGAAGCCTTACATATTTACTTGATGAATGAATATATGAATGACTTCCTTCAACTAATTTTGTCTCTTACTTCCTAGTTGCCAGGTGGTATAAGACAGCAGGGTTATCATCTAATATATATTTGATGTGATAAGAAACTAAAGTCTTGTTGGGAACTTCAGTCTCAATTGGGGCAAATCAAGATTTTGTGATTCTGAAGCAGTTTGGGGAGTTGTCTTTAAGAAAAAGAATGCTGATTATAAACACAAAAAAGATTATAAATCTGTCTTTTAGAATGCCAAAAAGTATAATTAAAAATATAAAAAGCTGACCAATGTCACAAATGTCATAACATTTGAAAAATAACATTTATTAACTAATTGTCCAATATATTTCTATAATATCTTCTCCTATATATTTTGGCTACATGTTATTATGTTACCTTTGTATAACAATTCTGTCATAATAACTTCAGTGGCTGGAATAGAAAGATAATTAAGTCTTTCTATTAATATAGTAATTACACTTTTTTCTTTAGTCTAAAAATGTTAGACTTGCATAAATGTCTTGCTATATTATATGAAGACTACATTTTTAAGCTAATAAGGGCCACCAGTGAGGGAAAGGTTTACATACTTTCTTTACCTTCTCTGAATTCGTCATTAGGTAGTAGCATGTTTGATGGTAGATTTTCAACTACAGGAAAAGCATGGTACATATTGCTGGAGCATCAGTTTTACTTGTTAGTATATATGTAGAAACATTTTTATATTAGGACAAATGGAAACATCAGAGAATACTGTGCAAAATGTATAATTTAAAGCTCAAACACCAGACTTCATAAGGCTATAATTTTGACCTAATAGCTTGACACTTTTGAATCTAAGACAATAATCCTGATTTCCATCATAGTCTTTCCATTTGTTTGTAGGTATTTAGTTGAATTTAGTGATTTATTTTTTGTCCTTTTTTTCATTCCTTAACTGAAATTTAAACATAACTTTTTATAGAAATAAAAAGGATATACAGAAAAATGCACATATCATAAGTTTATGGCTTGCTGAATTTTCACAAAGTGAACCCACTGGAGCGAGATGCTGTCTCAAAAAAAAAAAAAAAAAAAAAAATTGCCACAACCCCAGAAGTACCTCCTCTTCTTCCTTTCCGGATTCAATCTCCATGCTTGCCAAGGAAACCACAGCCCTGACTTCTAACACCATGGGTTAGTTTTGCCAGCTTTTGAACTCTGTGTAAATAGAAGTATACAGTATGTACTTATTTGGATCTGACTTATTTTCCCCAACATTATGTTTGTAAGATTAATCCATATTGTTGTAGATAGTTGAAGATCCTTCTTTCTCATTGCTGTTCCATTAATATAGCACCATTTATTTATTCCAGTATTGATAAACATTTGTATAGTTTCTTGTTTTTGGCTATTATGAATAGTACCTCTAGGCTGGGCGTGGTGGCTCACGTCTGTAATCCGAGCACTTAGGGAGGCTGAGGTGGGTGGATCACCCGAGGTTGGGAGTTGGAGACCAGCCTGACAAACATGGAGAAACCCCATCTCCACTAAAAATACAAAATTAGCCAGGCGTGGTGGTGCATGCCTGTAATCCCAGCTACTCCGGAGGCTGAGGCAGGATAATCGCTTGAACCCGGATGGCGGAGGTTGCAGTGAGCAGAGGTCGCACCATTGCCCTCCAGCCTGGCAACAACAAAAGCCAAACTCCGTCTCAAAAAAAAAAATAAAATAATACCTCTATGAGCATTCTAGTACATGTTTGTTGGTAAACATATGTATGTATTTCTGTTGAGTGTATCGCTAAAAGTGGAAATGTTAGGTTATATGGTATGTATGTGACTGACTTTGGCTAGATATTGCCAAACAGTTGTTCAAGGTCGTGACTTATAATCTCACCCACAGTGTAAGGAAGTTCTTTTAATACATTGCATGATTGTATGAGAGATCTCACTGTTCCATCTCTTTACTGACACTTGGTATTTTCTGTCCTTTTAATTTTAGACTTTGTAGTACCTGTGAAAGCTGTTTGTCATTGTGGTTTTAATTTGGATCGTAGTTTATTACAGACATTTTCAAAAAGATTCTGCTTCACAACTTGTTTTTGGTATTGAGTCAATGTTTAGAATGTCATATTTGGAAAGACCTCTATCAACTTTTTTCATGTATAAGCTTTAAGATTTCAGGGTATTTCCCATATGAAGGAGTCTGATGGAATAAACTATGGTATGGACAATGGAGTACCACGCAACTATATTAAAAAATAAATAGGATGATCTCAGTGAACTGATGGGGAGTGATTTTATATGATATATAAAATGAAAACTGCAAAAGGTATAGCTAGAATGATGTATATACCTTTTGTGCATATGTATATTTATAGTATATAGGTTTTGCAAAAAATAAGCAAAAGGATAAATGAAACATGAATGAAATGAAATACCCACAACAGGAGGTGAGTGGGAATGAGGTGGAAGGGATAGGTGAGGGAACGGGGCTTAAAGCTGCCTATAAAAGTAACTTTAACACGCTTAACAGGTAGCTGCTAAACCACGCTAATGTTGTACCGATTCAAAACTAAACATTTACAAAGACGGAAAAAACTGAAATATCATACAAACAGAAGCAAGTAGACCTAGTTTATTGACAAGCCACACAGATATTCATTGAACTTGTAAACACATTTTTCAGACTCCATATGTTTATTGGTATATATATTCTAAAGACACAGACCGTAAAGGCCTACTGAACATTACTCAGTCTCTTGGTAGTTTTGATACTATTTTGTATGTATTCTGGGATTGAACAATTGAGAAACTATATCGATGCTTTTGGAAAACAGGATTCTCACTGCGGAAGAAAGAATATGTAAATATGGAAGGAAGAAAACAATATAGTCATGTTGGATTTGAACTGGAGTGAATAGTATGAATTTATGATTAAAAAAAAAATCCTGACTGTCCACTGAAAAGTCTAGAAACAATGATTGCCCAGTAGGAATGAGCACACAGTGTGAGACCTCAGTTGCTAAATATATTTCCCATTAACAGAAGTAGGAGAAATGGCTTAGCAAATTGGATGATCCTGGTATTGGGGCATGAAAACTACAAGGTGAGCCTAGAATATTCGGTGTGCCACGAAAGCAAAGAGGTGCTTTAAACATCTCTGGGGAGTGGCTGACACGGTGGTTTACACCTGTAATCCCAGCACTTTGGGAGGCCGAGGTGGGCGGATCACTTGAGGTCAGGAGTTCGAGACCAGCCTGGCCAACATGGTGAAACCTTGTCCCTACTAAAAATACAAAAATTAGCCGGACATGGTGGCAGGTGCCTGTAGTCCTGGCTACTTGGGAGGCTGAGGCAGGAGAATCGCTTGAACCTGGGAGGCGGAGGTTGCAGTGAGCCGAGATTGCACCACTGCACTCCAGTCTGGGAGACAGTGACACTCTGTCTCAAAAAACAAACACCCCCCTGCCAAAACTCTAGGGAGTGGTAAAAGTATACAGAACCAGCTTGAAGGGTCTCCCACTAGCCAAATTTGGAAGCATTTGAGCATCAAAAAGAATAATGTTAATACCTTCGCAGTGGAGAGATCTGGCAAACTCCACTGTAACCAAGTCATCAAGCTTAGAATCACTAATAATGAAACACACCAACATCACATGCCACCTGATATGATGTAGTGGAAAATATACAGTATCATCTATGTATTCTTTTTGCTAAAAGTGTTTAATTTGAATATAATTATGCACATACAATCAGACAAATTGTAGCATATTCCAGAACACAACTGGCCTGGACTCTTAAATGTGAATGTGAAAGACAACGAAAGATGGGCATCTGTTCTAGAATAAAGGAGACAGACACACCAGCTAAATGCAGTTTATGATTCTTCATTGAATCTGATGGATTGCAGAGAAAAAAAGAAACCTAGCTAAAAAGAAAAAGGACAATTGGGAGAAATTTGAATATGGACTACATATTCGATAATATTAAGTCAAGCTTTTCAGTGTAATGGTATTGGGTTATATAGGAGACTGTCTCAGGATATACATGCTAAAGTACTTAGAGAAGCATTATGATATTTGTAACTTAAATGGTTCTGTGAAAAATAAAAGTGTACACATATCAGAATAAAGCAAATGTGGCAACATTTTAAGAATTCATTGCAATATTCTTTTATCTTTCTGTAGGTATAGAATTTTTGAAATAAGTTAGAACAGTGATTTCAGGGCATTTTAAATATTTTTGTGCAGTGACTAATCCCCGTATCTCTTTAAATTAAGGATACTAATTTACCATTTTGTCATCTATGGTTCCCTAATAGGAAACCTGTTAATATAACTCATGGTATTAATAAATCCAAAGAATGATGAAGAGGCATTCATAAGTCTAAATCCTTTCTAGTTTAAAAATACTTTTAAAGTAGGAAAATACAGATGATTGCCTTACATAATAAAATTATATATATTTCATTCTAAATGCTAACATCATGCTTTAAGGTAGCAGAACCTAGAAGCATTCTTATTAAAGACAGGGTCAATAAAATAAATAATTTCTACTGTCATTATTATTATTATTATTTTTTTTTTTTTTGAGACAGAGTCTCGCTCTGTTGCCCAGGCTGGAGTGAAGTGTCATGATCTCGGCTCACTGCAACCTCCACCTCTTAATCTTAATCCATTTAAATGTGAAAGGCAAAACAAAAACTTTTGGAAGATATGTCAGTGAAGGGGTAGCCTGTCGCTCCACACCTGTGGGTATTTCTCATCAGGTGGGACAAGAGACTGAGAAAATAAATAAGACACAGAGACAAAGTATAGAGAAAGAACAGTGGGCCCAGGAGACCGGTGCTCAGCATACGGAGGACCTGTACCAGCACCGGTCTCTGAGTTTCCTCAGTATTTATTGATTACTGTTTTCACTATCTCAGCCAGAGGAATGTGGCAGGAGAACAGGGTGATAGTGGGGAGAAAGCAAGAAAACATGTGACCAAAGGAACTCTGTGTCACAAATAAGTTCAAGGGAAGATACTATGCCTGGATGTGCACGTAGGCCAGATTTATGCTTTTCTTCACCCAAACATCTCAGTGTAGTAAAGAGTAACAGAGCAGCATTGCCGCCAGCATATCTCGCCTCCAGCCACAGGGCGGTTTTCTCCTATCTCAGAATAGAACAAATGTACGATCGGATTTTATACCGAGACATTCTGTTCCCAGGGGCACGCAGGAGACAGAGGCCTTCCTCTTGTCTCAACCTCAAGAGGCCTTCCTCTTTTACTATTCCTCCTCAGCACGGATCATTTACAGGTGTCGGGCTGGGGGATGGTCAGGTCTTTCCCTTCGCACGAGGCCATATCTCAGGCTGTCTCAGTGGGGAGAAACCTTGGCCAGTACCCAGGCTTTCTTGGGCAGAGGTACCTGCGGCTTTCCGCAGTGCGTTGTGCCCCCTGCTTAATCAAGAACGGAGAATGGCGATGACTTTTACCAAGCATACTGCCTGTAAACATATTGTTAACAAGGCACATCCTGCACAGCCCTAGATCCCTTAAACCTTGATTCCACACAACACATGTTTCTGTGAGCACAAGGTTGGGGCTAAAGTTACAGATTAATAGCATCTCAAGGCAAAACAATTGTTCAGGGTACAGATCAAAATGCAGTTTCTTATGTGTTCCTTTTCTACATAGACATGGTAACAGTCTGATCTCTCTTTTCCCTAGAGTCAGAAAATACATTTCTAAACTTGGGATAGGAAATAACATTTTCACAAAGGTAAACTGTAAAGAAAGTGAAATAATAAGACACAATCCTGCAGAAGTTCTATATTTGCAACATATCTAACAGGATTAGATTTCAGACTACATAAAGAATTTCTACAAGTCAATTAAAATACATCCAGTGAAAAAACAAGCAACATATGGACAATAGACATTTTGCAGAAGAAGCAATTTGGCAAATAAAATCACGGGAAGGCATTAAAGCTGTTTGGAAAACAGGGAAATAAGACCATCGTAAGATACGATTTTGCATCTACAGGACTGGCAATAATTAAGTCTGATAATGGATTATGGGTCAGTGGAAACTCATACTTCTGGGGAAAGTGGAAATTAGTATAATCACTTCGAGAAACAATTTGACATTATCACATAAGTTTGAATATTTGTGTAGCTATTGACTAATAGATTTCACTGCTATGTCTAGGCCACAAAGAAACCTTCATGTGGATACCAAGAAACCAAGAATGTTCATAGCTGTATGGTCTGCAGTAGCAAAAACCTAGAAATGACCACATGCCCATTGTGAGGAGCCTGAGTACATTATGGTATATTCACATGATGAAATATAACACAGCAATGGAAAAGTGTGAACCACGGCTACTCACAACTTGATATATCCCAGTAACATGACATTTAATAAAACAAGTCTCAAAATCATACCATTTGATACCATTGTTATAGTGGCATTAGCATTGTAGCAGCAAAGCCAAACAATACGGAAGAATTCATATTACAATGTTATTTCACTTTTATAAATCATAGGGATAATGTATGCAAAACTGGTGGTGGTGTCTTTGGGGGTTATTCAGGGCAATAGGATGGGGCCAGCACACAAGTGGGGCCACTGGTATTAGTAATGTTCTGGCCTTCAGATGGGGGCTGGTTCCCAGCATGTGCCTTTTACATTTTATTAGGGATGGGGTCCACACACCCTTCTGATGTGAAATGTCATGATAATGATGAAGGAAAACTAAATAAGAAATAGCCTCTGTATATAAAGAGTAATCAGAGTTAATATAGGAAGGGAACTTCCTAGATAAAATGCTAGGAGTAAATTTCATGGGCAGTGTGCAAGAGCATTGTGAAGACATTGAGAGTCTGCCGAGAGCCACAAAGGAAACTTGAACAAAAAGTCACAATTTGTTCTTAGAAAAATTTATTCTCGATGGATTGATAGGTGCAGCAAACCACATGGGACATGTTTACCTACGTAACAAACCTGCACGTCCTGCACGTATATTCCAGAATTTAAAAGAACAATTTATTCTTATAAAGATGTCAATTCTCCCTGACTTCATAGGCTTAACATTTTATAACAATTTTAGAGTTTTTTCCCCAATCTGGACAAGCTGAGAACTCTCAGCAAATCTTAAACGATTTGAGGAGGAGGACATTTTTTAACGAAAAGAATACAAAATTAAGAAAACGAAATTAGGTAGAAAAGCTAACATTAACTAAAAACAAGAAAATAAATTACAAATATTTAAAAGCTGACAAATATAAAACATTACCAACTTAAATTCAGAAAAATATTTTTATTAATCGACTGCTTGATACACCTGTTATATTTTTCATTTTACTAACTGAATTATCAAATCTACAAGCTTATTTGCTACTTCTATTTGAAGTTTGTGTCTTTAATTACTGCTTTTCATTAGATCTGAAATTTTTTTATAATTTGCTTTTTTTTTTTTTTTTTTGAAATGGAGTCTTGTTCTGTCACCCAGGCTAGAGTGCAATGGCATGATCTCAGCTCACTGCAACATCTGCCTCCCGGGTTCCAGCAATTCTCCTGCCTCAGCCTCCTGAGTAGCTGGGATTACAAGCGTGTGCCACCACACCGGGCTAATTTTTGTATTTTTAATAGAGATGGGGTTTCACCATATTGGCCAGGCTGGTCTCGAACTTCTGACCTCGTGATCTGCCCACTGCGGCTTCCCAAAGTGCTAGGATTACAGGCGTGAGCCACTGTGCCCAGACTATAATTTGCTGCTTGATGTCAGAATAATTTCTATTAATTTCATTGTTCATCTTTAATCACCATTGTTTCATAGTCCAGTAATTTTCTGTATTTTCTGTTAAACTCTTCATATGTCTAAATCAGGAATCAGACATTTTTCATTTTTTTTTCTAAACTAGCCTAAAATTGTTTTTCTAAATTGCAGTTAAAATGGCATATTTGACCTTTGGTAACTTTTAAAATATTGACATATAATTAATATACCACAAAACTCACCCTTTAAAAATATGCATGATTCGGTGGCTTTTTATTATATTCACAAAGTTGTACAATAATCACCATTATCTATCTTCAACATTTTCATCACCCCCAGGAGAAATCTCATAACCATTAGAAACCATTCTCCCTTTTCCTCTTCTTCCAGCCCTTTGCAACCACTAATCTACTTTGTCTGATTTGCCTATTCTGGACATTTTGTATACATAGAATTATACAATATGTGACCGTTTGTGCAATGTTTATTAAATTTTGAATGAACTCTCTATTCATGCTCAGGTGTTCCTTCTGAGTCAGAAAATATATTTTAGAGTCTTTAAGATGTTGTGTACTTTGTGCTACAAGATCTCAATGCTTTATAATGGGCAAACCACCTCACTATCCTTAGACCCTTGAATACTAAGTTGGCATGGGTGATTAAAATACTACATGTAATGTAAAAGATAAATTCAAGAAGAACGTGTAACTTGGAAAATCTGAAGTAGTCAGCAACTTTAGGGACTGGGAAGGCAGCTTTCCCAGGGATAACTAAGTGATAAAGCGAACTGCGTCCAGAATATATTTTAAGTACTTACTAATGTGAAAGCATTGTGGAATCTTCACGTCTTCTAAAAGTCACGTTTTTACGTGACTGATTGCAAATGCAACATAAGGTTAAAGTTGCTCAGAACTTATTTCATTCTGTTGAAAAGACAAAACTGCGTTTGAATTATTCTTGTGTATACTTTAATTTCAGATGAATTTTGACAGTTAAAAGTTGGTTTGCTGTAGAACATGATTTTTCTGTTTTAGAGTAGCACACGATAATGGCATACATAAAGCAATTTGCTACTGGAGAATTTGTAGCAATATTTGATGTTTGGTTTATTTACTTATTTGAGTTCCCACTTTATTTTGTACATATTTTCCCTTATTTTGATTAATTCTCCATGAGCTATTTTGGATAAATAAAAGTCATATTTGTCCTTCTACCTTTATAGTTTTCCAGGCACTCATGTAAAAATTGATCAAATCTAGAAATCAATTGGGTGATTCCTAGAAATTTCTGTTACTTGAAGAACACAACTTTTTCATTGTGATCTCTGATGAATAAACCTTTTTCACTTAACAATTCAATACCTTCCTGTTGGGAGCAGGCCCCCCAAAATCTGGCGATAAACCAGCCCCAAAACTGGCCATAAACAATCTCTGCAGCACTGTAACATGTTCATAATGGCCCTAACGCCCAAGCTGGAAGGTTGTGGGTTTACAGGAATGAGGGCAAGGAACACCTGGCCTGCCCAGGGTGGAAAACCGCTTAAAGGCATTCTTAAGCTACAAACAATAGCATGAGCGATCTGTGCCTTAAGGACATGCTCCTGCTGCAGTTAACTAGCCTAACCTATTCCTTTAATTCGGCCCATCCCTTCCTTTCCCATAAGGGATACTTTCAGTTAATTTAACATCTATAGAAACAATGCTAATGACTGGTTTGCTGTCAGTAAATACGTGGGTAAATCTCTGTTGGGGGCTGTCAGTTCTGAAGGCTGCGAGACCCCTGATTTCCCACTTCACACCTCTGTATTTCTGTGTGTGTGTCTTTAATTCCTCTAGTGCTGCTAGGTTAGGGTCTCCCCAACCGAGCTTGTCTCCACACCTTCCACTGTTCTTCTTAGTACTTCAGCATAATACTGTATGTTCCTTCTTTGTCCTGCAAGACAACGGTAAAGTGCATTATAATTAATTTATGTGTAATCCAAGTAAACAAGCCTCATTGTGTTGTATGTGTCTTATGATTAAGAGCTCAATACATTTAATCTAGTCTGACAGTTTGCCTGGTGTAAGTCATGTGTGTCTTGTTAAAAAAAATTTAATAAGAACAAAACAACTGGGGGGAGGAGCCAAGATGGCCGAATAGGAACAGCTCCGGTCTACAGCTCCCAGTGTGAGCGACGCAGAAGACGGGTGATTTCTGCATTTCCATCTGAGGTACCGGGTTTGTCTCACTAGGGAGTGCCAGACAGTGGGCGCAGGCCAGTGGGTGCGCGCACCGTGCGCAAGCCGAAGCAGGGCGAGGCATTGCCTCACTTGGGAAGCGCAAGGGGTCAGGGAGTTCCCTTTCCGAGTCAAAGAAAGGGGTGACAGACGCACCTGGAAAATCGGGTCACTCCCACCCGAATATTGTGCTTTTCAGACCGGCTTAAAAAACGGCGAACCACGAGATTATATCCCACACCTGGCTGGGAGGGTCCTACGCCCACGGAATCTCGCTGACTGCTAGCACAGCAGTCTGAGATCAAACTGCAAGGCGGCAGCGAGGCTGGGGGAGGGGTGCCTGCTATTGCCCAGGCTTGCTTAGGTAAACAAAGCAGCCAGGAGGCTCGAACTGGGTGGAGCCCACCACAACTCAAGGAGGCCTGCCTGCCTCTGTAGGCTCCACCTCTGGGGGCAGGGCACAGACAAACAAAAAGACAGCAGTAACCTCTGCAGGCTTAAGTGTCCCTGTCTGACAGCTTTGAAGAGAGCAGTGGTTCTCCCAGCACGCAGCTGGAGATCTGAGAACCGGCAGACTGCCTCCTCAAGTGGGTCCCTGACCACTGACCCCTGACCCCCGAGCAGCCTAACTGGGAGGCACCCCGCAGCAGGGGCACACTGACACCTCACACGGCAGGGTATTCCAACAGACCTGCAGCTGAGGGTCCTGTCTGTTAGAAGGAAAACTAACAAACAGAAAGGACATCCACATCGAAAACCCATCTGTACATCACCATCATCAAAGACCAAAAGTAGATAAAACCACAAAGATGGGAAAAAAACAGAACAGAAAAACTGGAAACTCTAAAACGCAGAGCACCTCTCCTCCTCCAAAGGAACGCAGTTCCTCACCAGCAACGGAACAAAGCTGGATGGAGAATGACTTTGACGAGCTGAGAGAAGAAGGCTTCAGACGATCAAATTACTCTGAGCTACGGGAGGACATTCAAACCAAAGGCAAAGAAGTTGAAAACTTTGAAAAAAATTTAGAAGAATGTATAACTAGAATAACCAATACAGAGAAGTGCTTAAAGGAGCTGATGGAGCTGAAAACCAAGGCTCGAGAACTATGTGAAGAATGCAGAAGCCTCAGGAGCTGATGTGATCAACTGGAAGAAAGGGTATCAGCAATGGAAGATGAAATGAATGAAATGAAGTGAGAAGGGAAGTTTAGAGAAAAAAGAATAAAAATAAATGAGCAAAGCCTCCAAGAAATATGGGACTATGTGAAAAGACCAAATCTACGTCTGATTGGTGTACCTGAAAGTGATGGGGAGAATGGAACCAAGTTGGAAAACACTCTGCAGGATATTATCCAGGAGAACTTCCCAAATCTAGCAAGGCAGGCCAACGTTCAGATTCAGGAAATACAGAGAACGCCACAAAGATACTCCTCGAGAAGAGCAACTCCAAGACACATATTTCCTCATAATTGTCAGATTCACCAAAGTTGAAGGAAAAAATGTTAAGGGCAGCCAGAGAGAAAGGTCGGGTTACCCTCAAAGGGAAGCCCATCAGACTAACAGCGGATCTCTGGGCAGAAACCCTACAAGCCAGAAGAGAGTGGGGGCCAATATTCAACATTCTTAAAGAAAAGAATTTTCAACCCAGAATTTCATATCCAGCCAAACTAAGCTTCATAAGTGAAGGAGAAATAAAATACTTTACAGACAAGCAAATGCTGAGAGATTTTGTCACCACCAGGCCTGCCCTAAAAGAGCTCCTGAAGGAAGCGCTAAACATGGAAAGGAACAACCGGTACCAGCTGCTGCAAAATCATGCCAAAATGTAAAGACCATCAAGACTAGGAAGAAACTGCATCAACTAACAAGCAAAATAACCAGCTAACATCATAATGACAGGATCAAATTCACACATAACAATATTAACTTTAAATGTAAATGGACTAAATTCTCCAATTAAAAGACACAGACTGGCAAATTGGATAAAGAGTCAAGACCCATCAGTGTGCTGTATTCAGGAAACCCATCTCATGTGCAGAGACACACATAGGCTCAAAATAAAAGGATGGAGGAAGATCTACCAAGCAAATGGAAAACAAAAAAAGGCAGGGGTTGCAATCCTAGTCTCTGATAAAACAGACTTCAAACCAACAAAGATCAAAAGAGACAAAGAAGGCCATTACATAATGGTAAAGGGATCAATTCAACAAGAAGAGCTAACTATCCTAAATATATATGCACCCAATACAAGAGCACCCAGATTCATAAAGCAAGTCCTGAGTGACCTACAAAGAGACTTAGACACCCACACATTAATAATGGGAGACTTTAACACCCCACTGTCAACATTAGACAGATCAACGAGACAGAAAGTCAACAAGGATACCCAGGAATTGAACTCAGCTCTGCACCAAGTGGACCTAATAGACATCTACAGAACTCTCCACCCCAAATCAACAGAATATACATTTTTTTCAGCAGCACACCACACCTATTCCAAAATTGACCACATACTTGGAAGTAAAGCTCTCCTCAGCAAATGTAAAAGAACAGAAATTATAACAAACTATCTCTCAGACCACAGTGCAATCAAACTAGAACTCAGGATTAAGAATCTCACTCAAAGCCACTCAACTACCTGGAAACTGAACAACCTGCTCCTGAATGACTACTGGGTACATAACGAAATGAAGGCAGAAATAAAGATGTTCTTTGAAACCAACGAGAACAAAGACACAACATACCAGAATCTCTGGGATGCATTCAAAGCAGTGTGTAGAGGGAAATTTATAGCACTAAATGCCCACAAGAGAAAGCAGGAAAGATCCAAAATTGACACCCTAACATCACAATTAAAAGAACTAGAAAAGCAAGAGCAAACACATTCAAAAGCTAGCAGAAGGCAAGAAATAACTAAAATCAGAGCAGAACTGAAGGAAATAGAGACACAAAAACCCCTTCAAAAAAATCAATGAATCCAGGAGCTGGTTTTTTTGAAAGGATCAACAAAATTGATAGACCACTAGCAAGACTAATAAAGAAAAAGAGAAGAATCAAATAGACACAATAAAAAATAATAAAGGGGATATCACCACCGATCCCACAGAAATACAAACTACCATCAGAGAATACTACAAACACCTCTACGCAAATAAATTAGAAAATCTAGAAGAAATGGATAAATTCCTCAACACATACACTCTCCCAAGACTAAACCAGGAAGAAGTTGAATCTCTGAATAGACCAATAACAGGATCTGAAATTGTGGCAATAATCAATAGTTTTCCAACCAAAAAGAGTCCAGGACCAGATGGATTCACAGCTGAATTCTACCAGAGGTACAAGGAGGAACTGAACTGGTACCATTCCTTCTGAAACTATTCCAATCAATAGAAAAAGAGGGAATCCTCCCTAACTCATTTTATGAGGCCAGCATCATTCTGATACCAAAGCCAGGCAGAGACACAACCAAAAAAGAGAATTTTAGACCAATATCCTTGATGAACATTGATGCAAAAATCCTCAATAAAATACTGGCAAAACGAATCCAGCAGCACATCAAAAAGCTTATCCACCATGATCAAGTGGGCTTCATCCCTGGGATGCAAGGCTGGTTCAATATACGCAAATCAATAAATGTAATCCAGCATATAAACAGAGCCAAAGACAAAAACCACATGATTATCTCAATAGATACAGAAAAAGCCTTTGACAAAATTCAACAACCCTTCATGCTAAAAACTCTCAATAAATTAGGTATTGATGGGATGTATTTCAAAATAATAAGAGCTATCTATGGCAAACCCACAGCCAATATCATACTGAATGGGCAAAAACTGGAAGCATTCCCTTTGAAAACTGGCACAACACAGGGATGCCCTCTCTCACCACTCCTATTCAACATAGTGTTGTAAGTTCTGGCCAGGGCAATTAGGCAGGAGAAGGAAATAAAGGGTATTCAATTAGGAAAAGAGGAAGTCAAATTGTCCCTGTTTGCAGACAACATGATTGTATATCTAGAAAACCCCATTGTCTCAGCCCAAAATCTCCTTAAGCTGATAAACAACTTCAGCAAAGTCTCAGGATACAAAATCAATGTACAAAAATCACAAGTATTCTTATACACCAACAAAAACAGAGAGCCAAATCATGAGTGAACTCCCATTCCCAATTGCTTCAAAGAGAATAAAATACCTAGGAATCCAACTTACAAGGGATGTGAAGGACCTCTTCAAGGAGAACTACAAACCACTGCTCAAGGAAATAAAAGAGGATACAAACAAATGGAAGAACATTCCACGCTCATGGGTAAGAAGAATCAATATCGTGAAAATGGCCATACTGCCCAAGGTAATTTACAGATTCAATGCCATCCCCATCAAGCTACCAATGACTTTCTTCACAGAATTGGAAAAAAACTACTTTAAAGTTCATATGGAACCAAAAAAGAGCCTGCATCGCCAAGTCAATCCTAAGCCAAAAGAACAAAGCTGGAGGCATCACACTACCTGACTTCAAACTATACTACAAGGCTACAGTAACCAAAACAGCATGGTACTGGTACCAAAAGAGAGATATAGATCAATGGAACAGAACAGAGCCCTCAGAAATAACGCCGCATATCTACAACTATCTGATCTTTGACAAACGTGAGAAAAACAAGCAATGGGGAAAGGATTCCCTATTTAATAAATGGTGCTGGGAAAACTGGCTAGCCATATGTAGAAAGCTGAAACTGGATCCCTTCCTTACACCTTATACAAAAATAAATTCAAGATGGATTAAAGACTTAAACGTTAGACCTAAAACCATAAAAACCCTAGAAGAAAACCTAGGCATTACCATTCAGGACATAGGCATGGGCAAGGACTTCATGTCCAAAACACCAAAAGCAATGGCAGCAAAAGCCAAAATTGACAAATGGGATCTAATTAAACTAAAGAGCTTCTGCACAGCAAAAGAAACTACCATCAGAGTGAACAGGCAACCTACAAAATGGGAGAAAATTTTCGCAACCTACTCATCTGACAAAGGGCTAATATCCAGAATCTACAATGAACTCAAACTAATTTACAAGAAAAAAACAAACAACCCCATCAAAAAGTGGGCGAAGGACATGAACAGACACTTCTCAGAAGAAGACATTTATGCAGCCAAAAAACACATGAAAAAATGCTCATCATCACTGGCCATCAGAGAAATGCAAATCAAAACCACAATGAGATACCATCTCACACCAGTTAGAGACAACAGGTGCTGGAGAGGATGTGGAGAAATAGGAACACTTTTACACTGTTGGTGGGACTGTAAACTAGTTCAACCATTATGGAAGTCAGTGTGGCGATTCCTCAGGGATTTAGAACTAGAAATACCATTTGACCCAGCCATCCCATTACTGGGTATATACCCAAATGACTATAAATCATGCTGCTATAAAGACACATGCACACGTATGTTTATTGCGGCATTATTCACAATTGCAAAGACTTGGAACCAACCCAAATGTCCAACAATGATAGACTGGATTAAGAAAATGTGGCACATATACACCATGGAATACTATGCAGCCATAAAAAATGATGAGTTCGCGTCCTTTGTAGGGACATGGATGAAATTGGAAATCATCATTCTCAGTAAACTATCGCAAGAACAAAAAACCAAACACCGCATATTCTCACTCATAGGTGGGAATTGAACAATGAGATCACATGGACACAGGAAGGGGAATATCACACTCTGGGGACTGTGGTGGGGTGGGGGGAGGGGGGAGGGATAGCAATGGGAGATATACCTAATGCTAGATGACGAGTTAGTGGGTGCAGCGCACCAGCATGGCACATGTATACATATGTAACCTGCACAATGTGCACATGTACCCTAAAACTTAAAGTATAAAAAAAAAAAAAAGAACAAAACAACCAATATGTATATATTTTGGAATAGACTGGCCAAGATCTTATAACTATTTGCTCATATTTTTTATAATACCTGTTTAGGAAACATTTAAACAAATCCTTTATGTTCTGCTTGATTCTCTGTAAATAGGAATCATGATTTTGGAGGCAGAAAAATTTGCAACTTCACAGTGTTGCTGTGAGTTGCTCATTGTGACAGGCAAGGATGAAAGTTCAAGGTACTTAGGGACGGAAGTCAACACATTCATTGAAACAAGGCTGTGCTGACTGTAGAAATTGTTTTCTGTTTGGAAGGTTTTGTTTTCTGTTGGGAGTATTCTGATTCTCAGTCTTACTTCTCTTCTGTTATTACCAACATTTTGTTGGTGATCATGATTCTTAATGAAACAGTTCTGCATACCATTTCAACCATCAGAGTTTTTAGTCTCCATTGTTTTATAGGAGTGTTCTTGACATTTTGAGGCTCCTGCCAATCTTCATTCTTTCAATTTCCTTTTTTGGTTTCCACTAAGATACCTTCCGTTGAGTTTAAATTTTAGAATGATCAATAATTGTGGAAAAAAATTCATCTGAAATTGAGACACACACAAAAGCAATTCAAATGCATTTAAAAACTGCCACTGTGTTCAGTTGAGCCCTGTAATTGTGTAACCAAATTATTCTTGTACTGTAAATATTGAATTATTGATGGGATACATGTGGGCGTTTTTCACTGGAACATTTGTTTCTTCAGGCCACTTTGCTATATTGGTGGCAATTTTGCATGCTGCTTTATCTGGAACTGTCAGACTTTGTGGGGACAAGATGTGTCAGATAAGTTCAGGTGTGCATAAATCAGGCAGCCTCATCCCAAGTTGTACTTACTATTTGTTGTAATATTTGGTGTTTGTGTCCTACAAACCCAGGAATTTTCACAAATTTTATTTCATGTGATTTGCTTTAAAAAAAAAAGCGTGGTGTGTTTATAATTATGTACACTATTTTTTGAGTATCTTTCTTGACAGGTGAAAACTTTTATTTTAACTAGGTATCAATAAGAACCAAATTCTCTGCTTAAAATTGTAAAACTTTGGTGTTTGGGTGTTTGCCCGAAATGTCAGGTCAGGGTTTAGATGCCAATCCTGCCGGTTTCTTGCCCTGAAAACCACTGAGCTGTATGATTTAAGTCAGTGAATTTATAGTGTGCAGATTTCATCTGAATAAAGCTGTTTAAAAAAAAGTTCAGAGAAGATGTTTTTTACTGAGCTCTGACCCAAACCAGGATCACCCTTGTGTGTATCAGGTGCTGGGGCTGGGGGATCTGGACACCAAAGCACTTCTCTGTGCCTGGAAAATTCCTATTTGCATTTTCCAGCAGCTCAGGTGTCATCTGGATGAAAATGTTCCTCGATGTCTGAGACAGAGTGGCCCACCCTCCTGGTTTGTATACCTCTGCTTGCCTCTCTCCTGTGGAATGGTACCTTGTTGTTGTTCTGTGAGTTGTTTGTCTCCCTCTGTCTCCCTTAAGACCTTTGCTGCTGTGGTGCCCAGCAGGAAATACATACACACACACACACACACACACACACACACACACACACACACACACACACACACACACACTGTTCTTACGTGCCTGATATGGTGGACTCATTAAAGGCTGGGGTGGCAGCTCTGGGGGAGTTAATTTGCTTTATCCCCATAGGGAGAAAGCTCAGTGTAGAAAATGCTGTGTTCTCTTCCTCACAGCTGCTGACTTCAGGATACTGGTCAGCCTCTGTTTCTTCGTAGTGGTTTTTAGACTTGCATGTGCATTGGAATGACCTGAAAGTCTGTTAACACGTGAAATGCTTGGCCCCAGCCTCAGAGTTTGGGTCAGTAGGACTGGTGTCAGAACTGATAATTTCCATTTCTAGCCAGTTCCCAGTGATAAGCCAGGAACCCTGCTTTGAAAACCACTTGGCCCCCCTGCCAGGGCTCACTTGTCTTGGGAGAGGGCTTGTGAAGGCCCCTCTGTTTGTGCAGTTTGGTGGTTTGCATCAGGCTCTATGGCTGAAGTTGGAACCTTCAAGAGGCCCCCCTAGATCCATGTCACTAGTCTAGTCTGAATGACTGTCTAGGGATTTCCAGACTTTGCTTTCCAGACCTCCTAAATAGAATGGAGTCACCTCAGGGTGACTGATCAGGGAGGTGGTGTGGGTGATGCTTCAGACCTCACCTTCTCACCAGATCAGCTCTGTTTTTATGTCTTAGGCACGAGGATCCTATAGGTGAACTTGTTTGGAGAATGAGTTCCTATGCGGGGGAAGAACCCCACATTTTTATGGTAACAACCTGGATTCTGGGCCCTACAAAGTGAGCAGCTTGTGAAAGCCCTGAGATTTCCTCTGAGCTGCAGGTCCCAGAAAGCCAGAGGGCCAGAATGCCTCTTGGTTGCTAAGTTGTATTTTTTTCATTTCAGAGAGAGCTACAACTCCAAATTCAGCATAGCTTTGTGGTTCAGATGCTGAAGTCAGACAGAGTTGGGTTCAGGTCCTGGCCCTGCCCCTCCTAGCTGGGCACGCTGCTGCTTCTGGGAGGCCTTTGTGTCTGTGCCTGTAACATGGGCCATGATTCTCTGCCTTCCCCATGGGCTGCTGTGAGTCTTGGATGAAATCTTTTGGAAGTAAAGCTCAGAGTCGCAAAGAAAATGAGCACTTAAAGGATTTCTCAGCAAGGCAAAATTTACTTCTGCAGAAGGGTGCTGCTCGCAAGTTTGGTCACCATGAGAGCACACCGAACGAAGGAGGGAAGGGGTTTTTATCCCTAACACAGTGTGTCCCTGCTGCTGTGTCCTATCTCCACTGTGGAGTTGGACCGTACAATCTAAGCAGAACCTGATTGGCTAACTTGAATGGTGCAGGAATGTGGTTACAATGGGGGAAGGGGCAGTTTTGGTGGGAAGAGCCATTGCGACAGGAGGGGTAATTTACAGAGCGGGTAGCAGATGTGGGCTCTGTAGATAAGGACCAGTGGGAAAGTTGTTTACTGAAACTGAGACAGGGAGGCATAAAGGATAAGGAAGTTAGTTTGGCCTTGGAAGTAGGGAACGAAGAGCAAGGATGCTGAACAAGCTAAACCTTTGAAGAGGAACTTCTTTTGTATCTAACAGATTGTAGATCCCAAACACTTGGCACAGTATCTGACCCATCATCAGTGCTCAGTTAAATATTAGTATTGTCATGATGGTTTTGTTATTGTAGTGAAAATTAGAACATTATTCTTAAAGGATCAATAATTTTTAAATGAAATAAATATGAAGACCTACTTGAAATCTCAGAAAAAATTTCAATAGTTCATGGATTTTTTTTTTCCTGTACTGGGCAAAATTGATTTTTCATTTTAAAAAAATAGAGAAAGGGGTCAGGTGCAGTGGCTCACGCCTGTAATCCCGGCACTTTGGGAGGCCAAGGTGGGCAGGTCACTTGAGGTCAGGAGTTCGAGACCAGCCTGGCCAACATAGTGAAACCCTGCCTCTACTAAAAATATAAAAATTAGCCGGGCCCAGTGGTGCACGCCTGTAGTCTTCAGCTACTTGGGAGGCTGAGGTGGGAGAATCACTTGAGCATAGGAGGCAGAGGTTGCAGCGAGCCAAGATTGTGCCACTGCAATCCAGCCTGGGCAACAGAGTAAGACTGTCTCAAAAAAATAAATTAAAAAAAGGGGAAGGAAAATGAATTAAAGGAGGATTTACGTAACTAAAAGACAGTTTTAAAAGAACAACTGCCGACACTCATAACATTAGCAGCAATCGCTTTAGCATTTTGTGTTGATTGCTTTGCTCCACCAAGAATATCTGTGAAACACTCATAATGCTCAAAGTTTTTTTTTTTTTTAATCTTCAACTTTTAAGTTCAGGGGTACATGTGCAGGATGTGTAGGTATGTTACATAGGTGTCATGGTGGTTTGCTGCACAGATCAACCCATCACCTAGGCATTAAGTCTAGCATCCATTAGCTATTCTTCCTGATGCTCTCCCTCCCCACCCACCTCCCCGACAGACCCCAGTGTGTGTTGGTCCCCCCCATGTGACCATGTGTTCTCATCATTCAGCTCATAAGTAAGAACATGTAGTGTTTGGTTTTCTGTTCCTCCATTAGTTTGCTGAGGATAATGGCTTCCAGCTCCATCTATGTCCCTGCAAAGGATATGATCTTGTTCCTTTTTATGGCTGCATAGTTGTAACATCAAAGTTGATGCATCTTATTATTGTGATCTTTTCAGACAGGGTCTTGCTGTGTCACCCAGGCTGGAGTGCAGTGGTGCGATCATGACTCACTGCAGCCTTGACCTCCCAGGCTCAAGAGATCCTCCCACCTCAACCTCCCAAGTAGCTGGGACTACAGGTGTATGCCACCACACCCAGCTAACTTTTGTCGCAGCAGATTTTCGCCATGTTTCTCAGTCTGTTCTCAAACTCTGAGGCTCAAGCAATTCTCATGCCTCACCCTCTCAAAGTGCTGGGATTACAGGTGTGAGCCACTGTGCCTGGCCCCATCTTATTTTTAAATGAAGTTTTAATAAGATCTCAGTTGTATGCTTCATCTCAAGTGATTATTCAGCTCCAAAACAAATCAAGTTCCTTCCAAGTACAAAAGAATCTATGTTCTAAGGCAGTGGAAGGAAGCAGGGTTGGGGAGGATATATCATGTTCAAGGAAAATGAAAAGAACTTAATGTTTTGAAAGACTTCTAGTCAACGGAACTATGACTCATTATCCTGGATGTGATGGGAGGTGGGGGGCATTTAAGCCCACATTCCCACTTCCATTTTAAAGTCAGAATCAGGAGGAAAATGGGGATTGAGATAAAGAATTTTGCTGTATCACAGTTTGGCTGAAAGGCGTTCTGCCTAGCAAGGATGCAGGTGATTTACACACGATCTACTCTTGAAGCTTAAACCAGTACTTCTATGATACATTTTTTGGGGGGGGGGCGGTGGTGGGGGTAAAGGGAGGAAACAACCAGGATGAGGATTGAATATATTTGAAAGGAGATTCAAAGTGATGTTTATTGAGCACTTCACTTTGGAAAAGCAAAAAATCAAAGGCTGTCTTAAAGATTGTACAGAAAATATGATTTATTGGAGATATCCCTTGCCTCCAAGCTCTAATGTTAAGCCTCCAAATATAATGCAAGTTATATTGGTATAGAAAATGGGAAGGAGCAGGCAGATTTATTATGTATGAGCATGAATAATTTTTATCTTTATTGCTTTCCCACTTCAGATCAAGTTGGAATTTTTAACTTTTCACCAAAGATTCTTTGGTTTTACAGAAAATATACCACAGGTACATGAAATGTAATATATTTATTGTATAGGTTTTTAATAGTAGAAAGTAATTTTATAGTTAGGCAGTTTAAAATTAAAATTATAGTTTAGTGGTCATAAGAGTTAGATCATTGTGTGGTAACCTGTGAGTGTGTTTATTTAGCAATGATGGTGACCATGAAGGGACTCGCTCAGGCCATTTAGGAGAATATCCGACAAGCCAGAAGGAAGATGATTTTAATAACCAGGAAAAACGTAAAACTCATTATAGATTTGTATAATAAGGGCGAGTTCGGGGTAGTATAGGCTTCTAATGTACAGTGACAATCTCGCTCTGTTGTCCAGGCAGGAGTGCAATGGCGCGATCTCAGCTCACTGCAACCTCCCCATCACCCTCCCGGGTTCAAGCGATTCTCCTGCCTCAGCCTCCCGAATAGCTAGCCGGGACTACAGGTGTGTGCCAGCACACCCGGCTGTTTTCTATTTTTAGTAGAGACGGGGTTTCACCATGTTAGCTAGGATGGTCACGATCTCCTGACCTTGTGATCTGCCTGCCTTGGCCTCCCAAAGTGCTGGGATTACAGGCGTGAGCCACCGCACCTGGCTTACTGTAGACATCTTTAACATATCACAATCTTCCTTCAAATAATACCCCACTGCTTGATGTTATGCACAAGAACCTTACGACAGTATTCTTCCAGGCCCCAGACTCTGTGCTGTTGTTATCCTCTATGTTGCTTTTGCATATCCTATTAACCTCACAAAACGTTGTTATTTTTGTTGTAGGCAGACAACATATTTTATATTTACCCACATACTTGCCTTTGTTAGGGCTCTTTGTTACTTTGTGTAGATCCAGATTTGTATCTTGTATGGTTTCTCTTCTGCCTGAGGAACTTCCTTTAACATTTTGTATGGTTCAGGTGTATTAGCGATGAGCTCTCTCAGCTTGGTTTATGTTAAGCTTTTATTTTGCCTTTATTTTTATTTTTTTGAGACGGAGTCTTGCTCTGTTGCCCAGGCTGGAGTGTGCTGGCATGATCTCCACTCACTGCAACCTCCATCTCCCAAATTCAAGCAATTCTCATGCCTCAGCCTCCCGAGAAGCTGGGACTACAGGCACCCGGCACCACACCCGGCTGATTTTTGTACTTTTAGTAGAGATGGGATTTTACCATGTTGTCCATGCTGGTCGCAAACTCCTGGCCTCAGGTAATCCCTTCGCCTTGGCCTCCCAAAGTGCTGAGGTTATAGGCGTGAGCCACCATGCCCGGCCTTGCCTTTATTTTTTAAAGATAATGTCACTAGGTAAAGAGTTCTAGTTTGACACACTTTCCTTCTGAGTACTTTTTTTTTAATATTTAAAAAATTGGTTTCTTTTACATTTTTAATTGACTTTTTTGGCCCATATTTATGGGGTATATAGTGATGTTTTGGTGCATAAAGTGTACAGTGATCGCATCAGGGTAATTAGCATATCGTCTGGAACATTATTTTGGGAGGGTGAACATTAAATATTCTCTTTCTAGCTATTTGAAACTATGTATTACTGTTAACTATAGTCATTCTACAGTACTGTAGAACTCTAGAACTAATTCCTCCTATCTAGCTGTAATTTTGTATCCTTTAGCAAACCTCTTCCTATCTCTCTGCTCCCTTTACCCTTCCCAGCCTCTAGTATCCTCTGTTCTCTTTTTTACTTCTGTGTGATCAACATTTTTTTTAGCTTCTGTATTAGTCTGTTTTCACATTGCTATGAAGAACTGCCCGAGACTGGGTAATTTAAAAAGAGGCTTAATTGATTCATAGTTCTGCATGGCTGAAGAGGCCTCAGGAAACTTACAATCAGGGTGAAAGAGGAAGCAGGCATGTCTTACGGGGTTTCGCCATGTTGGCCAGGCTAGGTCTCGAACTCCTGGTCTCAAGTGATTGGCCAGCCTTGGCCTCCTAAGGTGCTGGGATTACAGGCATGAGCCACCATGCCAAGCCTTTTGTAGTTTTTTGAGGAACCTCCATACTGTTTTCCATAGCGGCTATACTACTTTACATTCCCACCAAGAGTGTTTAAGAGTTCCCTTTTCTCTACATCCTCACTAGCATTTGTTATTTTGTCTTTTGATAATAGCCATCCTCCAGTGAGGTGATACCTCACTGTGATTTAGAGTTGCATTTCCCTTTATAATTAATAATGTTGAGCATTTAAAAAATATATTTCTTGGCCATTTGTTTGTCTTCTTTTGAGAAATGTCTTTAGATCATTTGCCTATATTTAAGTTGCATAGTTTGAGAATACAAACAAATGGAAAGACATCCCATGCTCATGGATCAGAGGAATTAATTTTTTTGAATTAAGCAGAAATTTTATTTCCAAGCTCTTTAAAGATTATTGCAAACACAAAGTTGTCTTCTGAAAGCCCCAAATCAAATCAAAGGCACGGCATCAAAATAAATAAAACACTTGTGACATTAAGAATTATTTTAGGTTGTAGTATTTTACATTACTTTGTTTTTAACTATTTACAATGTTCTTCGAGTCATATTTAAACATTTCTTAAGACATGAAATAGGCCGAGCATGGTGGCTCATGCCTGTAATCCCAGCACTTTGGGAGGCCAAGGTGTGTGGATTGCTTGAGGTCAGGAGTTCGAGACCAGCCTGGCCAACATGGTAAAACCCTGCCTCTACTAAAAATCCACACACACACACAAATTAGCTGGGCGTTGTGGCATGTACCTGTAATCACATATCACAGTTACTTGGGAGGCTGAGGCAGGGGAGTTGTTTGAACCCGGGAGGCTGAGGTTACAAGGAACTGAGATCATGCCACTGCATTCCAGCCTGAGTGACAGAATGAGACTCTGTCTCAAAAAAAAAAAAAAAAAAAAGATACGAAATAATGTATTTAGGTACAACCACAACTACAAGCAGAAAAACTTAAGAATACAAAGACTGAATCTGCTTCATCTAATCTATATATACGATGGGGCAACCTAATGCCCAACATAAAATTAATCTTTCTGGATGAGTTTGCTAAGAAACAGCTCCCGTGTTAAGTGTTAAAAAATGAAACAACCTTCTCATTTGGAAAAATCAAGGCATCAGTTAATTAGTAAAACCTACTCTTTTCCCCAGCAATTTGTACTTTCTTGCCTTCATTTAGAAATTGTAAATTCATGAGCAGAACACATTTTGTAGAATTTGGTATAAAAATATTTGTCAGGAGCAACAGATAACAAATATTCAATTTTTTAAATAAAATGTTTTCCTTCCTAAATGTAAACATCCAGTAAATAAAACATACATGATATTCTAGGTATAGAAACATCAGTAATTCACTTATGAAAGAGGTACATTTTGACGTATCTGGTGGTAAGGTTTTTGTCTTACATATAAAGCACTTCACCAAAAACAAACAAACAAAAAACCCATACTGTTATTATTTAGAGCTATATTTCTTCTCCCAGTTTCCTCAGTTGAGTAGAAACTCACCAATTTCTGTAGAATTTTGGTTATAGGACAAGGCTACAGGAAAGGTCTGAAATAACTATATGTCACTTGACTAGGGAAAAGCCTTCTCTTGAGGCTTGGAGGCAGTCATTTATCACTTTGTACTTGAAGGCATTCCTCTGCAGACTTCTTTCCTAGAGTCTTCAGGGTAAAGCACAGGATCTGGACTCCAGGAGGGGGGTTACTTCCTGCTGGAACACTGACCAGCAGGGCATCCTTTCAGGCATTCTGCATGCAGTACTGTTGCAGCTCTGCAGCTGCCTGAGAGACCTTGATCCTCTCCACGCCGACCTGCAGCTTGAGCTGCTCCACCAGGCGCTGCAGGGCACTCTTGCTGGCCCTGGAAGACATGGTAGCAGCAGTGTGCTCCAAGGGTGGTTGAGCCACGCTAGGCGGGTCAGCCCTGCCAGGCCCTGAGCGTGGGCACTGCCAATATTGTTGAAAGGACCATACTATCCAAAGCAATCTACAGATTCAATGCAATCTTTTGAGATGGAATCTCGCTCTGTTGCCCAGGCTGGAGTGCAGTGGTGCGATCTTGGCTCACTGCAAGCTCCACCTCCCGGGTTCATGTCATTCTTCTGCCTCAGCCTCCAGAGTAGCTGGGACTACAGGCGCCCACCACCATGCCCAGCTAATTTTTTTTGTATTTTTAGTAGAGACAAAAAATACAGTTTCACTGTGTTAGCCAGGATGGTCTCGATCTCCTGACCTTGTTATCTGCCCGCCTCGGCCTCCCAAAGTGCTGGGATTACAGGCGTGAGCCACTGTGCCCTGGCCTCAATGCAGTCTTTATCAAAATACCAATGACATTCTTCATAGAAATAAAAAAAATCTTAAAATTTATATTGAACCACAAAAGACTCCCAATAGCCAAAGCAATCCTGAGCAAAAAGAAAGCTGGAGGTATACACTGTCAGACTTCAAAATATACTACAAAGCTGTAGTAATGAAGACAGCATGGTACTGTCATAAAAACAGACACATAGACTAATGGAACAGAATAGACCACACAGAAAGTAATGTATTCGTCTACAGCCAACTGCTTTTTAAAAATTTTTTATTTTTTGAGACAGTGTCTCACTCCATCTCCCAGGCTGGAGTGCAATGGCATGATCATGGCTCACTGTAACCTTTACTTCCTGGGCTTAAGAAATCCTCGTACTTCAGCCTCCTGAGTAGCAGGGACTACAGGTACGTGCAACCATGCCTAGCTAACTTTTAAAAATTTTCTGTGGAGACAGAGTCTCACTATATTGTGTAGGCTGGTCTTGAAACCCCTGGGGTCAAATGATTCTCCTGCCTTAGCCTCCCAAAGTGCTGGGATTACAGGCATGAGCCACCATGCCTGGCTACCAACTGATTTTTGACAAAGGCAGCAAGAATACTCACTGGGGAAAGGATAATCTCTTCAATAAGTGATGCTGGGAAAACTAGATATCCATAGGCAGAAGAATGAAAATAGACCCTCACCTCTCACCCTATATGAAAATAAACTCAAAATGGATCAAAGACCTAAATGTAAGATCTGAAACTCAAAATGGATCAAAGACCTAAATGTAAGATCTGAAACCATAAAACTACTACAAGAAAACATAGGGGGAAGCCCTTCAGGACATTGGTCTGGGAAAATATTTTATGAATAAGACCTCAAAAGCAGTCAACAAATCACTTGAGCTCAGGAGTTTAAGACCAGCCTAGGCAACATAATGAGACCCTGTCTTTTCAAAAAATAAAAGTTAGCCAGATGTGATGGTATGTACCTGTAGTCCCAGCTACTCAGGGAGCTCAGGCAGGTGGATCACTTGAGTCCAGCAATCCAAGGCTGCAGTGAGCTACTATCAAACTACTGCCCCCTAGCCTGGGTGATAGAGCAGAAGCTTGCCTCTAAAAAACAAAAGCACAGGCAACAAAAGCAAAAGTAAACAAATGAGATTACATCAAACAAAAAAGCTTCTGCACAGCAAAGGAAACAATAAACACAGTGAAAGGGCAACCTACAGAATGGGAGAAAATATTTGCAAGCTATTCATCTGATGGGATTAATATCCAGAATATCCAAGGAGCTCGAACATCTCAACAGCAAAAAACAATCTGAATACTTTAAAGGCATCTCTACTCTGCTGTCAGCTTACATGCTTCTGAAGAGAGGTCTGCTGTCTTTCTTTGTTTTTCTGTAGACCCCCTTGCACCCACCATAGCTGCTTCTAAGATTTTCCACTGAATCCTAGCAATTACATTAGAATGCTACTTGGCATAATTTTCTTAAGTTTATTCTGCTTGGGGTTGTTGGATTTGTGGGTTTATGCTTTTCATCAAATTTAGGAAATTTGGACCATTATTTCAAACATTTTGTTTCTTGTTTCTCGTCTCTTCCTTGGACTACAATTACACGTATGTTAGACTGCTTGATATTGTCCTTTAGGTCACTGGTGCTCTTAATTTATTCTCAGTCATTTTTTCTGTCTCCTTTGTTTTGTCAGTTTTTAAAATTGCTATTTCTTTTCATTGATTGATACAGTTTTCTGCCGAGTATAACCTGCTGTTAATTCCATTTTTCAATTTTGTATTTTTTATTTTTAACAGTTCTAAGTATTTTTAAAATATTACAATGCTCATGTTTTTATCTTCTCGAAGACAGTGTACTGACAGGATAATGTATTTGTTTACTAATTGTGTCATAGATGTCATTTCTGGGTTTATTTCTCTTGATTTTTTTCTTTCTGTTACTGTTATTTCGTTTCCTTGCATATTGGTGATTTTTGAAAAATTTATTTTTATAAAAATTTTAGATTTATAAAGTACAAATATATTTCTCAGAATTCTCACATAATTTGCACCCATTTTCCCCTATTATTAACATTTTACATGAATATGGTGCATTTGTTGCAAATAATGAACCAATGTTGATACATTATTATTATTACTGTGGTTTTTTTTTTTTTTTCAGATGGAGTCTCGCTCTGTCGCCCAGGCTGGAGTGCAGTGGTGTGTGAGCTCTGCTCACTGCAACCTCTGTCTCCTGGGTTCAAGCGATTCTGCCTCAGCCTCCTGAGTAGCTGGGATTACAGGTGCCCACCACCATGCCCGGCTAATTTTTGTATTTTTAGTAGAGATGAGGTTTCACCATGTTGGCCAGGCTGGTCTCAAACTCCTGACCTCAGGTGATCCACCTGCCTCGGTCTCCCGAAGTGTTGGGATTACAGGTGTGGAGAAATATGAACACTTTTACACAGTTGCTGGGACTGTAAACTAGTTCAACCATTGTGGGAGACAGTGTGGTGATTCCTCAAGGATGTAGAACTAGAAATACCATTTGACCCAGCCATCCCATTACTGGGTATCTACCCAAAGGATTATAAATCATGCTGCTATACAGACACATGCACAGGTACGTTTATTGCGGCACTATTCACAATAGCAAAGACTTGGAACCAACCTAAATGTCCAACCATAGACTGGATTAAGAAAATGTGGCACATATACACCATGGAATACTATGCAGCCATAAGAAAGGATGAGTTCATGTCCTTTGTAGGGACATGGATGAAGCTGGAAACCATCATTCTCAGCAAACTATCGCAAGGACAAAAAACCAAACACCACATGTTCTCACTCATAGGTGGGAATTGAACAGTGAGAACACTTGAACACAGGAAGGGGAACATCACACCCTGGGGCCTGTCATGGGGTGTGGGTAGGGGGGAGGGATAGCATTAGGAGAAATACCTAATGTAAATGACGAGATAATGGGTGCAGCACACCAACATGGCACATGTATATATATGTAACAAACCTGCACGTTGTACACATGTACCCTAGAACTTAAAGTATAATAATAAAAAAAAACATTTTAAGATAATTTTGCAGTGCAGCTTACCTGGATACCTATTTAGTTGGGAGAAGGGTAAGACAAAAAAAAGGAGAGAAATATATCCATGTATGCAGTACTTTGTTCTTTTATTAAATAGTTCAGACATAAAATATGTAAAATACTCACATGCCACCACTTAGCTTAAGAAACAAATCATTGCTGACAAAATTATTTTTCTTTCATCCTATTTTTCCTCTTCCTCTGTCTGTGATATAGTTTTAATCAAATATTATGTAGATTATATCATTCTCTCTCTCTTTTTTTTTTTTTTTTTTTTTTTTGAGATGGAGTCATGCTCCGTCACCCGGGCTGGAGTTCAGTGGCTCAATCTCTGCTCGCTGCAACCTCCACCTCCTGGACTCAAGTGATTCTCCTGCCTCAGCCTCCTGAGTAGCTCAGACCACAGGTGTGCGCCACCGTGCCCAGCTAATTTTTGTATTTTTAGTGCAGATGGGGTTTCACTATGTTGGCCAGGCTGGTCTTGAACTCCTGACCTCAAGTGATCCACCCGTCTAGGCCTCCGAAAGTGCTGGAATCACAGGTGTGAACCACTGCACCTGACCTATATTGTATCATTCTCTACATAACGTTTTACAACTTTCTTTTGTGATTCGACCTTACCCTCGATTTATTCACATGGATATATTTAGCCCCAATTAATTTTAACTTTAGTCTTAACTGCTATATGGTATGCTAATGTTTGATTATTCATAATTTGTCCAGTCTTCTCATGCTGGCCATTTCAGTAGTTTTCCATTTCTGTTAAATGTAAAGCTGCCATGAACATTCTTACACATGTAAGGGACCATACCTAGGAGTGGAATTGCAGGATGATAGAGAATGCACAACCTCAACTTAGCCTTGCCAACTTGTTTTCCAAAGAGATTTCCCAATTTATACTCTACTGGCAGTTTGAGAGTGTTCCACTCTTCCTCTTCACTGCTATTGGCAGATTTTAGATTTAATGAACTTGATGACCAGCACTTTTGGAGGCCAAGGCTGGCGGAGCACCTGAGGTTGGGAGTTCGAGACCAGCCTGACTAACATGCAGAAACCCTGTCTCTACTAAAAATACAGAATTAGCCATGTGTGGTGGTGCATGCCTATAATCCCAGCTACTTGGGAGGCTGAGGCAGGAGAATCATTTGAACCCGGGAGGCAGAGGTTGTGGCGAGCAGAGCCAAGATTGCACTCCAGCCTGGGCAACAAAGAGCAAAACTCCGTCTCTAAATAAATAAATAAACAAATAAACAAACTTGATGAATGCAAAATGTCATCATTGTAATTGCATCATTTTGATTTTCAGTGAGGTTGAGTAGGTTTCACTGGCAATCCTCCTGAATTGCTTGGTCATATTCTTCAGTAGCACATTTTTCTTAAGAGTGAATATAAGCTGATCCATTTGAACACTTTGCTATTGTGAAAGTATCCTACCATTTCTTACTGTGAATATATTTTAGACTTGTGACATACTGTGTCTAAAGAATATATATATAACAATTTGGCTTTTCTTATCTGATTGTGAAAGACTTTGTCATTTTACACACTCAGTGTGCATTTCCATAGAAGATCTCAGGAGCTCCATACCAGGCACAGCCTGTGGGGGAAAGAGCACAGATTTTGGAGTTAGAGATCTGGATTGAAATCCTTGCTCTCCACTTATCAGTTCTGTAGCTTTGAACAGGCTGCTGTACTTCTTTGAGCCTTGGTCTCCTCCTCTCTGTCCTCATCTATAAATTGAGAACACCCCATCATCGTGAGGTTGAATCCGTTGTTGACCAAGTGTCCTGTATGATTTTTTGCTTAGAGCAAGCCTGCAGTAAATTGAAGTTGTTGTAATTAAGTAAAGGAAATATCTTGGGAAGTACATTTCCTTCTTTGCCTACTACCTGTTACCCATATAGAACTCCAAGCAGGGTTTCCTTGTAGTTAAAAGTGTGAAATAGGTGAGCATTGTGACTTTCAAAGGCATTATCACTACCTTATGTTCGTGAAGTCCTTTATACATTTCAAATCACTTCAGTATTTTGTCACATTATTTTTTTGTTTGCAGTAAATCTGAGAGGGAGGCAGGACAGGTATCCTTACTTATCCCCCACTTTTCCTGATGAGGAATATCCATGGTAGAGACACAAAAGGAAGCAATGTTTCCCCATTACTACTCTAGGGAGTTTTGTCTTTTATTGTTTTTGCTATTTGGTTTTTGATGTTTGAACTGATTTTTGCCCTTGAAGAACTTACTAGCAAAGTAGAGGAAAGCAACTTTTGGGCAGTTTGCACTTACGTTACTTACTTTTAAAGGATAAGGAATGTTTTGGGATAAAAAATATAAGAAAATTTAAGTATATTGAAATGTTTTCATTAGATGATGTATTCTTTGCCTGCAGGCTCTGCCAGACTTGCCTCTTTATCCCGAGACCTCACTTAAGGCACCTCATTCCCAGATTAGAATATATGTAAACTATATGCATTTTGAACACGTCTTCCTGTAGGCTCCCTCTGCACCTGCCTCCCCCATGCACCTGGTTTGTATTTGTTTGGTGTCCAATGTTCCCTGCTCCTCTCTTTGCCCTTCCCTCTTGGTCATCTTGGTTACACCTGTGCCCTCAGGACACAGGAGAGGTATCCCACAAGTGTGCTGAATGAATGGGTGTAAGTAAACTTTTTCCTTGGAAATAAATGTCAAGCAGGATATCTGCTTGACACCAAAATGGTCAATAAATTGAGCCAGAGTGTAATTGAAGTGTCTCATGCTTTGAAGCATCCACATTGACTTATTCTTGGTTTATTTTTATCAGACTTGTTGCTATCATATATGTATAAGCTCAGCAAGGAAGAGTCTAGGCTAGTAGTTTGTCTTAGCTGAATCTTTTTTCCATAAGAATAAGTAAAAGTGCTCAGTTACATTTTGTTTTTTCCCCCTTTATTCAGTACTATACCAGCTTAAAATAATACCAAAAAATCAGCCATAATGCTACTATTTTGTCTTTTGTTTTTCTAAATTCTTTCAGTTCTTCTGTCTGCGTGCATCTGTACATTTTATGCCATTATAATCATAGCATCTTTGTAAGTTCGTACCCTTTCCTTAGTATATCATCTTCCACACTTTTAATGACTAAATATTCTTGTATATAAATAATGTACCAAAGTGTATCTAACAAATTCCATGTTCTTGGACATTTAGATTAGTTTTCATTGCTGTCAGTGGTATTAAAGTGTTCCTCTCTGGTTTTTATTTTTTGTTGTGATTTATGCATGTGTGTATGTAGTTAAACATAGGGCAGTAGTAGATAGCACATGGAAAGTTAAGGGCACGCCGCTGGAGTTGGGCTCCCTGGGTTTGAATCCTGGCTCTGCTGCTTGTTGCATGGACTCCCCGGCAAATTATGGGACCTCTGTGTGCCTCCAGTCTTACAGGTAAAAGGTAGGAGGAAAGTTATAGCAGTTTATAAGGTTGTTGTGAAGATTAAATAGTATATGTAAAGAGTTTAGAACACTCATACAAAGTCTTGTGAAAACTTAGCTATTAAATAACCCAGGTTTGGGCAGGGATGTTGGATGGACTCCTAGGTAAAATAGAGTTGGCCCTAATTGTGCTGATAATTGAAGCTGGGTAACAGATACAAGAGGATTTGCTATACTATTCGTTCTACTTTTTATGTTGAAATTTTTATTCATTTATTTATTTTTTTGAGACAGGGTCTCATTCTGTAGCCCAGGCTGGGATGCAGTGGTACAATCATAGCTCACTGCAGCCTCAACCTCCTGGGCTCAACTGATCCTCCCACTTCAGCTTCCCAAGTAGCTGGGACTACAGGCATGTGCCAGCATGCCCAGACAGAAACTTTTTTCATAATAAAAATAAAAGCACATACAATGCAAAAACATTTTAGCTTTTATATTTATTTTTTGATTTCTGAATTTATTTCTTGAATGTGTTTCTAGAAGTGAGACCACAAAGTAGGAGATCTTACAACCATTTTTGAATACAGCCAAATTGTTTTTTTAAAGAATTGTGTAATATACAGTGTAATGCTCAATCTAAAACGGTTTTATCACAGTCTTAAACAACACTGAATATTATTACCATTACATGTTTTTCATATAATTTTATAGGTAAAATGGTACCTTACAGTTATTTTAATTTCTTCTTTTTTTTTTTTCTTTCTGAGACAGGGTCTTGCTCTTTCGCTCAGGCTGGAGTGCAGTGGCATGATGATAGGGTCTCTCTAGGTTGCCTAGGCTGGTCTCTTCCTGGCCTCATGTGATCCTCTCACCTTGGCCTCCAAAAGTGTTGGGATTACAGATGTTGGTTGGCCACTGCACCTGACCTAGAACGTATTTTTGATTAATGGTTGCTGTAAATATCTGATCAAGCCATGATAAACTGCTTTGAGGTGACAGCCACCACTGTTCTCATATAGCATCCCCCTCAGTGTGCAGTCATCTTCACTGTGGACCATATGCCACCGGAGGCTAGACTGCAGATGCCCCTTGCCAGTGAAATTTGACTTCGGTAAATTTTCAGATGAGTTTTGGAAGAGCAGGGAAACTACAATTCTGCTTTAAGGTGTTCTGTTTTTATATAGTGAATATATTTATATTTGTTTTTTTTCTTTATCATTTCCCACTTTTCATGATACAAATCACAATTGCAAATTCCAATACAGTGTATGATCACCACTTCTCTCTGTAGCTTTTGAGATATGGTCAACTATTTATCATAAAGATGCTGAATAATCTGATTTTTTTTGTTTTACTAATTTGTTTTTTGAGTCTCCTCTTGGTGCATTTCTTTTACAATCCTTTTAAAAAATGTAGGATGCTAAGCCTAATATTGTGTAGTGGTTTACATAAATTTTATAGTTTTCTACGTTCAAACCTATAATTTGTGAGTGATACCTTTTTACTATGGTTTCTGATGTACTTGAGCCATGTTTTATGCCATCTTCTGAGTAACCATAGGGACTGAGTGGCGACAGTGTATGAAGCCCTTTATTATTCTATATTCCCATTTATTACTTGACAAGTGGCACCAGAGGCATAAAATTGTTTTATTTGTCAGATTTGCATAAGAACTTTCTTACAAAAAGCTTTTATGGTACGTAACACATCCATAAATTCTCATAATCGTCCTTTTGAGGTACTTCTTGTAGTTTTACTGTTGTTCTTCCTTTTTCATTATTTGAGAAACTTTTAAAATAAGAAATATTTGTCATGATGAAAAGATCCTACCAATTATTTGAAAGAACCATTGAAAATTGAACATAAGGTCTCCTTTTTCTTTTTGCTTTTTTTAGAAAACAAACTCTTTAGAAAATTTTTTAGAAAACAAAATCTTTAGAAAAGTTAAAATAAAATTAAAGCCTGACTTTGTGATGAAATTAGTTGGTTAAATTTGGATGCTGGTTATCAGACTTAAAAAAAAAAAAAAGTACCTTTTGAAAGATCTGAGACTTACTTATGACCAAGAAAAAATAGTTCTAAAACTTTTGTATAAAAAGTAGCATGTAAGTTGTGTCTATGAATGTGTATCTGTGGGTGTGTTGTATCTGTTTTATAAAACTTGAATAGAGCATCTATAAAAACAGTTCTCAAGAGTGTTTGTACTGATAACAGATAAATACAGATAGGGATATAAACATCATGGTTAAATAAATAGCAAAAAAGATCAGCTTTTGAATTTTTCTTTTTTTTTAAATTTTTTTTAGTATTTATTGATCATTCTTGGGTGTTTCTCGGAGAGGGGGATTTGGCAGGGTCATAGGACAATAGTGGAGAGAAGGTCAGCAGATAAACATGTGAACAAAGGTCTCTGGTTTTCCTAGGCAGAGGACCCTGTGGCCTTCCCCAGTGTTTGTGTCCCTGGGTACTTGAGATTAGGTATTGGTGATGACTCTTAACGAGCATGCTGCCTTCAAGCATCTGTTTAACAAAGCACATCTTGCACTGCCCTTAATCCATTTAACCCTGAGTTGACACAGCACATGTTTCAGAGAGCATGGGGTTGGGGGTAAGGTTATATATTAACAGCATCCCAAGGCAGAAGAATTTTTCTTAGTACAGAACGAAATGGAGTCTCCTATGTTTACTTCTTTCTACACAGACACAGTAACAATCTGATCTCTCTTTCTTTTCCCCACATTTCCCCCTTTTCTATTCGACAAAACCGCCATCGTCATCATGGCCCGTTCTCAATGAGCTGTTGGGTACACCTCCCAGACGGGGTGGCGGCCGGGCAGAGGGGCTTCTCACTTCCCAGACGTGGTGGCTGGGCAGAGGGGCCCCCCACCCCCCAGAGGGGGCGGCCAGGCAGAGGCGCCCCTGCCTTCCAGATGGGGCGGCTGCTGGGCGGGGGCGCCCCCTGCCTCCCAGACGGGGCGGCGGCCGGGCGGAGGCGCTCCTCACCTCCCAGATGGGGCGGCCGGGCAGAGGCGCTCCCCACATCCCAGACGATGGGCGGCCAGGCAGAGACGCTCCTCACTTCCTAGACGGGGTGGTGGCCGGGCAGAGGCTGCAATCTCCGCACTTTGGGAGGCCAAGGCAGGCAGCTGGGAGGTGGAGGTTCACACCACTGTACTCCAGCCTGGGCAGCATTGAGCACTGAGTGAGCGAGACTCCGTCTGCAATCCCGGCGCCTCGGGAGGCCGAGGTGGGCAGATCACTCGAGGTCAGGAGCTGGAGACCAGCCGGGCCAACACGGCGAAACCCCTTCTCCACCAAAAAATACAAAAACCAGTCAGGCGTGACAGCGCGCGCCTGCAATCCCAGGCACTCGGCAGGCTGAGGCAGGAGAATCAGGCAGGGAGGTTGCAGTGAGCCGAGATCGCGGCAGTACAGTCCAGCCTCGGCAACAGAGGGGGACCGTGGAAAGTGAGAGATGGAGACGAGGGAGAGGGGAAGACCGTGGAAAGCAGGAGACGGGAGAGGGAGAGGGAGAGCTTGAGCTTGAATTTTTCAAAATGTTGATTTTTGTCACCTTAGGAAAGATGTGTTACTTGTTATACATCCAGCATGGTTAAGTCCTAGTGTCAAGTGAGCCAGGACTATAGTCACAGATATACTTACCTCTCCTTGCAACTTTAGCTGTATTATAAAACTTGGGGGTGATAACATTTACAAATAGACTTGTTCATGTATTAGTAGTAAATTCAGAGTACTTTTCCACTGTGATATGTGCTTTCTGCCCTAAGTATATACAATCTTTTCAGATTTATCTATGAGCTATCTTGCTAATTGTTTCACCCACATTCTATAGCCTTTCCCTCCTGTTGATGCAACTCTTCCTCTTCCAGATTTCATGCTGAACCTAATGCAGCATTTGACTGGCTTCCTACCCATTCCCATAGTGTCTGCAAGTAAACATCAGTCAAACTCTCTGCCTTCTTGGTCTCCACTACTGGTTGCTATGGGCTTTCTATACCATCTTTCCTTTCCTGGACTGGGCTCCTGAAGGTCAGCAGCCTCCCTGACCTCGGTGCTATAATAAGTTGCCTTCTCTTCTGCTTGCACACAACATCTCTCTACTTTATTCAAACAATTACCTGGTTTGCATTGTCTCACTTTTTCTGACCAAGTTTTCTTGATCATTTAAAAATTTCCTTGGGGTTCAAGCCAGTTCACAAGCTAGACCTGATTTAAAATGAATAATTTAAGGAAATCTGGAGAACGAACTAATAGTAGATTTTTCACCCTGGTCTACATTTTTCTGAGACGGAGTCTCGCTCCGTCGCCCAGGCTGGAGTGCGGTGGCATGATCTTGGCTCACTGCAAACTCCGCCTCCTGGGTTCACGCCATTCTCCTGCCTCAGCCTCCTGAGTAGCTGGGACTACAGGTGCCCGCTACCACGGCCGGCTAATTTTTTTGTATTTTTAGTAGAGACAGGGTTTCACCATGTTAGCCAGGATGGTCTCGATCTCGTGACTTTGTGATTCGTCCACCTTGGCCTCCGAAAGTAAAGTGCTGGGATTACAGGTGTGAGCCACTGCGCCCGGCCGCTCCGGTCTACATTTTATATCTCTACTCTTAAGAGGCAGTATGGTACAAGGTTAAAAGTAAGGGACTTCTGAGCCAGATTATCTTCATTTTAATCCTGGTTCTACCAGTTATTTCTGTGTGACCTTGGGCAAGTTATGTAACTTCTCTGTGCCTCAGATTGTTTATAAGGGAGATAATAAAAATCCTTACAGCATATAGAGTTGGTGAAGTTAAATGTGGTGAAAGTTAAATGAATAAATAAAGCATCCACACTAGTACATGACCCAAATTAAGTGTCATATAAGTGTTGCCGCATTGCAGTTCTCCTCAGTGACGGCCTGTGACCTGCCATTTCTGTCGGCTCTTACCAAGGCTCGGTGCCGCCCCGGGCCTCTGCTCCATTGTCATAGTAATGTTTGCACTCTGCTAGTCACCTGTAAATATACATATTTAGGATCCTAAAACCAATATCCTAAAATATGTATATTAGCAGATGATGACAAAAACACCAGAATTTTTATCAAAGAGAAAGTAGAAAGTATATGGGTTAATATTGTAAGGATTAGGATACACCTGTCAAATTACTCTAGGTTGGCTTAGAAACAAAGCAAAACAAATTGGGTCCCATCCACTATTTTTTGGCATTCTGAAAATAACTAGCTCTTACCTGATGAGGTCATTCATTCATGACCTGACCATCCAGGTCCTATCTGGCAATAATAGCTTTTTGCAAAAAGCAACTCTTGCCTAAGTGGAGATTTACATCTTGATGAGTTTTGTATGAAAGTAAAGAAGATGCAGGAACATTATCAGTGGGGCGTACACTAACCATTGGCATTTCTGAGCAACGTGTTGCGTAGTTGTGTGATTTGGCAGCAGCTGGTCCATTGCTGACACGTGTGTGTGTTCACTGAGGCTTCACTCACACCTAAGGCTTCCTTGGAGAGACCATGCTGCCATTACATTTGGATCACTACCTGCCCCCAACACACACACACACACACACACACACACACACACACACACGAACCAACTTTCCAAGCACCACACCCACCTTTTCCGGGCTCTGTACCAGATCTGGAGGGGTGATGGCTAGAAGTGAGGGTTTTTGCTCCATCATGAGTAGCAGCTGGAAGTGGGCCTGTGCCCAGCTCTGGTGGCAGTGGGCCACCTGTGGCTGGTGCCAAGCTCACTGATGGAGATCTCTCATTATGTACCTACATCAATGATCAGTAAAGAACAAGCCATAAGAAACTTTTGGGTCTCTGGGAATGTTATCTTTTTACTCCTCATATAACTTCATGGTGAACTGTTTTGAAATTTGACATTAATTTAGAATTTCTTGCCTGTTCTGATCTCTAGTAGGATTCTAGGCTGGATGTCTTTGGAATTGAAATACTTGTTGGCTTCTGGTTATTTTGGGGGTAATCCATAACAGTCTACCATTCCTGGTGTTTGGTTTTAGTGGGCTGTGAAAAAAATCATTTGTTCAACACTGATGTCGTGATACAAGGACGTGAAGATGTGAGTCATTGTGACATCACCAGCCAGAATTGCTGGGATTCAGTGAGATGACTCACAGTAAGAGGTCAGTGTCTGGTTCAGTAGTTCCTTCTTCCACATGTATCCCTCAGTATCTAGAACCCTGAAATTGGTTTCTCTAAGAAAACCAAGAGGCCCATAAGGGTAATGTATACTGTTGATTTTTATGGTTATTTTTCAAAAACTAATATTTTAAACATATCAAAATTATTTCAAATGGTAATGTACTCAATGTACCATTTGGTTTAAGATGTTAACATTTTGCCATATATGTCATAAAGTCTTTTCATGAAGAAATCAAACCTTACAAATATACTGGTAAGACCCCCCTCCTGCCCATCATGCCCCCATCCCTTCCGTTATGTTGTTGAGGTGGTGTATGTTCTTCCCTTCAGCTTTTTAACTTTTACTACATATCTGTGCATTCATAAATAACATGTAGTGTTTTTTGCGTGTTATGTAGTGTGTCCTTTTGCAACCCATGTTTTCCACCCATCCATTTTGAATTGATCTATGTTGATGCAGGTGTATACAAAACTCATACAGCTAATTTCTTTTAGTTGTTGTATAGGATTTTACTGTAGGAAATATGCCATCATTTATTTAGATACTTTGTAACTTAATTATCACAAAACACTTTGTGGTATTTTTAACTCAGTTTCAGAGAACATATTCAAACCTAGGTTTATCCAATTCCATCATGCTTTCTATAAACATTTGGAAAATAAAGTTGGGAAAGTGAGCTTGCAGGCTGCCTCCTAGCATATCTCTGGGGTCTTCGTGTAAGGGAAATTGTTGGCTGTGTGCCCCACTGGCCTGGGGTGGCAAGACCAGGGCAGCCCTGTCTTCGTCAGTGGGTCTGCACTGCAGGAAGACCCCTGGGTCTTCAGAGGGTGCTGGTCAGCTACTTGGGACATTGGCTCAAGGGAAATACAAGATCCTTTTTTTTTAAATGAACAATGCAGTAAATCTGTGATATATTTGAGGCTCAAGAAGGATTGAGTTACAGGGAGAAGTTTCAAAGGAAGTGTAAGACATGGACCCAGCCTGTAAGAAACTTAAAGTGTAGCAGGGGAGACAAAACTAACATAGAACAATTGCATGCTACACAGCTTGGTATACACTCTACTGCACCCCTTGTTACCTTTGGCAAAAATGAGATATTCTGTGTTTTTCTTTGCACCTTGATTTCTCACCCAACAATACTTAGTGGAGGTCCTTTCAAAGCACCTAGTATAGAACAAATTCATTTTTCAAAGGGTGTATAATGTTCCACTTTATGGACATAGAATAACTTATTTGTCCAGTCTCTTATAAATGGGTCATCTTTTGTTTTGTTTTGTTGTAAACTGCTGAAAACTGTAGTAATGTCCTATGTGTCTTTGTGTGTATCTATTTTTATTTTTTTAATTTTTATTTTAGGTTTGGGGGTACGTGTGAAGGTTTGTCACACAGATAAATATGAGTCACAGGAGTTTGTTGTACATAGTATTACATCACCCAGGTAATACGCTCAATACCCAATAGTTACCTTTTCTGCTCCTCTCACCCTCCCGCTTCAGGTAGACCCCAGGGTCTGTTGTTTCCTTCTTTGTGTTCCTAAGTTCTTCTCATTTAGCTTCCTCTTATAAAAGAGAACATGCGGTATTTGATTTTGTGTTCCTGCATTAGATTGCTAAAGATGATAGCCTCCAGTTCCATCCATGTTCCCGCACAAGACCTGATCTCTTTCTTTTTTATGGCTGCATAATATTTCATAGTGTATATGTACCACATTTTCTTTATCCAGTCTGTCATTGATGGACATTTAGGTTGATTCCATGTCTTTGCTATTATGAACAGTCCTGCAGTGAACATTCACATGCATGTGTGTTTATGGTAGAATGGTTTATATTCCTCTGGGTATATACCCAGTAATGGGATTCCTGGGTCAAATAGCAGTTCTGGTTTTAGCTCTTTGTGGAATTGCCATACTGCTTTCCACAATCGTTGAACAAATTTATCCCACCAACAGTGTATAAAGGTTCCCTTTGTGACCTTGCCAGCATCTATTATTTTTTTGGCTTTTTAATAATGGCCATTCTGACTGGTGTGAGATGGCCTCTCTTTGTGGTTTTGATATGCTTGTTGGCCACATGTATGTCTTCTTTTGAGAAGTGTCTGTTTATGTCTTTTGCTCAATTTTTAATGGGGTTGTTTATTTTTCTCTTGTAAATGTGTTTAAGTTCTTTATGGATGCTGGATATTAGACCTTTGTCAGATACATAGTTTGCAAATATTTTCTCCCATTCTGTGCCTTTTAAGTGGGGCATTTAGCCTGTTTACATTCAAGGTTAGTATTGATATGTGTGGATTTGATCCTGACATTGTGCTGTTTGATCATATCATTGATCCTGTCAGCTGGTGCTGTCACTGATCCTGTCATTAGCTGGTTATTATGTTGGCTTGTTTGTGTGGTTGCTTTACAGTGACACTAGTCTGTGTGTTTAAGTGTATTTTTGTATCAGCTGGTAGCGGTCTTTCCTTTCTATATTTACTGTTCCTTCCAAGATCTCTTATAAGGCAGGTCTGGTAATGAAGTTCCTCAACATTTGCTTACCTGAAAAGGATCTTGTTTCTCCTTCACTTAGGAAGCTTAGTTTGGCAGGATATGAAATTATTGGTTGAAGATTTTTTTTTTTTTTTTAAAGAATGTTGAATATAGGCCTCTAATCTCTTCTGGCTTGTAGGGTTTCACTGTTAGCCTAAGGGGATCCCTTTGTAAGTGACCTGCCCTTTCTCTCTAGCTGCCTTTAACATTCTTTCATTTCAACGTTGGAAAACCTGACAATTATGTGTCTTGAAGATGATCTTCTTGTGTAGAATCTTGCAGGAGTTCCCTGTATTTCCTGAGTTTGACTGTAGGTCCCTCTAGTAAGGTTAGGGAAGTTTTCAGGGATGATATCTAGGAATATATTTTCCAAGTTGTTTGCTTTCTCTCTCCCTTTCAGGGATGCCAGTGATTTGTAGATTTGGCCTCTTTACATAATCCATTCTTCTCTGAGGTTTTATTCATTTTTATTTATTTTTTCATTTTTGTCTGACTGTCCTATTTCAGAGAACCAGTCTTCAAGTTCTGAGATTCTTTCCTCAGTTAGGTTTATTCAGCTGTTAATACTTGTGATTGCATTGTAAATTTTTTTTTTTTCCCTGAGACGGAATCTCGCTCTGTCACCCAGGCTGGAGTGCAGTGGAACAATCTCCGCTCACTGCAGTCTCTGCCTCCCAGGTTCAAGCGATTCTCCTACCTCAGCCTCCTGAGTAGCTGGGACTACAGGTGCCTGCCACTATGCCTGGCTAATTTTTGTATTTTTAGTAGAGACGGGGTTTCACCATGTTGGCCAGGCTGTCCTGAAATTCCTGACCTCAGGCAATCCATCTGCCTCAGCCTCCCAAAGTGCTGGGATTACTGGAGTGAGCTACTGTGCCCGGTCATAAAATTATCATATTGCATTATTTAGCTCTGTCAGACCCGTTAGGTTTTTTTTTATGCTGGCTATTCTATCCTTCAGCTTCTATATCATTTTACTGTGATTGTTCTTTTCCTTAGATTTGGTTTCAACATCCTCCTGAATCTCAGTGATCTTTGTTCCTATCCATATTCTGTATTCCAGCCAGTTCTGCCTGGTTACAAACTCTTATTGGAGAACTGGTGTGGCCATTTGGAGGGCGTATGACACTCTGGCCATCTGAGTGTTATCAGAGTTCTTGCTGGTTCTTTCTCATCTGAGTGTGGGTGTTCCTTTAATGTAGATTGAGTACGGTCAACAGACTTCTTTTCTGGATGTTTTCACTGGGCTGATGCTTTATGTAGGGTCTTTATTTGAAGCTTACTTGTTGTCTCTGGTTTCAGAGGGGGGTATGTTAATGAGGTGTTTTTGGTATTGAAGCTTTGGGGTGTGATCCAGTAGGTGGCGCTTAGGTGAATTGGTCAGTTGCTAGACTCTTGTTTGGTTGCGTGGCTCCCCTGTTTCCTCACAGTTTCCGTCATGCTCCCTTTCAGTGCTCTGAAACTGTGTGTTCCTCTCCCACTTGAGTGCTGGCTCTCCTTGGCACTCCTGGGATGCCCACTGCAGCTCTGGGGTGATCTCAGTGTTTATGTTCCTTTCTCAGCTTAGAGGCAGCAGAGGAAGAGATCTTAGCAGGGGTTGTGGCCGGGGGTTATTTGCTTGCTCCACCTCAGAGAGATGTGGGTCAGCAATCACTTGGTGCAGTCAGCCCAAGATGTAGGGTTTGTGCTGTGTGCCCAAGCCAGGGGTTCCCTGTCTGGTGATGAGCCATGCTGGGGAGAGTGGGTGTGGGACCTGTAGGAGACAGACTGGCTGCCTCTCCTTGGGTCGACTGTAGCTTATTGGAGGTGTAGATAAGGTACTCTTAGAGTCTTTGCTCCTTTGTTAGTTTGAAGGTGGCAAGGGCAGTTCCACTGCTGAGATAGTGGCAGAGAGGCTTTCAGTTGCCCCTGGAGGCTCTGTTCGGGGAGTTGCTGAGTTGGTACTGGCTCCACAGCTCTGGCGGGGGTGGCTGGAGGCCCAGGCCTGGAGGACCTGTCCAGTGAGGAGATATGGACAAGTCTGCCCACTTTTCCATAGGGCTGCTGTGGTATGCTTGGGGCCTGCTCCAGTCCCTAGTCACCTCAGATTTTCCAGAACCTGGAGGTGTCACCAGTGAAGGCTGAGAAACAGCAAATATGGCAGCCTGTCCCTCCCTCTGGGAGCTTCGTCCCAGGGAGGTATGGACCTGGTGTCGGCCCAAAGGCACCTGTAGGAAGTGACTGGAGACCCTGGTTGGGAGGTCCCGGCCAGTGAGGAGGAACGGGATTGGGACCCACTTAAAAAAGTGGCCACATTTTGGGAGAGCAGTTGTGCTGTGCTAGGGGTCCGCTTCAGCCCCTGATCGCCTCGGATACTATGAGGCTCAAAGGCTGGAACAGCTAAGGCACCTGAACAGTAAAGATGGTGGCCTACCTCTCCCTCTGGGAGTGCCATCCCAGGGGAAATTCAATGTCCATCTGTCAGATGGACAGCTCGGGCAGGGGTGGCTAGAGGCCCCAGTTGGAAGGTCCTGCCCAGTGAGGGAACGGGATAGGTACCTGCTTAAAGCAGCTGTCCGGCCACGTTTCGGTAGAGCAGCTATGCTGTACTGGGGGATCCCTTCTGCCCTGTGTTGGCTCGGACTCTCCAAAGCCTGAAAGCTAGAATGGCTAAGGTGCCCAAACAGCAAAGCTGGTGGCCTGCCCCTCCCCCTGGGAGCTCCTTCTTAGGGTGGTGCAATGCCGCTACTGGTAGCTGGCTGGAATTCCAAGCCAGTGGGTCTTATCTCGTGAGGTGCAGTGGAAGTGGGGGCTGTTGCTGCTTAGCTGCCTGGATTCATCCTCTTTCCTAAGTGTATGTACAGGAGTCTAACCTCTCACTTTGCCAGAGCTACGGCTACTTTTGCTGGAAAGCCTGAGTAGCTAAGGCTCCAGGGTCTCCACGCGTGCCTGAGCGGCTGCTCTGCCAAGACTCCACGCTGCTCTGTCAGAATGAAGACTGAAGGCACTGGTAGAGAGGGGTTTACGTGGAGAGCTCCTGACCTGAGGTTTGCAAAGATCTGTGGGAGAAGCATGGTTTCTGGGTCGCTCATTCGGTCATTGCTTCTCTGGGCAGGGGAGTATCCCCTGGCTCCGTGCTGACCCCCGGGGGGCCATTGTCCTGTCTTGCTTTTCTTTGTTCTCTGTGGGTCAGGTTGTTTCCTTGATTAGTCCCAGTGCGAGTATCTGGCTGTTTCAGTTGAAGGTGTTGTATTCACTCGCCCCTTCTGTTCCTCTCCGTGAGAGTCAGGTACACCAGCTGCTTCTAGTCAGCCATCTTGGCCACTCACTCTTGTGTGTATTTATGCTCTGATTTCTGCAGAAGTTTCCAGGGGTGGGATGGTGAGACAGGGATATGTGTATTTTTAATTTTAATAGATGCTTCCATATTGCCCTCTAAAAAGGCGATAATTCATATTTCACTACAACTGGCACATGAGAATATCCTCTCCCTATCTTGTGAACTCCAATAGTTATGAAATTTCTTTTTCAGTTTCTGACTGGATATAAAGTTATACCCCATTGTTACCAATTTCTGTGAGCACTAGGGGATGATATGAGCATCTTTCCAGATATTACCTTGGCAATTTGTTTTTGCTCTTTTGTGTGCTGCTCATCTTTTGCTAGGTTTGTTACTAACCTTGGGCCTTTATTCCTGGTTAGTTTCTGAGGGCTGTTTATACAGCATAGGTGTCAACCCTTTGTCATCTATGTTCCACATACTTGGATCAGATAGAGCATTTGTCTCTTGGCTTTGTTAGTCACTGAAGGATTACAGAAGCAAACTGAGTTCCAGCAGGTCAAATACAACCTTATTAGTTTGATATGTTAAGCAGCCCTTTGGAAGGGTCAGTGGGGGTGGTATGATATTGATGGGCATGGTACAATATATGCTTGTTGAAGACTGTGGTAGCTCACACATCAGCTGAATTTTGTATCTCTTTAGCTTTTCAGGGGTTCTTTAAGCAACAGGGAGGTATGCTCATATGTGTGCCTTATGCTCAGAAAAATAGCTCGATCACCAAGCAGCTGTAATCCACTCGACTGGTCTCTCTTCCTTATGGAAACTGGGTCCTGAAGTTCGGTGTCATTCTTTTTTTTAGAAATCATGCCACCCTCAAAGCCTCATCCACCTGTCGTGGGCAAAGTGACTCATCACAGCATTGAATTATACTGGGATCTGGAAAAGAAAGCCAAACGCCAAGGACCTCAAGAGCAGTGGTTCAGGTTCTCGATTGAAGAAGAAGACCCCAAAATGCACACTTATGGTATCATTTATACGTAGGTGCAGTGTTGAATTGCTTGCCACTTTGCCTTACTTCCTGATTAGCTGGAATGATTTCTGTTGTCTCTAAAAAGCCACTGCTTGTTTCAAATTAAAGAATGAGTCAGCATCATTTGTATTCATGCTCTTTTATGAATTACAATTTTTGGAAAATAGGCATTAGCAGTAACTTTGAAATTAAACCTCTGTACCTTTGAGAGCTTCTTTGACTTCTGAAATATTTTAATGATATGTATTTAAAATCCAGAATGTAGAGACAGACTCAAACAATAGCTTGATGCAATTAGGTGAGCTTCCCATCAGGCTGTTGTGTTCACTGACGTGGAATGGCCCCGCATGGTCTACCCTGGCTAGCTTCTCTGATCTCATGTCATACCATTGTCCCCTTGTCAACTCTCTTATACCACGCTGGCTGCCTCTCAGCCTGGACAGGCCAAGCTGGTTCCCATCGCAGGATCTTGCTCGTTGCTGTGGTCTTGAATACATTTCCTTCTGTTTTTATACAGCTGGTTCCTTCACACCATGCCAATCTCAGATGAAACATCCCCCCGCCCCCAGAAGGCCATCTGAAGTAGCCATCCTTTCATGCAGGCCTCCTGTAGCTCAGAACCTTGTTTTGTATGCCACATAGCATTTAGCTCTGTTGGGCTTATTTTACTTGTTTACTTGTTTGCTTAGTTTGTTTACCTTGTTGTTTACTTGTTTACTTCTTGTTCCTTTCCTGCCTCCTCACCCAGTATTAAACTCAGTGAGAGACAAATAAGACTTCTGCCTGCTTAACGCTCTAGCCGGTTCCTTGACAGTGCTGGCTGTTATATAGCAGGCCTTCCAAATGCTTCTGGCATGAACCAATACCACCAGGAGTAATGAAGAAGTCACTTTTGGCCAGGCATGGTGGCTCATGCCTGTAATCTCAGCACTGTGGGAGGCTGAAGTGGGCAGATCCCTTGAACCTGGATGTTCAAGACCAGCCTAGGCAACATAGTGAAATCCCATCTCTACAAAAAATCCAAAAGTTAGCCAGGTGTGGTGGCTTATGCCTGTAGTCCCGGGCTGAGGTGGGAGGATCACTTGAGCCTGGGAGGTCGAGGCTGCAGTGAGCCATGATTGTGCCACTGCACTCCAGCCTGGGTGACAGAGTGAGACCCTGTCTCAAAAAAAAAAAAAAAAAAAGTTATGTTTTTCTTCTTAGTCTTCATATCATCTCTGACTTATTTCTTCCCCTTGATAGATTTACCACTTGAAAAATGCAAAATGACTATTTTGTGATTCAGGAATACCAAAAATGAGATACAAATATGGTTTTTAGTGAAACTTTTAATTTTGAAATAATTATAGATTCATATCCAGTTGTAAGAAAGAGTGATTGTACCTTTTCCCATTTCTCCCCTATGGTAACATCTTTGAAAATAATAGTGCAGTGTCACAGTCAGGATATTGGCATTGATGCAGTCAAGATGCAGAACAGGTTCATCACTTTCCTGGCCTTTTCTCAAGTTTGCATTGTGATAAAAGTGCTGACATGAGAAGATAGATATGTTTATGTGTATGTGTGTATAAATATCTATAAATATGTATATAATCTGTATATGAAAGCTCCAATTTCAACTGTTACTTGAGTGATAATATATCTGATATTTGAGAAATTTCTCTGTACCTTAAGAAAAATCTGAAATGTAGTTGCAATGTAAAAATAGTTCTTGTTCTGACTACTCAAATGTTATTTTAATCATGTCGTTTTACTTATTGAAGGTATGCTTTTTCTATCTAAAAGCATGAATTATGAGAAACATTTCTCTTGAGAAAGAAAAAGACATCTTTCTTTCCCCCATCACCTTAGCACCACAAGCTGTGTTGGGCAGGTGAATGGGGCCATCCTGCATCGTTCTTTCTTCCTTGGCTGTGCCTTTGCTGGGTGGCCAGGTAGGCAGCCTCAGCTAGAGAAACCATAGCTGCGTGTGCTGGCTTCCAGCCTGAGGTGTGTGTCTGTGTTGTCTGCATTCTCCCCAGAGACCTGGTTGCTGTCAGGCTGGAGAACGCACTCTCACTCTGACGACAGCCTGGCATTGTGGGGCTGGCAGTGACATCTGTGGTCCCTGCTCTAAGGACAGTGGGGAAATGCCTGCGTTTCTCACAGAATTACAAGTACAAATCTTGACGCTAGGTGGCAGAATTAGGCTGCATTAATCTTGACCTCTTTTGCTTCCTTATTTCTTTCTCTACATAGCATTAAAACTAGCAAATGCTTTTCTTGTAAAAAGTGGTTATCTAGAATACCTGATGTTTGGATTGTGGATTTAAGAACTTCTTCCTGATTTGTCAGTTTCTGTTCCCATCAGTCATCAGTCTATCTGGAAACAATGATATTGTCTTTGACTTGGGCTTTCCTCCATGGCTTCTCATAGCCAGTCAGTTACTGAGTTCTCCATTTGTAGAATTGCTTCTGTGCTTTCCCTCTTTAGCTGCGTTTTCCCCTGCAGGATGTAGGCTTTATTTCTGTCTAGCTCATTTGTGGATCCCCAGCTCCTACACCTGCCCAGTGTATTTTCTGATGGAAGGAGTTGACTTTATTCCTTTTTTTTTTTTCTCATCATTCTATCTTGCTGGGCTAATTTCCATTTTAATCTTTCTTTTGTCACATTGTCTTTGGTGGGTCCTCCATTGCTTAAAGGATAAAGGCCAAATTCCTTAGACTAACATTTAATGTCTTTCACAGTTTCCCTACACCTGCCTTTCTTGTTGCCTCTTATTTCTCAGCACAAACCCTCCAGTCAGATTTCTTACTGTCCTTTGAATATGCCTTGACGTTTTCTGCATGTGTGTTCAGTTGTTTTCCCTGTTTGGACAGATTTTCCCCTCTCACCCTATTCTTTCTTCTGCCCTGGTCAGATTTTACCTCCACTGAGAAGCTCTCCTTACTACCCTATTGTCTGTGCCCTAAATTCCTGTGATCGTTGCTGCCCATGCCACGCATTCCATTTATTCCATCAGCGTGTATTATTGAGTGTCTGCCGTGTGTCAGACACTGCTCCGGATGCTGGGGATACGGCACTGGGAAAAAATTCCTCCCTCATGATGATGAAGGCAAACAATAAATAAGATACATAAGTAAAAATAGGTAGTCAGCAGGCAATACATACTGAGGGGCAGCAGCATAGGAAAAATTGAGGGCCTGGGGTAGAGGTGGGGAAGTCTTCACCAAGAAGGTAGCTTCTGAGTAGATCTGAAGCAAGGATACCTGGAGCCTTGCAACTATCTGGGGGAAGAACCTTCCAGACATAGCAAAGGGCAGGTGAGAAAGCCTGGCAGTACAAATGTACCTGGCTGGTCCCAGGAGCATTGAGGAACAGAGGGAACAAGGAGGAAAATAATGGGGGCGAGGGCAGCTGGGTCATGAGAGGTCACTGCCTGGGCCTTGAGGGTTATTGGGAGAACTCTGGCTTACTCTGAGAGAGGCGGGGAAAGCCACTGGAGATTGTGAAGCTGAGAAGAGGTGTGATCCGGCTTATGTTTTACGAGGATCCCTCTGGCTGCTGAGTTGGGAACAGGCTGTAGGGAGGCCAGGCAGCAAGCAGCAGGGAGGACTGATGAAGAAGCTTTTGAAACAGTTTAGGTGGGAGACAACACAACAGTGTGGAAAGTGGGAGGATGCAGGATATGCTTTAAAGATGGATTTAAGAACTTGGTGGTGGACCGAATATGGGATGTGAGATACGGGATGTGAGAGAGAGGATGGTCAAGGGATATGTGGTAGCCAGCACAGGCCCAGTGATGCTGCTGGAAGCATCAGCGTCACAGTCTCAGTGGCTTATGGCAGCAGTGATTCCCTCCTACACACCATGCCCACCGTGGGTCGGCCAGGGCTCCATCCTGCATTGTCCTCCTGCCACAGCCCAGGCCATGCGGCAGCCTCTGCGTGAACATTGTCAGTCACTGTAGCAGGGGAGAGAGCATGGCATGCTGTTTCTTGAAGCTTCTGCCCAGAATGACATACTTCACTTCTGTGTATACTTCATTGCTCAAAGCAAGACATGCAGCCATGTCCGAGTTCAACAGGGCGGGGAGGTAGATAGAATCCTTGTGGGAGGGCACCTTGTGTCTCTGAACAACAATCCAGTCTTCCACAGGAGGCACCCAGGGTCTGGCCTGAGCAACTGTAATAACAGAGATGGGGAAGACTGTGGGTGGAGTAGATGCTCAGTTTGAAACTGTCTGACGTCCAAGCCGAGATGTCAGGGAGGGTGTTGGGGATGTCAAGGGCCAGGGAAAGGGTCTGGGTTGGAGAGACAGACTCCAGAGTCATCAGCATGAGGCTGGATTGGAATTCTGGGGGAGGGAGTTTAGAGAAGAAAGGGAAGTCTGGTAACTGAGTCTTGGGGCTTTTCAATATTTATTTAGCTTCTTATGTTTCATATTTGCTCAGCTCTTGCATCAAACATTTGCTTATTGACTGATAACAAAAACAAGGCTATGCTTTAAATTTTTGTAGACTTTCCTCTACTGTGGAAGTCACTCTAAGATTCATTTATTTTTTCAGCTGTCATGTCTAGGTAAAGTTGCGCTTCTCCATGGGTTCAATGAACTGCTCTCATGAGTCCTCCCTGCGCCTGTGTTGTAATCGCTGTAGAGTACCCTGGTGGGCAGTTGTGTCCTGGTCCCTGCTGTGGCTTTTGTCCTCTTTGGAGCCATCTCTAGTGATGCAAGAATCTTCAGCCTTTGACAAGCGTGCTTGGTAACATCTGGTTTCTAACACAGTTGCGTTATTTCCCTTTCCAGGGGTTATGGAGGTGCTGTTTGCTTCAGGGTGACCTTATGATATTTAGCAATACTGAATTTTATTGGGAGCACTTCTGGTTTTATTTTGGTCTAATGCTATGCTAAGTCTTTGACACCTTGCACTGAATTCTGGTGAGGCTTGGCTATTATATTCTCACTGAACTTCTAAAGATCTTTTCAGATGCCACACATTATTGAGGGCTCAGTTTCTATGACTCAAATATCTAAGTATTCATGGACCTATTTTCATTTAACATCAAAATCTACCTACTCATAAGACTACTTTGTGCCAGGCTGATACATTTTAGTTTTAAAAAAATTATTACTTTTTAGCCCTGGCGGTTTTTCTGAATATTTATCTTGGTTTTAGAGCTTTTACTTTTATGGTAAATGTGTTTATATCAATTTTTAACACTTATCTACTTCTCGGTTTCTTGATCGAAAAGTTTCTGTAATGCCATTGGCGTTATTTCTTCATTGTCTTTCCTACAGTTTCTTTTTTGTTGATACATACTATCTCAGTTATCTGCTGCATGACAAACCAGCCCCAGACTTAGTGGTTGACAGCAGAAACAGGCATGTGTTTGCTCATGATCTGTAATTTGGCTAGGGTGTTGATGGCTTGTTTCTGCCCCATGTGGTCTTGGCCGTTGCAGCTCTCTTGGGGCTGGAAGAACCAAATGGCTTCACCCATGTGTGATGCATCAGCTGGGATGGCCAGGACAGCAGGAGACTGGCTGGGCTTTTTCATCTCCTTTGTGGTCTGGATCTTCCACTGACTGTCTTACTAGGTGGCCTCTTTCTCTAACAGGGAAGTTGAGCTTCTCCTCCCTGCTTCCAAGGGAGGAGAAGCAGAAACTTCTGGGCATCTTAAGGCCCAGACCCAGAGCTGTACAGATTCTCTTCTACCACTTCCCATCCTGTTCAAGGGGAGAGGAACTAGACTCTAACTCTGGCAGGGGAGGAACATGTTCCTGCGGGGATGGTGGAGACTGTGGAGGTCAGCTTGACTTCCAGCTCATTTGGCTTCTTTTAGGTGAAGAGAAATGTGTTTCTGGCAAAGATGATGTCAGTTAGGAGACTGAATCCACCAGCACAGAGCAGGGAGGCAGAGACACGTACGTGGTCAGAGGTGCCTCAATGTGCTTAGTCTTTTTCTTGGCTCTGCTGGTGCTACACCCGAGAAGTCATTTAGATTTGGTGTCTGAAGTAACTTTGTGATGCAAAAACAGGATCATTGAACGTTCAGTGTTTGATTTTACCTTGAAATTTCACATTTTAACAAAGGACAGAAACATCAAGTGAAGAAAGTCTTTGTAAATGTTTTTCAGTTTTCAAAAAAAGGTTCTGTTAGATGTTAGAATTATGATGTTAGAGTTGTCTCCAGATTTCACGGAGGCACCTCTTTCCTGGACGTGCCAGACTCTTCTGCGCCCTGACTCACCGCAGTGAGAGTACCTAGACCATGACTTTCCCAGGTGTTGTGTGTTCTTTCAACCCTACTGGGAAGTCCCTTTCTCAGACTGCCTGGGAGACGTCTGCCTGTCTGTCATGGAAGTCCTTTATGCCATTTCTCACTTGACATCAGAGATACCTCAACCAGAGGACACTGTCCTGGCACCTCATTCCCTCTGCCCTGTACCTGTTTCTCAGGTACCTGTTCCTGCCCCATGCCTGTTCCTCAGTGGGGGAATTACTTGTTTGATGGATGAATTTGGCGGAAGGAACTTAGACCTTCTGGCTTCTCCTTTGGGGATACTCCTCCCTCTAGGACAAGTGTTGGGTCTGTTCTTTAGCCACACACTTTGTGCCATGCCTCATCCTTTAGGAGAAAGAATCCAGTGGGGGCTGGGAGTGAGTGGGCAAGGCTGTTTGATGATTAGGTGAGGTGTTAGCTCACCCACCTGATCCAGATCTGAAGTCAGGTTTTCAAGTGTTTATTAGTGATGCTAACTCCAGCACTGTCATTTCACCCTTGCTCAGTTGTCCCTTCTTCACTGTCCTTGACTGCCCCTTTTCTTGGACCCCATCAGTAGGAAGTTGGGGTCAACTCAGTGTTGACAGGTTCATTTTGGCCCTGAGCTGGTTCAGGACTACATCCCAGCCTGTCCCAGCACCTTGCAAATAATGGGCACTAGATACACTTGTTGAGTTGTATGGAATGGAATTGATGTATAAATATTTAGTTGCACATAAACATCCTGGAAAAATTAGTTGTGAATCACAAAGAATGATTCTGGTATCTTTGGAGGATCTATTGAGAATAAAAGTAAAAACTAGAGACAGGAAAAAACAAAAGGAGGAAACAATGGTAACCTTGGCATCTAAGGAGCTATGGAGAATGGTCCAAGGGAGGAGAACAAGAACTGGATTAAGTGTTGAAGCAGGAAAGAAGAAAGAGCTGGAAATGACACACACACACACACACACCCTCTCAAAAACCAAGGCTTTGAGTAGAAGAAAAGAAAAATTTAGAGATAAGATTTGAAAAGGGATACATGGAGTTTAGTCGGATAAGAAGAAAGAATGTTGGCAGAAAAGAGAAATGGGTAACATGGAGGTTTTGGGTAATACTGGGAAATATATACAGCTCTGTCAACTTTTGGAGACCTGATATTGTAGAATGCATGCCAAGTCAAAGCCAGGCTCCTGGGACCTGCCTCACAAGCAGAAGGTGGGGTCTTATCTTAGCACTTGCGCTAGGTCCCAGCATCTTCTGAGCAGGCAGGCATTTCTTGGTGCTGATTTTGCAGACTGCAAATGATGAGACTCAGTACTACTTCCCTCTGGAGGTGTGTGGATTTCCATCGTGAGTCTCTCATCAGATTTCTATCCCAGAAGTGCTCAGCATCCATTTCCCACAAACATTCCTAAGATGAACTTGACCATGGGGCATGATGTTAGCATTGTCTTCTATGTGCTGCCTGAGCTCCCAGCTCTACTGGAAGTTGCTTATGGACTACGAGCAATCTTGCATGTGACTTCTTCAGGTCCTTTCCCTGCAGTGGTATTTTGCCTGCAATAGTTATACAGCCATGTATTAGCCTTGCAGCCCCCATCACTAGATGGCCCCCACTTGAAAATTACAAATATATGATTTGACTGCCTGTCTTATCTTTCAAATATAAAACTTTGTTACTTGAGGGCAAATGTCGTGGTTAACGTGATTATTTCTCCAAAGTACAAAACAGTATGCTGGCTATGTGTCAGGCCCTGGACTAGGCCCTATGGGACAGAGTGCACCTGCTGGATAGGGATGGGGCGCCATGTGGGACTTGTCCTTCATTCTCTCGGAGTTCAGCAAAGCAGGATCCATCGGCTGTGTCCTGGAAATAGAAGGAAAATCACTTCCACCTGCTCTTCTGCTGTCTTATCAGAGAGTGCAGATTAAGCTACCTGGTGTTATCAGCATGTTTGTCTCCTCCTGTCTAGGGGATATGCAACGAAGCATGTTGTTGAAGGTCTGGAACCAAGGACGCTGTACAGATTTCGCCTGAAGGTCACCAGCCCCTCTGGGGAGTGTGAGTACAGCCCACTCGTCTCAGTGTCTACAACCAGTGAGTATTCAGACCGTCCACACTCACCTCTCTCTAGATCAATGGAGATGACAAGCAATTTAGAAAAAATATTCTGCCTCTCGTTTGGCCTTACCAGAAGCAGAAATGATACAATTTTTAAACACTGCAATAATATTTGCTAGTTGGGCCTTGCCATAACTTGTAATGTCAGGGAAGTCTAATTATGCTTTCACAAACTGGGAGAGCTATTTTTGTGCCAGAACTGTCCTGTTAGTAGCCATTCAGCACAAAAGGGTGGAGTCACCTTTCTTAGGAAATGGGCCACAGGGGTGTGGGCTGGGTAAGCCTAAGCGTCCCCACACAGCCAAGCAGGCTGCCTGCCTGAGCGTCCTTGGGCAAGCAGCTCCATTCAGTGTCATATCCATTTTAGACAACCCCAGGGTGTGCGTCTTAACTCGCCACACAAACCCGATTCCTGGGGTCACGGTGAGTGAGGGTGAACGAACAGTGCTGCTGCATCCACGGAGAATCCTGTGAGGGAGAGCCCCACATGGAGACCTCTGAGCCCTTCAGCCGGCTGAGTTTTAAGGTTGTTTCTGAGATTGGTATTTTAAAGCATTTTAAAGATGCTATCTATGTCCAGGGCCATCTCTGAGCAAGAGCCTTGTAAAAATTAGGATGGTCACAAGTGTTCTCCACGGCCCACCCACTGAAAACACAGGCAAGTAATTTTTCAGTTGCACAAAGGAAACCTTCCTTTTGTGAGTAAAGCTCTTTTTCCGTTTTATTCCAGGTAGCATTTGGCTTGGAGGTATGTGCTTTCCATGGCTTTCAACTGTGTCCTTTAGGCATTTCTTCATTACAAGTTTTGTGTAGACTAAAGTTAACTCAGCTTTTGAGTTAACTCAGCTTTTGAGCTGTGGTACCTTCAGTTGCAGACCTGGCATGAGGGGACAGGATCTGAGTTTAGCAAACTGGGAGTTTATCTGTGAAAAACACAATTTCAGAGGAGACTTGTGATATGAAATGGTCAACTCTGGGGATGCAGGTAAAAAAAGAGGGCTCGTTCCTTCATCCGACAGTGTTGAGAACATTTGCTGTAACATGGAAGGTACTTACCTCTGGGGTTCTTAAGAGAAAGCAAAGACAGCAGAACATGAGCTCTGTGTGCTGAAGGAAGGCAGAGGGCATTGCAGGAGAAGGGGCAGGAGGAAGAGGTGGCAAAGGGAGTCAGGCATATGAACAGAGACTCCGGGCAACCCCAGCCAGGATGCCGTCCCAGGCTACCTTTCTGCTCCCTCCCATCCTCTTGCTGTCCCCACCGCCCACAGGCCTCCTGCCACTGCACACTCCCCTACCTCTGCCCTTCTTCCCTGGAGCACTCACTTCATTGCTGTGCTCACTGAGCCTGCTCCATGGGCAAGCATGGCAGGGGCGATTCCTCGTGTGGCTTTCCCCTCCTCTGTCACATGCCTTCCCTCCTCCCCAGGTACAGAGCAGTATTCCCCCACCTCTATGAACACTTCTTGCATCTTAAGTATTTGTCTACCTTTTGGTCTCTCACCTACATTGCGGGCTCCGAAAGGATGGACGATGGGTTGGCCATCTGTAGCTTGTGGGAGTTCCTTAATAAATAAGTCAGTGTGTGTGCCTGTGGCCTGAGCAGGAGTATCGCTTCAGCCAGGAGTTCAAGGCTACAGTGAGCTATGGTGGCACCACTGCACTCTCCAGCCTGGGCAACAGAGCAG